>NC_000011.10:111414848-111717879 GCF_000001405.40 Homo sapiens | reverse complement strand
CATTCAACTCCTACTTATACGTGAGAACATGTGGTGTTTGGTTTTCTGTTCAGCTGAGGATAATGGCTTCCAGCTCCATTCATGTCCCTGCAAAGGACATGATCTCATTCCTTTCTATGTATGCATGGTATTCCATGGTGTATATGTACCACATTTTCTTTATCCAGTCTATCACTGATGGGCATTTGGGTTGATTCCATGTCTTTGCTGTTGTGAATAGAGCTGCAACGAGCAGACTCATGCATGTATCTTTATAATAGAATGATTTACATTCCTTTGGGTATATACCCAGTAATGGGATTGCTGGGTCAAATGGTATTTCTGCCTCTAGATCCTTGAGGAATTGCCACACTGTCTTCCACAATGGTTGAACTAATTTACACTCCCACTAACAGTGTAAAAGTGTTCCTTTCTCTCTGCAACCAGGCCAGTATCTGTTGTTGTTGACTTTTTAATAATTGCCATTCTGACTGGCATGAGATAGTATCTCATTGTGGTTTTGATTTGCATTTCTCTAATGATCAGTCATGTTGAGCTTTTTTTTTTTTTTTTTTTTTTTTTTGAGACGGAGTCTCGCTCTGTCGCCCAGGCTCTGGAGTGCAGTGGTGAGATCTCAGCTCACTGCAAGCTCTGCCTCCCAGGTTCACGCCATTCTCCTGCCTCAGCCTCCCGAGTAGCTGGGACTACAGGCGCCCATCACCACGCCCGGCTAATTTTTCTTGCATTTTTAGTAGAGATGGGGTTTCACCATGTTAGCCAGGATGGTCTCGATCTCCTGACCTCGTGATCCGCCTGCCTCAGCCTCCCAAAGTGCTGGGATTACGGGCGTGAGCCACCACACCCGGCCGCTGTTGAGCTTTTTTTCATATGTTTGTTGGCTGTATGAGGTCTTCTTTTCAGAAGTGTCTGTTCTTGTCCTTTGCCCACTTTTTAATGGGGATTTTTCTTGTAAATTTGTTTAAGTTCCTTATGGGCTGGATATTAGACCTTTGTCAGATGGATAGATTGCAAAAATGTTCTCTCATTCTGTGGGTTGTCTGTTCAGTGTTTCTTTTCATGCAGGTTCTTTTTTTATCCTTAATATTTTTACTGAGTCACACAAAATACCCGGCAGTACCCCTGAATTTACGGTTTTACTTAAATTGTCAGTTTATACATTTATTTTCTCATCTAGACTACAAGAGGAATTATGTCTTTTATTACAAAATATTTGCTGAGTTCGATTTTATCCTGGGACAGCTAGAAAACAATGACTTGATTTTTCATTGATCTGATTTTTCTTCTTCTTTTTTCTTTTTTTGGTGAGACAGAGTCTCACTCTGTCGCCCAGGCTGGAGCGCAGTGGTGCAATCTGGGCTCACTGCAACCTCCATCTCCCAGGTTCAAGCAATTCTCCTGCCTCAGCCTCCTCAGTAGCTGGGATTACAGGCACGCACCACCATGCCTGGCTAATTTTTGTATTTTTAGTAGAGTTGGGGTTTTGCCATGTTGGCCAGGCTGTTCTTGAACTCCTGACCTCAGGTGATCCACCCAGCCTCCCAAAGTGCTGGATTACAGGTGTAAGCCACCGCACCTGGCCAGATGTATATCCTTTTCAGACCTTGTGTGTACTACCTTTGTCATAAAAAAAGTTATTAAAAATGTAAGTAGACACGAAACACCTCCACTGTGTCTGCATTTTCAGGGTCTACCCTCACAGTTCCCTTCTGCTATCCAGCTATGAAGGGGGTAATTCGGAAAATCCTTTTATTACATTTCAAATAAAAATGCTAAAAATGGGCTGGGCATGGTGGCTCATGCCTGTAATCCCAGTACTTTGGGAGGCCAAGGCGGGCAGATCACCTGAGGACAGGAGTTCGAGACCAGCCTGGCCAACATGGCAAAACCCCATCTCTACTAAAAGTACAGAACTTAGCTGGGTGTGGTGGCAGGCGCCTGTACTCCCAGCTACTCAGGAGTCTGAGGCAGGAGAATCGCTTGAACCCGGGGGGCGGAGGTTGCAATGAGCTGAGATCGTGTCACTGCACTCCAGCCTGGGTGACAAGAGTGATACTCCATCTCAAAAAAAAAAAAAAAAAAAAAAAAAGCTAAAAATGACTCAAGTGTGCGTGTATATGTATGTATATAAAATTCCTTATTAAAAAGAGATACTTGAAGTAGATTTATTCTACAAGGTTTATGCATCTGCCCTCCCATATGGCCCCCATGTCATCTGTGGATCTCAGTTCCTGTTTGGAACACCTGATCCAACCATTCTTATCTAGAGTTGGGCAACTATCTCAGAAAGGCAATATTTTTTTGAAACTGCAAACCAAAGTTTCCATTCAGACTCCCCAAGGGATTTTACTGACAATTTTAAGCACTGAAGATTTCTGGGAGGGAAGGAGAGCTGAAGTCTCTTTGAGATGCACAATACCTGTCCCCAGTTGAGAGGAGAAATGCAAGTATCAATACATGCAGCAATGAAGCATCAATCAGAAAACAACAAATGGGTGTTACAGTAAATGCACATGAGGCAGTCTCAATAAAAAGGGAACTGTGTCTCTGATAAGTTTTTCTGTGTGTGTGTGTGCACTTATTTATGGGCCCCAAGAAAGAGGTCTTAGGGAGGGAAGAGGGACAAGCGTTTTTGCTGACATAAATAAAACGGTCCACAAAGAAGCCCGGAGGATGTCTATGGCCTGACTGAGTGCCAGCATGGCATTGCCAGTGTGGGTGACCAGCTCCAGCGTGGCACTGCTCTTCCTACAAATGCAAATATACCATCTAGCTCCTGTCTATATCTTTTGCAAAATCATTCATTTCCTGCCTGTTTTCTGGTTACAGTAACAATCACAAGCTTTAAAAATAGCTTGCCCTATATAATACAGCAGTCAGTGCCCAATCTGTGTTTTAGGCCTGATGCCCTCACAGACAAGCCTTTAGTCAACTGCATTTTAATTCTTTTGAGGGAATTACATCTTTAAAATAAATGAATGATGCTGCCTTAATTTATGTCTAACTTTCTGAGTGGGACTGTAGTAGCAACCACAGACAGAGAAGAAAGACTGTCCCTAGGCAGTGGACTCATCCTTAGGGGCCCAGACACTAAATCCTTTCGGTCAACACTGGCTTGTGGCAGCCTCGCACTGAGCTGCCTGTTGTGGGCTACGCTTGGCTGAACTCATGGTCGGCCTTCTTGAATCTGCCCTGCCTTTAGTTCTCCATTTCTGAAAATGGCTCTCACCCTCCATCTAGGCTCAAAATCTTGTTACTGGTTTGGACTTCTCCCTAGACCTTAATAGTCTATCAATTTTATCTGCACCATCTCTATCTGCCACTATTCTAGTTCAGGCCTCATCACCTCCCTCCTGGACACGTGCTCTAACCTGTCTTCCTGGTCACCAGTTTCTCCCCTGCACCGGGGCACACACAGTGATATGCAGGCTAACTTTCTGATGTGCAACATGGATCCCAGAGCTTCCTTGCTCAAATATCTTCAGCAGTTTCCTACTCCCCTAACAACTGTTCCTTCAGTTGTTTCAACTGATACCAAACCCTATCCCCATATTGAAAGCACTCGCTTAGGGAAAACATCTAAATTTCTTGGCTTGCCATTTAATGCTAACCTCCTCCATCTTTATTTCACACAGCTTCCCTGCATGTGCCCTTTTCCTCAGACCATCTGAACCCTTCTCTATGGAGATGGACTTAGGCTTCCCTAGTACTTGCTTTTTCAGTCTTGTCTCCACTGTAGACATCACTCCTCACCCCCGGTTTCCAGCCACCTGTCCTGGGTCTACCCGTCTTTCAATCCTCAGTTCTGACAGTTAAACCGGACTTTCCTGATCAAACAGCTAAAAGCAACTTCCCCTGCCTCGTTCTGATTTATACTTCCTTAAAGGACTGATCATATTTTATTTATTTTTTTTTTGAGATGCAGTCTTGCACTGTCGCCTGGGCTGGCATGCAATGGCACGATCTCGGCTCACTGCAACCTCCACTTCCTGGGTTCAAGCAATTCTCTTGCCTCAGCCTCCCGAGTAGCTGGGATTACAGGCGCCCGCAACCTCCCCAAGCTAATTTTTGTATTTTTAGTAGAGACGGAGTTTCGCCATGTTGGCCACGCTGGTCTTGAACTCCTGACGTCATGATCTGTCCGCCTTGGCCTCCCAAAGTGCTGCGATTACAGGCGTAAGCCACCATGCCCGGCCCATATTTTATCTTTTATCAATTTATTCAGCACCTGGCGCTGTCTTTCAGTATGTATAATGTTTCTTCTGCTAGGCTATAGTGGACTCTGGAGAGGCAGAGTTCATGTCTCACTCATCTTTTTATTATCTAAAGAGGCTAAAAAGACAGGAAACCATTATTTATTATCTATAATCTGTCCCAAACCTCACACACATTATCTCAATTAATCCTCATAATAGTCTCATAAAGTTGGTGTTCTCCTTTTATATAAGAGAAAACTGAGGTTCAAAGAGTTTTGTTACGTGGCCCAAGTTCACACTAAGAGGAGGTCTATTTTGAACACGCTCCAAGACCTGTGTTTTCTATGACACTCTACTACCCATTATTATGATCTTCTATACATCGCTTATGCTAAGTATATATAATACACATTGGAAGTTAAAGAGACATCTATGAATGAGAGAAGCTGTCATCTTCTGTATCCTAAATGCCAACTTCATTCCACATACTAACTTTTATTTTTATTAATTTATTAATTTTTTGAGATGGAGTCTCACTCTGTCACCCAGGCTGGAGTGTGGTGCTGTGATCTCGGCTCACTGCCACCTCGGCCCCCTGGGCTCAAGACATTCTCGTGCCTCAGCCTCCTGAGTAGCTCAGATTACAGGTGTGTACCACCACGCCTGGCTAATTTTTTGTATTTTAGTAGAGATGGAGTTTCACCATGTTGCCCAAGGTGGTCTGGAACTCCTGAGCTCAGGCAATCTGCCCGCCTCGGCCTCCCAAAGTGCTGGGATTACAGGCTTGAGCCACTGTGCCTGGCCCAGCACATTAACTTTTAAACATTTCCAAATTGGACAAAAACACATGTATAACTGATCACAAAAGACGGCCCATCATTTTGTACCTGAGGTACCTATGCAGAAGAGCAGCAATAGTAATCAAATAAAGCCCAATTTGGCATGAAAGTTAATTTTTTTGTTTTCAGCATTAATTTGTTAGGGAAAAAACAAACAAACAAACAAACCAAACACTTGTGAGAGATCTGGAAACTTGAAGAGAGAAGGAATTAGTGAGCGAGAAAGACAGGGAGGACTTTTCAGAAGTCCACGAGGTCTGACAAATTACGTAATGGTCATACTGGTCATAATGATAAACACTGACAAGAGTTGAGCCTGGACACTGTTCTAAGGTTTTTCTCCACAAAAGCATCACTCCTGAGTGACTTAACGAAATGATAAAGTTCAATAAAGCCAAAGTACAACACTTGTGGACCAAACTGAAATCTCTCGCCAAACTGCCAGTTCTGAGACTCTCAAACATAGCCGTACCTTTGGAGTGTCCACACACTCTTCTTCCATGAATGCAGCTTCCGCCTGACAGCCAGATGCTGGAAATGAAAAGGCCTCCACGTTGGATGCCTGGGGGAGGAGGGCAGATCGCAGCAGCCTCATGTTCGGTGAATGCATGGTCACTGGGAGCCCCACAGTCTGTGCCTGTAAATATGGCAAGAACAGACAGTTTGGGAACATGAATACCTTCTCTATAAATACACAAAGTTCTAAGAATAAAATAATTCTTCCTGTGGCAATTAAAGAATGAATATTTATTTATTGGAAACTCCAGAAAGATTTAGTGAAATATATACATGGTGCAGACAGTGATCTGAAGCAGACTCAGCAATCGGTTACTCTGAAAGAGGTCGTACAGAATTTCATTTCTGCCTCATGAGGGGATGCTTGACTTTCACGCAGGTGACGAGAAAGCTAGCTTTTGTGAGGAATCAAGAATGTTCCTCGTTCAATTCAACAAACATATTTGTCTCTTTCTTTAAATATAATACCCAGACAGATAAAGAATAGAAAAATCTTAGGAGCTCAAAATTAAACCAGGGACAGATATATACACACCCACAAGTAACTACAACACAAGGGACGCTGGAGTCAGTGCTGTGTCTCTGCCTGCCCTACCCGCCTTTTTGGTGTAGGTGAGATGGTAAATATTTATTGGTAAGGGTGTATGCGAAGAGGAAGAAAGAGAAGCAGCAGTCACATGGGGTGACAGGAACATCTTCCTTCCTTCAAGGAGATGCACAGCCTGGACTCAGCCTGCTGGCCCAGTGGAAGGAGAGAAGCTTACTGCAAGCTACGCTTACTGCAAGCTATGTTTTTGAAGTCAACCCACTATAGAAAGCTCCTGATGGTTTGAAGTCTGTTCTCACGTCTCGTTTGTTAACTACTCTAGGGAAACAAGCATTACAAATGCTTCTTTTAAAAAATCATTTAAGGCCAGGCGCGGTGGCTCATGCCTGTAATCCCAGCACTTTGGGAGGCCGAGGCAGGCGGATCATGAGATCAGGAGATCGAGACCATCCTGGCTAACATGGTGAAACCCCGTCTCTACTAAAAATACAAAAAAAAATTAGCTGGGTGTGGTGGCGGGTGCCTGTAGTCCCAGCTACTTGGGAGGCTGAGGCAGGAGAATGGTGTGAACCCGGGAGGCGGAGCTTGCAGTGAGCCAAGATCCCGCCACTGCACTCCAGCCTGGGCAACAGAGCAAGACTCCGTCTCAAAAAAAAAAAAAAATCATTTAAAAGAGAATTTTTCCTTATGACAATTGGCAAAAATTGATTTTAAAGATGAAGCTGCTGAATGATCCTTTCATCACCATCCCTTCAAAACTACCAGAATAATTTATTAGATGTGTTTTGAATACAACAGGCACTGCACCACATCTGAGAAAACAATCATCATACTAGACTATGAAAGGCAGAAGGACAGCCTGTATTTTTCCGGCTATAGTTATTTCAAGGGATACAGGATGGTGAATTTTAAACTCAAACAAATCAAAGGGACAAAATGGTATGAGATTCTAGCTTCTCCTCTACCAAGACCTGAGTTTGATTCCTGGCTCCATCACGTACAAATTGTGTGACCTTAATCAGGTTTCCTAACCTCTCTGAAACTTATCTTCTTCAACTGTGAGAGCACAATGCCAACTTCACAGTGAAGTCAGGACTGTAAAAGGTAACATGCAATGTCCTTAACTCAGTAACATTAATTCCTCCTTTCCCCTTCTTCCTAAAGCCTTCAAATGATCACAAGAATGTAAGAATTAGTTTGCAAAATGAATGCAGTCTCGTTCTCAAATACTAACGGTTCCTAGTTAGAATCTTGGATTGATGATTTTCAAGGATGGGGGGATATGTTAGAAATATATTTTATATTTGAATATACTCTGAATATATTTTCAACATACTTTATATTTGGTATATTCCAATATTAATATCACTGGCTATACTGTATAAGATAAAGTAGCATTAGCAAAGTGTCAGAATGGTATGGATGCCCCAAAACAAATAAACAAACAAGTAAACAACTGCATACCATTCAGAGTGTGATAAAGAAATAGCTTTCCTTGTGTTGTCATTCCTCAAGCTTATATTCTGTGCCACTTCTGATGTTAAACAACTTTTTCTTTTCAAATATCAGGCTTTTAAATTATCTAGCTACTATGTAAAATTTTTATCTAGTCAATATGTAAAATTTACACTTCCCACTAAAGTATATTTGCTACATTCTTCTTACCCCCATCAATAGCTTTTCAATCAAAGGATAAAACTGAAGAATTGATTTCTACTTCCCAACTTTATTAGACTGCTCCTTCTCTATGAAGGTAGTCTGAATTATTAGGGCAACGCATGACTGGGGGTGCTATATGGAAATGAGATGCCCATGCCCTAACTACGACACACTGCTCCGTCCCTGACTCTCACTAGCTCGGACGCTTTAAATGGCCAGACGGTGCTGTGCCAGACCAAGCGTAGCACATAGTCCTTGACAGTGTTCACATCCGACCTGGACTACTACAACTGACTGTGAACTCGGTTAGAGGAATAACAGACAGGATCAAGGAATAACGCTTTTTGTTGTGACAATCACTTCCTAGGAAATATGGTGGGTTTTAGGAGTCTTGTGATCACTGAGGGGACCAAAGGAGTCTTTTTGGAACAAGAGAGGGTATAAATATACAGACAGCATGCTCAGCATTACACAGTTGATTAGCAAATATTAAATAAATAGATGGTCAATATCCCAAGGAAGCAGATATTATCAAGATATTCTTTAAGAGTGTCAATACGCAATGATTATGTCCAACAAATTGTGATCACTCTTTAGACCACATGTTTAGTGCTTTGAATCTCTTCTTTGGACTTTGTGCTCTCCAGAACCATTAAAATGAAAATAACGTTCTTTCCTATGGGAAAATCGTTGCTATTCCAATAGGCAAATACTTGTTATGACCTGAATTGTGTCCTGCCAAAATTCACAAGTTGAGCCCCTCACCACTAATGTGGCTATATCTGGAGACAGGGCCTTGAAGAAGGTAATTAAGGTTAAATGAGGTCCTGAGGTTGGGGCCCTGATCCCACACAGCGGGTATCCTTATAAGAGGAGGGAGAGACACCAGAGATCTTTCTCTCCACACTTGCGCAGAGAAAAAAGCCAGTGAAAAGACAGCCAGCTACAAGCCAAGAAGATAGGCCTCACCAGGTAGCAACCCTCATGGCACCCTCATCCTGATTTCCGGCCTCCCGAACTGTGAGAAAATAATTTCCGTTGTTTAAGCCACTAGGTCTGTGGTATTTCGTTACGGCAGCCCTAGCAAACAGGCACAACCTGTTGTGAAGGGCAACCTCTAAACAGTAATTAAAGAATTGGAGGTGATTGTTTCATTCTTGTTTGTTTCCAGCTGATGGAAACTTGCAGTGGAAGGACTGTTAAAAACAAGTGGTTAGGCCAGGTGTGGTGGCTCACTAATTGTGTGACCTTCATCAGGTCCTGCAATCCCGACACTTTGGGAGGTCACGGTAGGAGGATTACTTGAGCCCAGGAGTTTGAGACCAGCCTAGGCAACATTGCAAGACCCTATCTCCACAAAAAAATAAAAAAATAATTAGCTGGGCGTGGTGGCATGCACTTGTGGTCCCAGCTACTTGGGAAGCTGAGATGGGAGAATCGCCTGAGCCCAGGAGGTTGAGGCTAAAGTGAGCTGTGATTGCCACTGTCCTCTGGCCTTGGTGACACAGCGAGACCCCATCTCAAAAACAAAACCTCCCCCAAAACCCCACCAAAATTAGTGGTTAGAATGTATGAGAAAAAAATATGACGTATTTTTTCTAAATAGTCTCAACTCAATTAGATCTAATACTTCCTGCATGTTATACAGCAAACATAAGCACTCCAAATCTAAGAGGGGAATCCCACTGTTGTCTAAATAATAATAATGAGTACTTTATTTATTTTTTTTTATGTTTTACTTTTTGGGACAGAACCTCACTGTGTCGCCCAGACTGGAATGCAGTGGTGTCATCTCGGCTCACTGCAACCTCTGTCTCCTGGGTTCAAGCGATTTTCCTGCCTCAGCCTCCCGCATAGCTGGGATTATAAGCACGCACTACCATAACCGGCTAATTTTTTTGTTTTTAGTAGAGATGGCATTTCACCATGTTGCCCAGGCTGGTCTCAAACTCCTGGGTTCAAGCAAACCACCTGCCTTGGCCTCCCAAAGCGCCGGGATTACAGGCATGAGCAACTGTGCCCTGTCATAATGGGTATTTTGTAACTAGGCTATGAACTTCTTAAGGGGAGCAACTGTTTCCAGGGTACTTCTGAAGCCACAGTGGCTAGGACTGTGCCTGGCATGTCAGTGCTCTATTTGTTTAACTAAACTCCCGGTACAGGTTAACTAACTGTATCTTGGTAGCAATCTAATGAAGTACGTATTGCTGTTCCCACTCTGTATTTAAGGGCACAGGAACTCAGAGACGCTGACTTGCCCGAAGTCACTCAGCTTGGTGTGTGGAACCCAAGGTCTGCATGATTCCACAGCTCACGTTATCTTTGTATTGACTGGATCATGTTGTTTCCTCAATTTTTTTGCTACTATATCAAGAAACAAGTGATTTGCCACTTCTTTTAAAAAAATTAGAACATCAAGGAATTAAAGTGAGAAGCCTTTACTAAAACTTTAGGCACATTTATATCCATAAAAACAGAAGTCTATTTTTTAACAAATTCAACACTAAAACTCAAAATGTGAAATCTCTGAGAGGAGGGGGCCTGTTGCTCAGCATCCAGAAGGCTCTCAGGCAAGCATGTGAATGAGCATTGAAGACTCCATTTGAAGTAGAAGCATTTTCAGTTACACTAAGCAGGTTCCATTGAGACTTGGGTCAATGCATAAAGTAAAAAGGACACAGAGTGCTTGGTAATTTAAAAAATTATCGAACATAAGAAGTCACGTTTATGTATCTGAACCCTAAGCCAAATTAAATATAATTTGAGATATGCCGGGGAATTTGCTCATAGTCTAGACATGAAAGGATATCGTGTACAATAACACATGCACGTGCTCAGGAACAACTGTTTATATAACCCCTCACCACTCCCTCACTTGCGTAATGTTTAAGAAGAATAAAGAGACTTGGCAGGGAAAGCCTGCTGGCCCTGGGGGCTTTCCAGCTTCCTATCCTTTTGTCTAGTGGCATTTGCAAGAAGGAAAGAGTTCCACTACGTCTTACATGTTTTTCATTTTATCTCCTTCTTTCTCGGTCTTGAAAGCAATACCATTCAACTTCGAAGATTTCCAAGTGCTCAAAGATACCCTAACTCAAGTGTCTGGAACTATATGGACACATTATTTTACTTACATCTGTATCAATACTTTTTTTTTTTTTTTTTTTTTGAGACGGAGTCCTGCTCTGTCACCCAGGCTGGAGTGCAGTGGCGGGATCTCGGCTCACTTCAACCTCTGCCTCCCAGGTTCAAGCGATTCTCCTGCCTCAGCCTCCCAAGTAGCTGGGACTACAAGTGCTCACTGCCACACTCGGCTAATTTTTGTATTTTTAGTAGAGACGGGGTTTCACCATGTTGGCCAGGATGATCTTGATCTACTGACCTTGTGATCCACCCACCTCAGCCTCCCAAAGTGCTGGGATTACAGGTGTGAGCCACCACGCCCAGCCAATACTCTTATTTTATATATAAAGTACGTATAACAAAATATACCATTTATCTACTAAAATCAAGAAGATTTAATTCCCTTTTTTAAAACATACTCTGTAGATGCCAATGCAAAATTTTATTATAATCCTGTAAATTTTGTAAAACTGCCAAAGAAATACAAAGTCAAAACTCTCCTGCCCTTATTTTTGTTTTGAACAAAGTCAGTTACAGAAGTAGACAGGAAAGTCAATGGAGCATACTAACCAACCATTCATCTCAACCTCTGGATGATTCCCAAATTTCTAGCCTCAGCCTCTCTCCTTGGATCAAGATCCACATCTTCCTCCTGAGCAACTGAGTTAATGCCACCCCTATCTTCTCAGGCTCTGGCTCAAGAACAGAGTCATCTCTAAGTCATATTGTCCCTTCCTCCCCAGCAATTATTTATTACTTTATATAACAAGTACTTACATAGCACTTACTATGTGCCAGGCATATAGTATTTCACAAATATTAACTATTTCACAGATATTAACTAATTTAATTGTCATAGCATTCTATTATTATCCCCATTACACACTTGGGAAACCAAGGCACAAAAAGACCTTAAGAAACTTAAAATGTCACATAGCAGGAAGTGGCAGAATTGGGATTTGCTCCAGAGTCCCTGCTTCTAACCACCACACTGAGCTGCCTCTCCGAACCATTGCTAACTTCATACAGAGTCTACCTCTAAGATGGTTCTTATACTTGCCCCTTCTTTTCTACTTCCAACAGTGCCATATGAGTTTAAGCCTTCGGTATTTCTCATCTCTACTGTAACACTCTCCTAACTGCTCTCTCCAAATTTCTTCTTTTCTCTATCTGACCCATCCTTCATAATGCTACCAGATTAATTAGCTTAAAGCATCGATAGAATTTTATCATTTTTCAGCTTAGCAGCCTTCAGTAGGTCCTTGTTGCTTCTTGAATTGTAAGTAAACTCTTTACCTTGGCATTCAAAACTCTTCACAATAATGCTTCAACTCACCACTGACCAAGTCCTCCCCATCTGTGAAGATGTGTCTTACATGCCATTCCCCCTGTTCAGATGTGCCCCTCTCTCCCCTGTCCCTGCTCTGCTACAGCTCTCATCTTTCCCTATTTTGAATGATGGTTGTTTATGATCTTGTCTTATTTCATTTTTATAGCGCGATGTCTCTGAGGGCAGTGACTGTAGTTTATATATCTTACCCCCAACAGTGCCTAAGAATAGAAGCTCGCACGTGGTAAATCTGTAATAAAAATTTGTTAAATGGAATTGAATGTAAAGGCTAGTGATAGTAATTCTCAACATTGTGAATGATGAAAACAATTTTAAAAAACTGTTTGAAATAAAGTTAACCCTTAAAAATGAGGAAGTGCTAAAACATTTGAGAATCTAGTGAATGGCAGGCAGAAATTTTACAGAAAAACGGAGTGTAGAGGATGAAATCCTAACCCTGTGTATAAGATGAAAAATGTATCAAACATGTGAACAGGCACATGCACAGATAAGACTCTCAGCTAAGGGGGCATTACCTTGGCAACTGTTTGCTCAGCAATGGTGCTAGGCCGACGCTGGCGGCCATCAAGTCTCTGCTCCACTGGGAAACTGCTCCGATGTGATTTCAGGCGCTCCACCAACAAGAAATAAATGGCAGCAAAGTGGTTATAGCTCTTGTTCTGCAAAGACTGAAATAAAAAACAAGTGGTAAAGGCAAAGAACTGTAAAGACCAATGCAATGATCTACACATGCCTAAAAAAAAAGAGGAAAGAAATTGTGTGCTCTTAAAAATAGGGTGAAAAACAAAGTGTCTCAAGATGAAAGCTGCTCCAAAAATGTGACTGGAAGGCAGAAAACTTCAAGTCTCTAGTATTAATTATATAAAGGATGATCCCTTTAAATGGGTTTACCAGCCCTTTAACATTAACAAGATCCATTTATTTTTCTCCAGTCAGAGAAAATGCCATCATTGTCTCATGTAGACATTCCCCAATGCTGCCATATGGCCCCATCTCATAGCTGTAACGGTGGTGTAAGGTCAGTTAGCAACCTGAGCCCGAGGCTCTAATTCCATGGCTTCAACACAAATCTGAACCACTGAAAACTCTGAAGTGAATGGTTAAAGTATGTGGAGAACTTTCTGTTGATTATTTTGGGCTGGAGAATGGCATCTGGATGCTAAATTGAGAGACACTATGTCTCCGTTCTTAGGTAATTTTTTCCTCTTGTTTTTGCAGTCCCACCCTCTTAAAACCTTGAAAATAAAGTTGCTTCCCAAATGTTCACATCTCTAGCCTGCCAGCTTTCCCAGATATTGAGGGAACAGAGAAACAACTGCTCCTTTGGGTTCTAATTCCACCTGACAGTCGGCATGGGTGCTGTGCAGGGCACCAGGATGCAGAGCACTCTCAGCAAAAATCACAGGTCAGTGGAATCACACGCCCAGCTACTGCTCAGGATGCACTTCATGGACAAGTACAGAAAAACATCACTGGGCGCAAAGTGAGCAAAGCAGGAGAATCAGTTTGGTTTCACTTATGGCTACGTGGCGGGGGAAAGGCAGCACAGCCCGGAGCCTTGGTCTTTCACAGCAAACAAGGCGGCATTTGATATTCTTTCTTGTTATGTTTCTTCCTGAAGAGCACTGTTTGCTTTTTTACTATCGTAAAGGTATTAGAAATACGTATATCCTATAAGTATGCTAACTATTCGAGGACAGAAATAAAAGCCAAGAGGAATTTTCCAGGTTCATGACCCTTCACAGTTCTATGACCCCTAATACTTCCAAATCAGGAGCCCACCTGTTTTTGCCTTCTTAGTTTCTCCAGTTCACAATCTAAATCCCCTGGCTTTCTTAAACCTGATACCTACCCTTCTTGTTTCCTGCTTGGCCCTTTGCCTATCTGCACATTTACATTCCATACAAACTAGTTAAATACCTATGTAAAACTTCATGCTTCATCTTGGAAGAAACTTTCTACCTTGTATTTGTTAAGCTTCCATCTTTGCCTTTTCTGAGTCTTTTATAAATGCCTCCTCTTGAATGTTTTGGCAGATGGGGGCAAAGAAAGGAATTTAAGATGCTGAATAAAAGCAAATATAAATAGAGTCTGATGTCATCTATAGGGAACACTGAACAGTACGCCTAGGCGCTGGAGATACATGTGCTAAAAGACCAGGATGACAGGTGTGAGCATGAAATTTCAAGTAGCTAAGTGCAGTAGAACCCCGAAATCTCTGATCACTTTACCTCAATGGTTTTCTGCTGATCTATTCCAAGGCTGTGCATCAGTCGCAGAACCTGCTCATTAAACTCCCCGATGGATGGCTCATTTTCTTGCTCTTGTGGATAGAGAACAGGTCTCTGGACAGGAACTTCTATGAGCATCCATTTATGCTCCTTGATTTGGGCTATGGTTAGCCGTTTGGATGGGTCTAGGACCAACATCCTTCGGATAAGGTGCTCGCAATCTATAGAAAACACAATGTTACAAAAGTCACAAGAATCACCTTGCACTTCAGGGTTATTTGCTTGACTCATGTGACTTTGTACAAGGGTGTTAATCTTTGTATCCTCTACTGGAAAGCAGAAGGTCAAATGAATAAATGAACACATGCAGGCTACTTATATTTCTCAAGTTCACATGGTGAACAAATACCTAAGAAAAACAGGAGGGTGTAGGTCTATCAGATTCTGGGCTAAAGGAAACTTTCTACTGAATTTCACAACTGAAAATATCTAGAAACAGACTTTGGTTTCCACTAAAGGAAAGAAATAAGCCTCATTCCTAGAACAAGCAAATAATAAATCGATCCTCAGTCATATCTAATGCTGATATACTAAGGCTACGTAAGCGAGGCAAAGAGCTCTCCAACGGGCTGCTGCTCTCCTCCACATCACTGTAGCTGAGAAAAGTGTACATAAAATATTACTTACTTCTGACTACACCAAGAAAACCGCACTGCTGCAACTTTGAGCACTAGCATATTCTCTGAGCTGACATGATGCTCTTCACTCACACATAAGGTAACCTCCTGTCACTATATGGCAGGCGCTGTGCTAAGTGCTTTACACAGATTATGCCTATTTATTATATTATTATTGGAGACAGGGTCTCAGTCTCTTGCCCAGGATGGAGTGCAGTAATGCAATCACAGCTCACTGTAAGCAATCCTTCTGCCTCAGCTTCCTGAGTAGCTAGGACTACAGGTGCATGCCACCACACCCGGCTAATTGAAAAAAAACTTTTTTGTAGAGACAGGGTCTTGCAATATTGTGCAGGCTGGTCTCCAACTCCTGGCCTTAAGAGATCCTCCCGCCTCAGCCTCCCAGACCACTGGACTTACAGGTATAAACCACTGCACCTGACTGACAGATTAATTTAATTAAACCTTACAACACCCGTGCGGTAGGTGCTATTGTTATTTCCATTTTATAGATGGGGAAATTGAAGCAGATAGAGAGGAGACAAAACTTGTGAAAGTCATATGGCCAGTAACCAGTGGACTCAGGATTAAAACCAGGCAGTCTGGTAGTCTGCCTTCACAGTCCATGCTCTTAACTATGAAGAGTTATTATTTCTACTCTTAGTAGAAAGAACAGAGTTAAGAATGATAACCAAAATGAAACTAAGGGGTAAACTTAACTGCTATCTAGGTAACAGCTCAATACACGACAGGCAGGGATTATGGCATATCATCTGAATTTAGCAGAGTTTTGCCAGTTTGGCTTTTTATTTAATTAAAAAAATTTTAATTTTATAAAGTTCATTTCATATTGGAGTAAAATGGTTGTGAATCTGTATCTACAAAGGGCTTCGTTAAATCTAAAATAAACCTGGGACATTTATAGACCCAGAATGAATGAGAAGACATGCTGCTCTTAATCTGGGAAATGCTGTGTGTTTAGTTACAAGTAGAAGGCTGGAACCTGTCTCGCCTACATAAAGGAGGTTGCTTCTTTCTATAGCTTTTAACCTACAGCTCAGTCACTTTATTTGGCACCCAAACTCTTAGAAAAAAAGAAGCTTTTACCTAGGCATTTCACTTGGAGCACTAACACTGTAAAACACCATTAATAAGATGAAAAGTTGATTACCTTCTGACATGAAATACGGAATCCGGAATCTTCCTTCCAGAACCCTCTGCCTCAAAATTGGAAGAGTCGGTCCATCAAAGGGCAGAGCTCCACAGACAAGGACATAAAGAACAACTCCCATACTCTAGGGAAGAAAACAATGCAGAGACTTTTCTACCAAGAACGTCAAACACTCTTTGTTTTCCTGAACATCCCCAGGGCTCTTGAAATCATATGGACTGAAAAATTCCTGTCTGGATTTATTATTTTCTCAGAATTTGAAAAAAATCCAAAACCCTGACTACTACAATAAGTATCTTATAATAAATACCAAAGAATTTGAATCTGATAATTTTGATTACTACTTAACTTTAAATTACTGCTGATATTAGGATGACAACACCTATCCTTAGAAATTCTTTCCTAGGGATCCATTTCAAGATGCTCTGAGTAATTATAGTCCAGTGGATGGGGAAAATATGAAATACTGCTTATGTGTTAAGTACCAGGAGCTTCTAAGATGGGCCAGAACACCAAGTATTATCAGTATAGATGCATTTAACAACACAGCAAAGCAAAGCAGTACCCAGATGTCCAGCTGTGGTCCTTCATACTGCTGCCCTTCAAAGACTTCTGGGGCTGCATAAGGGGGGCTGCCACACCATGTTGCCAGCAGTTCACCACTTTTAAAGAAATTTCCAAAACCGAAATCTATTAGGATGGAAATAAATGTTATTTTCATCTATGCTCTCAAACTATACTGCATTTCTCTGTAATAAATTTTCTAATATGCTATATTAACAATATCACTACTATTTACTGTGAGGACTGGGATGGCATCTTATCTTGTGATGTTTCCCTGGCATTAGCACAATGACTAGCAAATAGTACTCAAGGAATGTTGCTGAATGAATGTGTAAATGAATCAAGTTTTCTTCCCAAAGCGAGTAAGTGAGAGACTGGAAAAATACTTTATATCATGTGAAAGAAAATCAGCCTTAAAGTGGACAACCCAACTAGTATTTGATAATCTTAGAATTTCAATTACCTGATGACTGCTAAAGAGCTCTTTATCTTAAATGGTCTATAAGGAAAGAAACAAATGAGTAAAGCTCTAAGACATTCACCTAAACACAACTGAGTGACTGGCTGCCATTACCCCAGATATATAACCCTTGAAGGCAACTGAGTGCAGTGTTTCCTAAGTAACAACCCTCTAAGTGTTGGTCCACATATCCTGTTTTAGGCAGATAACCATCTGAATAGCTCATTAACATATGATGGCCACATAGCCCAGCCACAAGCCACCTATCACCATCACTTATTTACTAATTTATGGATCGCAGTGGCATTATAGTTCAAAACAGTTAATGGCCTTCTCCTTATGATCTTAGCCATACTGACTCTACAGTTTTGATACAGAGAATGCACTCTGGAAACACTACTTAGATGCCTTCAACATGCATTAAAAAATTTAGTAAGTATTGTTACAAATGCAAGTTCATACCCTTTTGCTAAGCCTTTATAGTCTCATATTCTTACCGAAGAAACAAATACCTATTATCTTGTTAAGTTATACTCATGCTGTCTTATGTTGCTACATACTCCTGACTGAAGAGCCTGTCTCAGTGACAGGAACTGGCTCTCCACCCAGCTGGAGCACAGCATTGCATGCACAGTGAGCTTTAAGAGATGGCTCAAGAAAGACTGGATCAAGTCTCTACTGCCAGACAGATTGACTGGATTTGTGACTTTGGATCAGTCTTTGTGAGCCTTAGTTTCCCCATCTGTAAAGTGAAAATGATAAATACACTTAGTCAGCAGGTTGCTGTAAAGGCCCAATGTGTTAAAATAAGCTCACTCCATTCATACCTTGAGACCATACATACATGTGCACCTTAGGCAAAGCATTCTCTTAGCTTGCTAACATAAAAACTAGAGGCAAGCAGTAGTAACAGTAATAACAGTAACAATCCCCATTATTACAGCTTCATGGAAGAGTACAACCTATGAAGTTATGAGAACTACAGCTAATTACCAGTTTTATCACTTTCAAGCTTCAAGTCCTCTAGGAAAGTTATTTTTTCCATATCTATAAATGTAGTGATAATCCACCTACCCAGATAGGATGCTGTGAGGATTAAATGAGAATAAGAATGTAAAATGCCAGAGCATACTAGACGTGAAAGGTCAGCTCTCCTCCTCCTGTGAAACCATTACCACCAACTGTTGCCTTTCAGAGAAAAAGGTCCCAAAAAAGTAGATAGGAGGGGTAGAAAAAGTTTAGAGGGAGCTTCAAGGTTTAGGAGAGAAAAGAGGGTACATCTGGGGAAAGAGCTTCAGATACAGTCTAAACCTGGTGAACAACACTGTGGTCTGCCTTTGGTATCCAGGAGTGTGAGGCAAAGGTGGTGCCAGGGAGAAGTTCTCTCTTTACAATGTAACCTCAGCTCAGCTCCACAGTCCACTTTCCAAAATGACTGTCAGAAAGGCCTTATCTTCACAGTACCACCTCTATGACTAACCACTCCTAGAACATCATATCTCATATGGACACATACAGATATATATATTTCTAATTTTCTAGAAAAACTATACTCTCAAATGAGTCAAGGACTAGATGTTCCCATGAGTCGAAAACTAGATGTTCTCATGAGTCAAGGACTAGATGTTAAATGAGTCAAGGACTATGTTCAAATGTTAATTTCACTCACAGGATAAAGCAGCACAAGAAGCTCTCGGATGTGTGTTCAGAGATCCTGAAATACATACAATAATTGCTGCACTTTAAACCATAATCACAGGATGAGTTTTAGTGCCTGTAAATTGAGGATACTCTCCAAATAGCACTGGTAAGGTTGTTTTTCTTTCTTTCTTTTCTTTTTTGAGATAGGGTCTTGCTCTGTTGCCCAGGCTAGAGTGCAATGGCACGATCTCAGCTCACTGCAGTCCTCGCACCTCAACCTCCTGAGTAGCACAGGTGTGCTCCACCACACCAGGCTAATTTTTGTATTTTTAGTAGAGACAGGGATTTGCCATGTTTCCCAGGCTGGTCTCCAACTCCTGGGCTGACGCAATCCACCCGCTGTGGCCTCCCAAAGTGCTGGGATTACAGGTGTGAGCCACCACCTGGCCCATTGGTAAGTTTTAATGTCTCCAGGAGCCCTTATAGAGCCACTTCATTCTGAACTTCCCCACAGCTGGTGAAATAAACTCAAAGGAGTGAATGGGACAGAGGCCTGTCAAGAAGGTGGCCTGGCCTCTTTATTGCCTTAGGCTCTCATAGTACACTTCACAGGCAAGAGAACAAGAGCTGGGAACACTTCTCTGGACCCGTGGTAGCCCAGTTTCAACCTCTGCTTTACAAATCTAGCACAAAGAAAGCTTCCTGTTTGCTTACAGGAGGAGTGGTACTAAGCAGTTATTTCTATTTTCTGTAGGTAATATGAATATAGAAACTTGGGTCTATAGGGATATTAAAAGAAACACTGAAAGACAGGCTCACTAAGCTGTTACAATATTACATGTGCTGAGGTCTTCTATAACCTTGTCAAAGCACTTCAAATGTTATATTTATATATTCTTTTGAGACTGGTCTTGCTCTGTTGCCCAGGCTGGAGGGCAGTGGTGTGAATCACAGCTCATTGTAGCCTTCATCTCCCAGGCTCAAGTGATCTTTTTGCCTCAGCCTTCCAAGCAGCTGGGACCATAGACTCACGCCACCATGCCTGGCTAATTTTTTTTTCCTTTTTTCTTTTCCTTTTTTTGGGTAGAGACAAGGTCTCACTATGTTGTGTAGGCTGGTCTTAAACTCCTCGGCTCAAGTGACCCTCCTGCCTCAGCACCCAAAGTGCTGGGATTACAGGTGTGAGCCACTGCCCTCTGCCAAACACTGTATTTGTAATCATCTGAAGAATGGGTTAAGGAAGACTTTGGTGTTAGGCAGATTGGGGATCAAATCCTGGGTTTTCTATTAGCTATGCAATCTTGGACAAATTACTTAACTTCTTAGAGCCTTGGTTTCCTCATTTGAAAAATAGGGACAACACTTACATTTCATGAAGTAGTTGAATTAATAGAAATAGATATTATATTGCGATTGAAACATAGTAGGTAGTCAATAAACAGAAGCTATCATTGCTATTATTATTTATTATTTTACTTATCTGTCTATCCCATCAGACTAAGTTCCTCGGGAGCAGGGAATGGGGGACAACATTCTGTACTCCCAGCTCTCAGCATATCATCTGCAGACAACAGCTGCTCGATAAAGATCTGCTAGATGAATATGTTGTTCCCACCTCTTAAAAGTGCTTTACTATGTGACAGGAGCTGATTTAAACTCTCTGAAGATAATTTCTTCTTAGTTCTATGAAGTATCCTTATTTTAGGAGAAAGTGAGGGTATAAAGTTAAGTATTTTGCCAGAGGTTATACAGCTAGCTACTAAGTTGCAGCAGTGGAATAGAAACCAAGTTTAACTACTTCGAGCCTTCATTGTTAACCACCACCTTTATGTCTCTCACTGGCATGTCAAAAATAGTTATTTTTGAAGAAGTTAATAATTGTCAGGGTTAAAAAGTGGCAGCAAAAGACACTTAAAAATAAGAGCCTTTTAATTTCTTCACAGGAATCTGGATAACTTGCTTCACCCAGTCTGCAGCTTTCTGCCTAAATGCATATAGTGAAGTGGGAGGTGAGTAGGGGGGGAATGAAATGTGAAAATGCAGGATTTATTTCTTACTGCCATTTATTCAAATGAAATGGACTATACTCATGCTTCATCATACTAACCACATTCATTCATTCCTTCATTAAACATCAGCATTCCATACACATGTCAACCACTGTACAAACACAGAAGTCTTGCAACAACACAAAATAATAAGACTCCACATCATCATCTGACTTTTGGAAAACATTATGAAAACAATCACTTGGGCATTCGTCTCTCTCTCTACCAGACTCAGATCCAGCCTAGCCCTGCTAGAAAGCAAACATCTTTCTAGTTTAATGTCTTCTCTAATTGTGATATGCAGGTTAATACCTAAAACTATGGCTATGTTCCTCAGACATTCTGCTTGCTATTATAAACAAAACATTTATGCCATGCCACGTGGCTTCATTTTGACTTTTTTAAACTTTTAATTTTGAAATACTTTTAGATTTATAGAAGAGTTGCAACAGTAAATTCAGAATTCCCCATACCCTTCACCCAGCTTCCTCTAATGTTAACATTTTACATACCTACAGTATAATTATCAAAACTAAGCTTCAATTATCAAAACACTGATTCACTACTATTAATTAAACTACAGACTTAACATTTCATGAGTTTTGTCACATGTTCCTTTTCAGTTCAGGGATTCCACATTGCATTTAGCCTCATGATTCCTTAGTCTTCTCCAATTTGTATTCATATTCTCTCACCTGGGTTCTATATGGCCTGAAATATTTATAGAAGAGGATTAGGGGTAGAGTCTTTAATTACAGATCAGTTATCGACTCTCATGAAAATCAACTAGGCCTCAAAAGCTGAGTCCTCTGTCTCTTACTTAATTAACCAGCCGCAGCAGACCAAGGATATATCTGAACACAGCCCTAGAGCTGCTATTGTTTTCTGCTCTGTATTTTGAAAGTTGACTGACTGACCTATATGGTCCTAACAAAAACCATTATCACTGTCATCACTAAATTATATAAATTATCAGTGCCCAAACATCATTAGCAAAGGCACAATGTTTTAGGAATAAGAGGGTCTTGCATAGAGTAAATAAGCTAACTCTGATGATTGTTGTCTAATGGGAACCAAATACAAAATGGAGAATTCTGTTTGTTGGAATGAAATAATGAAATAAATCAAATACTAACATGTATATAAATCACCTGGGGAAACTGCTAAAGTGCAGATTCTGACTCAGTACATTTAGGGATGGGCCTCAGATTCTGCATTTGTAACAAGCTCTGATGTGATGCTCATGCTGCTGGTCTCCAGACCACTTTTTGACTAGCCAGAAAACAGAATAAAACAGAGGCGGTGAAAAATATACATAAGATTTAAACAGTTTGTCAATGTTTACTGTTGCAAAAGATTACACTTGCTAAATACTTTTAGGTTTTTTATTTAAATAGGAGATTAAATAAGAAAATCGTTAGGTTAAACTAAGTCCTTTTTTTTAAAACAGGAAAAAAGCACACAAAACATTGAAAACCAATCTTCAAGCTAAGGAAAAGTAAATGATTTCTAGGAATCAACACCACTGAGGCAATTTTTAATCTCCAGCAGTGTGTTATAATGTCTAATTTATAATTTAAAAAATCCTCCTACAGAGCAGCAGATGGCTTTAGGGTTAAATTTATCCTTGTTTCTAAAATTACCAGCAGAATTCAGCTACCCAGCCTCGATGAAGAGTTACACATCCTTTGTAATTATAATAGGAGTGAAGAAGACAATTATGAGGAAATGAAAGCTGACAAATGAGAGGTGGAGAGTGATAGAGATGAAGCTGACCCATTGCACAAACTGAATGTGGATCGGCCAACACTGACGTCAATGCATACTTTGTTGCCCACCAGCACGAAAAGGTCAGTTGCACAGTTCATTTCCAAACATCAGTCACTCTCCCATCTGACAGGAGGGAAGGGAACAATCATCACAGTTGAGATGAAATGTGATCCTGCTGACCAATGTAAGACATCTATTTGTCCAGTCAGAGAGTTCAATGAGCTAAGAAGCAAATAAATAATCTTCCTTAGCTTAAATGAAGGGGAAGAGAAATGAAGAGGGAAAAAAAAATCAAATCAAACCAAACCCTTTGAGCCATCTTCCATATTCCCAGCTTACTGTGGAATGCTAAGTAGGACTTAAGGATACAAAGTTTCATTGTGCTTTTTGATGTAAAGCTCTTTTTACTTTTTACGTAATGCTAGTGGCAGAAGGATAACAAATGGAAGACTTACAATAAATATTTTCCCAATAAAAATAAAATACTTAAAAATTTTTAAAAAATATTTTTCCTATCTTTGCCTCTCCTACCCTTTTTCAGTTCTAGGGGACAAATCTGAAATCATATATACAGAAACCTTGACTCAAGGTCATCTAGTAAGTAGGAAGGTTGCTAGAAGCAATGATGGGCCACTGCCTCAAATCAGAAAGGAAGCATTCCTCTTGGGCTAAAGACAAGTGACTCGTGATGTACAGGTCAGATTAATCAGGCTAATTATACAATACTAATTACATTTAAGGTCTCTCTCAGCAAAAAATTAAGTTGCATCAACCAGAGACAATTGAGAATATGTGAAAAACTTTCCTTGGTCCTAAAAGGTTTGTATTAATAAGGCTTTAAAGCCTTAGTTAATTAAAAAAACATGCCGAGAGGGTTATATGGCTATTAAAATTTTAAGGCTTTGTTTTCACAGGGAATCAATTATACATTGAATACAAATAATAGCTACCTTGTATTGAGTGTTTACATGGTGCCAGGAGCTTTATCTAACAATTTATTTAACAAACAGTTAACTAGCACTGTGTGCCGGGCACTGTTCTAAGTACCCTACAAATATCAACTCAAGTAATAATCACTATGAGATATGAACTTTTATCACTCTCCCTTTACAGATAAGGAAACTGAGAAGAGAGAAGTCAGGAAACGTGGTCAAGGTCACAAAGCTAGTAAGTGGCAGAGATAGGATTCAAACTCAGGTATCCTGACTACACAGCCCATACTCTGACCTATTACCCTACATCGACTCCCTGTCTCCAATATTATCACCAATCCCTATAATCTGTTCCTGAAAAACAGATTTGTATTTAATAGATATGGAAACTCAGGCCTAGAAAGTGTAAATAATCGGCCCAAGGTTATAGCTACTAAGTGGCACAGACAGAATTTGCACCAGCACTGCTACTCAACTCAGTACTCTACATGAAGCCCTGTTTGACGTGTGATTAATTCATAGATTTTTATCCTTATTTAAGTATTTATTATAAACATTTTAGATTGGGAAAGTTGGAGAATAAAACTAAATATTCCTCATCTATTTTATTCTCAACTTAATGCCTGAACAGCCAGGGCCAAAACAGGTGGAAATAGTACTGCAATTACTAAAACTACTGAAAGCCAGTATTTGCATTCAGCCTCCTACTGTGAATGTCCTCACACTCACTTTTTACAAAGGTTGCAGGTCTCATGGTTGAGGCAATGAGTACACACTGGTGTGGGTGAATCCATGGCTCATTAGTGTCTCAAGTTTTTTTTTTTTTTTTGAGACGGAGTCTCCTCTGTCACCAGGCTGGAGGGCAGTGGCACAATCTCGGCTCACTGCAACCTCTGACTCCCTGGTTCAAGCGATTCTCTCCTGCCTCAGCCTCCTGAGTAGCTGGGATTACAGGCATGCACCACCATGCCCAGCTAATTTTTGTATTTTTAGTAGAGACGGGGTTTCACCATGTTGGCCAGGATGGTCTCGAAATCCTGCCCTCGTGATCCGCCCACCTTGGCCCCTCAAAGTGCTGGGATTACAGGCGTGAGCCACTGCGCCCGGCCTGTCTCAAGTTTTTACCCACGGGGAAAACAAAACCTGGAAACTGATCTCAAAGCCATGTTTCTGTTATTTATTAAAATGAACCATGTTTGATACTTCTATTCCATTTTGTTTTATAAACACAAAAATATTTTAATTTTGTGCTTCTCTTCAATTTCAATATACAAGATGGCTAAAGCAGTTCATTTATTCAGCTTATTTTGCAATTAAAGAGATTTTCATAAGCCAAAAAAAAAACCCAGAAAAAAGTATAATTTGAGGGAATAACTTTGTAAGGGTTCTTGTAATTTCTTCCCACAGAGCCCTATTTTTCCCATGTGTTAGATTCCATTAAGATTTAAGAGTTCTCAGAGATAAGAAGATGATCCTTAAAGAAAATCAGGGCCATCAAGAAGTTATAAAATTTACAGATAAAAATAAATATCCTAGAGAAATTCTTTAAAGACATTGGAATCCATCTAAACACTTTATAGCACGTGAATGATCTGGCCCATGCCCGCCTCTCCTGGCTTTTTTCCTATCATTCTCACTGGCTAATACCTGCAGTTTCCTTACCACTCCAATTCGCTCTGGCCTCTCAGCCTTTGCATGTGTGGATCCATCTGCTTGAGGCAGATACCCCAGCCTCGATCTCTATCTCTCTCTCTCCCTCTCTCCTTTTTGTGTTTTTTTTTTTTTTTTTTTTTTTTTTTTTTTTTTTTTTGAGACTGAGTCTCGCTCTGTTGCCTAGGCTGGAGTGCAGTGGCAGGATCTCAGCTCACTGCAACCTCCACCTCCTGGGTTCAAGCAATTCTCCTGCCTCAGCCTCCGGAGTAGCTGGGACTACAGGCGCATGCTGCCATTCCTGGCTAATTTTCTGTATTTTAGTAGAGACGAGGTTTCACCATGTTGCCCAGGCTGGTCTCGAACTCCTGAGCTCAGGCAATCTGCCCGTCTTGGCCTCCCAAAGTGCTAGGATTACAGGCATAAGCCACCGAGCCTGGCCTCTCCCTCTTTCTTTCTCTGTCTCCCCGATCCCCAATCCTGCCACAAATACCTTCTTGTTAATCAAGTGTTAGCTAATAATTTCCCTGATTCTTCCAGACAGAGTTAGTCTTTCTCCTAGCCTCATGTCCCTGAAAACAATGATCTTTTTGTGTTATATTAACTTAAAGGTCTGGTTCTTATTTGATTAACTCCTTGAGGTAAGAGCAGAGTTAAGCTTTTTGTCACTGCTGCTGTTTTTGTCTTGAAATGTATGAATATCCAGGACTTAGTCCAAGAGCAGAGTAGAAGCTTAATAAACATTTACTAAAATTTTTGAGGATAGTGGAGATGATAGAGAATTAAGTGTGGGCAAGAAAATTTGAGTGCTTAGATATACTCTGTGCACACATGTGTGTGTGTGTCTGCTTGTAATGAATGGAAGCAGGGACACTAAATGTACAACCATAGAATGATGGACCCCAAAATTCAATTAGTGAGTACCCCTTTAGGAAGAAGTGACACAGAATGCTTGGAAATGACAAAATGGTGTAGTGGGAGAAGGACAGATACTGTGGTCAGAGAGACCTAGGTTTGAATTCCAGGTCTGCTACTTATTATCTGTGTCAGCTCGGCCAATTTTTTAATCTCTTTGCATCTCAGCTTTCTCATCTAGTAACTGGCAATAGCTAAGCGGCTCCCAAGATTGCTGTGAAGATGAAGTAAGTATCTAGCAGAATACCTGAAAACAGTGAGGGCCCAATTAAATGTGAGTCATCACACTGTCTTCACCAGAGAGAACTTCACCAATCTGAATTTTTATCTGACTTCTATATAATTAGAAGGGCTTGAAGATTAGATACTAAAAAGCAAAAATAAAAACCAAAAAGACAAAACAAAAACCTAAGATATCACACAATGACATCAGAAACACTGATTTGACCCACGTATATTTTATGCCAGAATTATAATAGACATACTATAGCCAGGCAAAACTTGGTTATAACGTCAAAGCAATATTCTGTTTTTTGTTTGCAAGTTTCTTTGGTGTCTTACTTTGACATTTTCTTTTGAGATGTTAGTGACAGCACTTTGTAATTCCTACAGCATATGATTTACACACCTATAACCTTTCTCTGCCTAAAAAAACTCCTAGAACACATGTGCATGTATGTTTCTTGTAGCACTATTTACAATAGCAAAGACTTGGAACCAACCCAAATGCCTGTCAATGATAGACTGGATACAGCAAACGTGGCACATATACACAATGGAATACTACGCAGACATAAAAAAAGAATGAGTTCATGTCCTTTGCAGGGACATGGATGAAGCTGGAAACCATCATCCTCAGCAAACTAAAGGAATAGAAAACCAAACACCACATGTTCTCACTCATAAGTGGGAGTTGAACAATGAGAATACATGGACACAGGGAGGGGAACATCACACATGGGGGCCTCTTTGGGGGTGAGGGGAGGCGGGGAGGGAGAGCCTTAGGACAAATACCTAATCCATGCAGGGCTTAAAACCTAGATGACGAGTTGATAGGTGCAACAAACCACCATGGCACATGTATACCTACGTAACAAAGCTGCACATTCAGCACATGTATCCCAGAACTTAAAGTAAAAAAATAATAATAAAAAATAAAAAATAAATAAAATAGTTCTCTTGGAAAAAAAAACAACTCCTAGAACTCCTTTGTGCTATTGTTTTGGTAAATATTTCGTTTTGGTAATAAGGGAATGTAAAGGTGTAGCAGGAGTTTTCCCCCTTCTTTCTACAGAGCTAAGGACTTAAAAAAAAAAAAAAAAAGAAAGACCTTCTCTGAAAAAGACAATTTTAGGGCAGCCGATGCTTTCAAGGAGCATTAAACAAAATATCCCAGTGAAGTTCCTCACAGAAGGTTGGCAAAAAAGAGTGAAATAAATGACACCAAATGGAAGGGCCAAAAGCAGAGGAAGGGAAAAAAACAAATGGAAGTGAACAGACATAAACTATGAAAGTATTCTAATTTTGTGCATCACATTTTCACAACAAAAATGACAAATTGATATAAATCTTTATATATACGTGTATATGTGTGATATATATATATATATACACATACACACACACACAAATGAATATAACAAATTAACTTAAAAACATTTTGTCTTATTCAGGCAATCCCATTAGAAAAAAAAAATCACAGACTATAGAATGGAAAATCCATTACATATCCTGTAACATATGTAATATTGACATTTAAAATGAGTAAAAATAATTTGCCTTCCCCTAATTGCCTAAGACAAAAACTAATGGGAAATGGCACAGAAACAAATCAGTTCAATGTACAAACATGAGGGTTTTACCTTATATTTTACACCATATACAGCAAACCGAGGAAGCTACTTTGTCCCTAAACTTACTAAGTTCAATGAGTATCCAACCTAACAGGTCAATTAATAATTTCTTGGTCAGTCCCTGTCATCTGGATGTCTCCCTGCTCTTCTTTAACAATCTTAGAACAAAACACCACCATGTGTAACTTTGCTAAGCTTTTAACCCACACTCTTTCTCTTCAAAACCCAAGTCAAACAAAATCTCCCTTACATACCTTCAACCTCTACTGCTGCTGCTCTAGTTCAGACTCATGTTTTCTTAAATGGACTATTGCACTAGATTCCTTATTAGTCTTCCTGTCTTCCACCTCACCCACATCTCCCACCTATCTTAACTCTGCTGCCAGAGACATATTTCTGACATGCAAATCTAATCATGTTATCCCAATTCCACTTTACCCCTACCCATGCCCTATAATTTTCAGTAGGCTAGACTCCCCATTACCTACAGAATAAACTATAAAATCTTTGACATGGCATTCAAGATGTTTCATATTCTGGTCTTTACTTATCTGCTCCCCCTGTATCAATCCTGCATGCCTACAGATTTTACATGTAACCAGTTTTGAATTTACAGTTCCCCAACATTCCAATCTCTGTCTACCTGCCTGCAACATTCTGCTTCTGTTTATCTTCCTGACAAGCTTCTCTAACTTCTCTCTCAAGTCTAAGTTCAAATAATTCCTTCTTTGTGAAGCTTCCCTGACTCTTCAGGTAGACTGCTTGTTCCCTCACCTATACTCCCATGCAGTTTGTATATACTTTTAAAATTGCAACTATCATACTGTATTTTTTCAGTTTTATTAAAATGTAATTGACAAAAATTGTGTATATTCAAGGTGTACATGCTATTTTTATATATGGATATGTTGTGAAATGATTTCCACATATCATATTGTACTTAACATAGCACAGTACCTGATACATATTTATTGAGTGAATGAGAGTTTTGACTATGTAAATAAAGAGACTGAGAATATAAAATAAAACATTTTACAACTGTGAAAAGGCAAGGAGAAAAACAGGCAAACTAATCTCTACCCAACTTAATTTTCATGTTATAAATCAAAACCCTATCGTATCAGATCAAGGAAAGGTGCTTTTCTGTCTCAACTATTTCTCATTCTACCTCCATCACTTCTTTTGCCTTTTCTCTGCTTCTGGCTGTAGCCATCAGTCATAATTAGGAGAGCAGGCCAGAGTACCAGCAACCAGCATTACTCCTCCAGCCCTGTCTTTTCTCCAGTCACTCTGACACTCAGATAAATGTACCTCTTCCAGCAGAGCACCCCGAAACCCTGCCAATGGAATCTGGACACATCAGACCCCAGATGTAGCTCTGACCTGTGTATATTAATAATGAACTCATTCCCTTACTTTTAATTACACACAGAACTAAGGAAATGAATAAAATGGACTTTGAGATAGCCTGATGTCATCAGGTAGAAATGCTGCTGAATCTGCGCCTGCAGGTCTGTTTCCACACACTGAGTGCAGTGGCTCACTTCGGATCTTATTAGAGCCAGTTGTGTCCCAGTTACCTGCTATTTTGATATTCATGTTGTTATCCAGCAGGAGATTTTCAGCTTTGAGGTCACGGTGCACAATCTTCCGACCATGACAATAATCAACAGCAGACAGGATTTGCCAGAATTTTCGCCTGGCTTCAGACTCATTTAACCGGCCATGATTAGCAAGATAGTCTGTAAATGAAGAGAGGATTAAGAATTAGTCACCAAAATAAAATAACTCCACTATTAGTAGTCAGGAAATTTTTTTCCTCAAAAAGTTTTTTTTCTGGCCAGGAGCAGTGGCTCATGCCTGTAGTCCCAGCACTTTGGGAGGCTGAGGTGGGCAGATCACGAGGTCAGGAGATCGAGACCATCCTGGCTAACACGGTGAAACCCCGTCTCTACTAAAAATACAAAAAATTAGCCAGGCATGGTGGCGGGTGCCTGTAGTCCTAGCTACTGGAGAGGCTGAGGCAGGAGAATGGTGTGAACCCAGGAGGTGGAGCTTGCAGTGAGCCGAGATCGCACCACTGCCCTCCAGCCTGGACGAGAGTGAGACTCTATCTCAAAAAAAAAAGTTTTTTTTTTTAAAAAAAACAATAATTAGTGATAAAGTAATATGGTGTTTTCCAAGTTTCTTGACTTTGAAGAAGTATTTCTTTTTCTTTTTTTTTTTTTGAGATGGAGTCTTGCTCTGTTGCCCAGGCTGGAGTGTAGTGGCGTGATCTCAGCTCACTGTAACCTCCACCTCCCAGGTTCAAATGATTCTTCTGCCTCAGCCTCCCGAGTAGCTGGGATTGCAGGTACCTGCCACCATGCCCAGCTAATTTTTGTATTTTTAGTATAGATGGGGTTTCATCACGTTGGCCAGGCTGGTCTCGAACTCCTGACCTCGTGATCCTCCTGCCTCAGCCTCCCAAAGTACTGGGATTACAGGTGTGAGCCACCGTGCCCAGCCTGAAGAAATATTTCTAATCATATTTCACTGGAGTCCAAATAAATGGTGACAGCCCAAGACCAGTCAGCAGCAAGCAGCATAATATTCACAGTACAACTCAACATGATTTTTTTAATGTCTAGGTACTCTCTCTATTTGTTGAAAAGCTTATTATTTCACACTTTAAAAAAATAAAATTTATGTAAAACAGAGGAAATAAATGAATTCTCTGACATCTTGTCACACAGAAAGACATCTTTTCTGAAACACTGTTTTCATGCAATTATTATACAAACCACCTGTAACATGAGATATGGTGATAACTGGAAGTAGCTTAAATAATTCACACCCTGTGCTGTTCGAAAGAATTCTCGTCTACCCAAGAACATGCAGACTTGTGCTCTAAACCAAACATTGTCATGACAACCATATTCTCTCAACTGTAAGACAAATATATTTTGCAAGATATACTATCTTTATGCAATGTTATAATCTTTAATAAAGAAGCTTACCTAAAAATTAATTCTATGTGACTATGTACATCAATTCAATAAAACTAAACATTACCACTCATTAACATTTCACCCAAAGACCTGAAAGTCCTCTGAAATTATCTTTTGATCAACACAAATCTTGAAAGACTTTTAAATTTAACATAATTGTCCTAACTAGGGAACTGTATGAGTGACTCAATATTCCCAGTCACCTGCACACATTTTCTGCTCTAGTGTTTACTAGCTTACTGGTTTTTAAATTCCCTGCCTTTGGCTCATGTCCTTCTCAATATTTACTATGTATTTTTTTCTTTAGTTTTTCGAGACAGAGTCTTGTCTGTCGCCTAGGCTGGAGTGCAGTGGTGTAATCTTGGCTCACTGCAACCTCTGCTCCCCAGGTTCAAGCAATTCTCATGCCTCAGCCTCCCGAATAACTGGGACTACAGGTGCACACCACCACGCCTGGCTAAATTTTGTATTTGTAGTAGAGACGAGGTTTCACCATGTTGCCCGGGCTGGTGTCAAACTCCTGACCTCAGGTGATCTGCCCGCCTTGGCCTCCCAAAGTGCTGGGATTACAGGTGTGAGCCACCATGCCTGGCCTACTTACTATAAAATTTACTAACATTTATACAATACTTTATACTTTACAAAGCATGTTCATATCACAGTGTCTCATTTCATCTTCCTAAAACCTTCTATGATAACTATTACTCAATTCCCATTTTATAGATGAGAAAGCTGACAATCAGAGGGATTAAGTAATCTGGCTGAATTTGTACAACTGGTGACTGAACAGTCAATCTGGGGCTGTAATATTTGACATAATTTTTTTATTATATTAAGCATCTTTACTAGACTCCTGTTGAAATCCTAACCATCCTTTTATTTTATTTGTTTATTTATTTTTTAGTCAGGGCCTCACTCTTTTGTTGCCCAGGGTGCAGTACAGTGTGCAATTATAGCTCACCTCAACCTCAACCTCCTGGATTCAATCAATCCTTCCACCTCAGCCTCCTGAGCAGCTGGGACTACAGATGCATGTCACCACATCTGGCTAATTATTAATATTTTATTTTTTGTAGAGATGAGGTCTCACTCTGTTGTTCAGGCTGGGCTCAAACTCCTGGACTCAAGCAATCCTCCTGCCTTGGCCTCCCAAAGTGCTGGGATTACAGGTGTGAGCCATCACACCAGACCCTAACCATCCTTTCGAAACTCTAATTAAATGCCACCTTGACCTTAAGTCCCTCTTCACTTCAAACAGAAATAACCTGTTCTCTCAACACCTTGTCACTTATCATACACTGCCTCACACTGTATGTAATAATCTGCATGTGTATCACAAATATCCCAAGGTACACACACATGTGTATACACATAGCCCTTACTTTAAAAGAGGGGTCCTCAACCCCTGGGTCACGGACCAGCACTGGTCCATGGCCTGTTAGGAACCCGGCCCCCTGCCATAGGAATGTGAACCCTATTGTGAACTGCACATGTGAGGGATCTAAGTTGAATGCTCCTTTTGAGAATCTAACTAATGCCTGATGATCTGAGGTGGAACAGTTTCATCCCCAAATCATCCTCCCCAACCTGGGAAAAATTGTCCTCCACTTATTTGGTCACTGGTGCCATTTAAAAGGTTGGGGACTGCGGCTCTAACACATAGTGTTTTGAAGTATTAAAGACAACTTCATTTAAGCTTCCTGAAGACAGGAACCATATTATTCTCTTTTGTACTCTGCAATGCTTAGCACTAAGCATAAGCACAAAGCATCCCATGTATAATTCTTAGTACTTAGCTATTAGCCATATTCTAAATATTACAGGCTTTAAATGTAAGTGGGCATTTTATTCTTTTTTATGGGTTGGCATCAGAAACTGAGATGGTCAGCTCATTACATCTTCCTCTTGCCTTTGCAGAACCTGCATAGTAGCTATCCATAATTCTAAGGGAGAACAGATCACTTAAGAACAAGTATGCATAATTTTTAGTCAAAATGTCCAAACTGCCAACAGAGACAGATTATGTTTAAGAACTGGCAAGTAGACAATGTGCCTTCTCTGCATAAGAGCGAACCAGAGGCTCACTTCTACACTGGATGAGCTGGGAAGTCCACTATAAATACGGACCTTTGGGCAAATATAACCTACTGAGGGGAATGCCAATATGCTTTCTATAAGAGAATATCTTTTGAGTAGTTAATAATATCTCTCCTAAGATTCCACACAAAATGCTATTTAAGCTGTACCGCTAAATGAGACCATTTTTTCATGGACAAATGACTGACTTGTCCAAATAGACAACTTTTTTTTTTCCCTGAAGAAAGTGCTGAGTCAATGGAGGTTAGTGGGAAAGATTTTTGAGATTTTTGGCAACACAGAGAAATCTAACAGATTTAATGTGAATGAGTGGAAGTTTACATATATAGAAAGAGACCCCAAACTACTGACTACAAAATGAGTCCTAGGAAGCACAATGGAATCTATAGTTATTGTTTTTTGAAGCTATCAGTCCAAATTGGGAGTACCACAGGCAAGGGGAAAGAAAAAGTTTGAAACGTGGCAGCAGGAAGGCACTGTCTGAAAAACAAAGGCATTGTATATCTGAATCTAAAGTTACCATGTAAAGACAGAATCATCACCTATCAGTAAATGTAATCTCACACACAGTGTGAGAAAAATGGTCTAAATTCCAGAGACAAACTATTTAGAGAAGTGGCACTTTCACTCTTCAGGTGAAAATCTCGGCAGGCATTCCAGTGTATCTATTATCTTCCCCATGCTTTATGATTTCTGCAGTGTAGGCATCCTTGAAAACTGTAACATCTGCTGAGAAATCAGTAATAGAAGTAAGTGAGCCAGAAACATGTGGCTGCAAATAAAATTTGTTTAGGCATACATCAACCCCTTCAAGGAACACAATCCAAGCTCAAGTTAACGCACATGGTCTTGAAGTTAACATACAAAAAGCACATTTATGTTTCACATTAAAAACCTTATTGATGGGCTGGTGTGGCAGCTCACACTTGTAATCCCAGCACTTTGGGAGGCTGAGGCGGGCGGATCACCTGAGGTCAGGAGTTCGAAACCAGCCTGGCCAACCTGGCGAAACCCCATCTCAACTAACTATACAAAAATTAGTCAGGCATGGTGGCGGCCACCTGTTATCCCAGCTACTCAGGAGGCTGAGGCAGGAGAATCGCTTGAACCTGGGAGGTGGAGGTTGCAGTGAGCCGAGATCACGCCACTGCATGCCAGCCTGGGAGACGGAGCAAGACTCTGTCTCAAAAATAAATAAATAAATAAATTAAATAAATAATAAAAATAAAAAATAAAAACCTTATTTACAGAACAAACTTATGAATGTAATAGCAACTGTCTATACTAACTGCTTATGTGTGTATTCTTGAGAGCTTGTTTGGAGATTCTGGCAGAGGAGTGCAGCTACTCATATACCCTCGACCAAAGACTGGTCCTCCTCTATTGGGGATGGTTGTCCTCTTCGAACGAGCATGCAGTTTTGGGAGGGACACACATGGAGGGGTGAGGGAGGAAGGGGACAGCCATCTAGCCAGCCAGATCAGCCAAATCAACCCTGGCGATCAGTGGGGTGACAGATGTCACAGCCAGATAGCTCTCATATCTGCTTATGTATTTTTGATGAATAAATACAGTTTTTAGAAAATTCTTGTTTCCTATGTTTATTTTGGTTCTAATTGTTAAGTGAAATATAATTTTATGTTTGTTAACTTTAATAATGAAAACTTTTAAGGTTATATTTTGTATGTCAACACCCCCTCCAGTTTTGCTTTTCTGGTCATTATTTTTTACTGCCATTTTACAAAAATCATGGTCTGCAACAGACTGGCTAATTTAAACTCAATATTGACAGTTTGATAGTCTGAGAAATACTAGCACAGGCAAGGTAAACAGGCAATTACAATACACTGTGATGAAGGTTAGCATAGGTAGAAATGTCCTAATAAATACATTGTTTCACAGGTATCTTTAAAAATTTTCTATTATGAAAGTTTTGTACATACATAAAATCATATTAAATAGTATAATGAATCACCTAAATTCGAGTTATCAACATTTTGTCATACTTGTTTCATTTATCCTTTTTTTCCTCATGTAACATAAAGCAATTTTTGACATCAATTTGTTTCACTCTAAATACTTTTCTATGTATCTCTTAAAAAATGACATTTTCTTACATAAGTGCAATATCATTATCAAACCTAACATAATTAACAATTCCTTATTATCATCTAATACCCAATCTGAATTCAAATCTCCATAGTTGGCTTGTTTGAATCAGGATACAAACCAAGATGAACATTTTATATTTGTTTATTTTGTTTCTGGAGCCCTTTTACGCTGGAACAGTACCCTTACTCTCACCCTCCCCCTTTTTCCTATGCCACTGTCATGAAGAAACTGGGTCGGTCATCCTATATTCTGGATTTGTCCTTTGCTTCCTCACATTACTGTTTAACTTATTCTTCCATCTCCTATAGTTTCTATAAAGGACTGAATAGATTCAGGCTTAATATCTTTTGGGAGTGGCAATAATACATCACAGGTGCCTCTACTAGGAGGAATATAACATCTGATTCTTCTTTTAGGAGTGCTAAGATTGGTCAGTAAGTACTGGGAGTGACAGCCTGATCCTTCAATTAAAGATTCTTAGCAATCTTTCTCCTAATATCATGGTTCTCAAACTCCAGTGATTGTCAGAACCCTCAGAGGGCTTGTTAACACACGGCTTACTGGGACTTACCCTTAGAGTTTCTGACATAGTTGGTTTTGGAAAGAGCCTGAGTTTTCATATTTCTTAAAGAAGTATCCAAGTGATATTTAAGATGCTGGAACAGGGGCCTGACTTTGAGAACCACAGCACTAACAGTTTTAGTATTCATTAGTGGCTGTTACATGAATCAATGATTTCATTAGGGGTTGCAAAATTGTGATTTTTTAATTGATTCCTGCCACATTTATTAGGTGAAATTCTTCTGTAGAGAAGTATTTTTTCTTGTCAACTAGAGTTATTATTCTGAAAAAAACTTCAATAGGTTGGAAGAATGAATGCTTAATTCTTCCTCTTTAAGTACCAATTTTCAAAGTAAGGAGTTGGCATGCTAGCCACTTCCAATGATGACCATTAAGATTGTGTGTTTATTTCCCAGCTTTCTTTTTTCTTTCTTTCATGATTCAAGCACCATAATAAATGACTACAAAGGAGTCTGAGACCAGCATAGGCAACATATTGAAATATCATTTCTAAAAAAAATAAACTATCACCTTCATGTGGCTAACCTTTGATCTGCTTTATTCTTAGCTGAATGATGTTGGTTCTTTTTCATAATCTTCTCATTTAGTGCCTGTCTCAGGGTGCCTTTCATTACCCCAGTCAAGAGATACCTTAACAGTCTGGCCTTGGGCCTTCTGCTCACAGACCCTACTGAAAGTCTAATAAAAATGATACATAGATACACATGCACATATACAATTTAGTATATAATTTCAAGGAGGTCTATAAAATCTTAGGTTTAATACCAGGTTAAGAAACTCTGCCCTGGGAGATTTCATTCATTCCTTAGAATTTTTGTAAGAATAATCTCCAAATTTGCCAATGATATTTGACATTTCAACAGCTACCTAATTATATACTTATACAGATTTTCTTTCTGCCACTGCAATGTTATCAAGACAGAGCTCATCTTTCTTTTTATAAACTTCATTACCACCTTCTAAGTCACTATAACTATCATCTTACAGTCAGTCAACCTCAAAAATTCAAGAGTCATCTTCTATCAACCCTGAAGGCTGATGCCCCAACAAGCAGATTTCAAATTATACAGATTAAAGTTATGTATATAGTATAATTAATCAATGCTTTCAGTCTGCACTTATAGATAAGTACATTTCATAGCATAGTGCCTGATACATAATAAATGCTCAATAAATGTTAGTTGCTATCATCATCGTCGTCACTGCTTAGTGGTATCCCTTCTCTTCCCCCAGGGATAAGAGGCAGCCTTCCCAGCATCTTATCAAAGAAGTGGAGGAAACCCAGACAGCTGAGTTCCCTCATGTCTCAGGGGTGTGAGAATCTTTGCATGACTATCTTTAAGCCTCATGTTCTTCAGTCAGAAATTACTAGCATTCCTCAAAGATGGAGCTGAATAACAGCACAAAAGATTAATAATTTATGGAATTAAATATTTAATATTATGTTAAAAGGATTTAATTTGTAATTTCATCGGTTTGTAATTTTGGAGTAAAGTAAAAAGGTTGATGCCAATTTAATATTTTATGCTTAAAGAATCTTTTTTAAAAAAAAACTCAATTAAATCCTGGCAAGAGGTCCTAACCCACAAATCTGCAGACTTCACAATTCTAGTTATAAATTTGAAGAGAAACAGTGTTTTCAGGAATATGACCACCATGAATGATGAAGCTCCAATAAGGTAATCAAAACTGGCTAATTTGCTCTCTTTAAAATATTTTGAAGAGCTATTATTTTCAATCCTCACATCTAAATCTATACTCATCTTTTCCTCTAACAGTTTTTTCTTCTGATCAGTACAAAAATGTTACTATGAAACGCCCCCCACTGCTTTTTTTTTTTGAGATGGAGTCTCGCCCTGTCACCCAGGCTGGAGTGCAATGGTGTGATCTCGGCTCACTGCAACCTCCGCCTCCCGGGTTCAAATGATTCTCCTACCTCAGCCTCCCAAGTAGCTGGGATTACAGGTGCCTGCTACCATGCCCAGCTAATTTTTTATTTTTAGTAGAGATGGGGTTTCACCATGTTGGCCAGGCTGGTCTTGAACTCCTGACCTTGTGATCCGCCCACCTCGGCCTCCCAAAGTGCTGGGATTATAGGCGTGAGCCACCGTGCCCAGCCAAAAAAAACCCTTTTTATTGTAGATCAAGACTTCAATCTTGACAGCTCAGCTTGTGCTGGTTCTTGCCAATCAATCTTGGAATATTACTGAGAAAGGAAGTCCCATTAGATGAAATAATTTGAACTGTTTTTAGCACACTGATATATGTACCACCCGACATGTGAACACTAGCAGAAAATGGATTAGGTGTCTGATTCTGTATTAATTAGGATAACGTGGGTTACCCTAATTTTAAATATTAGGTTATAATACTATTTATAATATTAAACTTTTAACCTTGAGATATATTTATGAATATAAAACTACAGATTGTAAAACACTTTGCTTTTCTCTGTTTGTTTTTGTAAGCACATAATCATTTCAAATTGTGTGTTCGACAAAAATTAAGGAAATTGTTGCTTGTGTATACTCTGGCAATTTAATTGTGCTTTCAGCAATTTCCCTACATTAGGCTGTTCGCATCTGTTAGATTCTGAATCAGTTCTTCAAGCTATGTGCAACTACTGAAGCAAACCATGGTCTTCTGAGAATTTTTAGTTACATAGTTGAAAGTTTTCAAGGTTATTTACAATTGACTTTCATGACTATATGTTCAAGTTTCTGGTTTAATTAAAGGCAAATATAGTCAAACTTTCCTAAAATTATTTATAATTCCCACACAGAAGCTACTAGATTGTAATATATGATGACAGTAACAGATATCAAACAGATGACTTCAAACATTTTCCACATCTTTAATAAAACATGTAAGTAAAATACATTTCTAGATTTCTTTCTACTTAGGAAGATTTCAAAATGTAGTAGGAAATAAATTCTAGAGTCAGACAAGCCTGATTTTGAACTGAGGCTCTATTCTTCACTGCTGTGTCATGTTGGGCAAGTTATTCAGGCCTTGGGTTACTCTGATTTGTCAGTAAAAAACCCCAAATTTTGTTTTTGCTGGGAGAGTCATACCTTAAATTGCTCTGCACATGAACTGGCACTTCATGGCAAAGAACCCTTAAAGGGGGTTTTATTCCACATCTATCCTACTGGCTTCTGCCCACACATAGCAATTTTTTTTTCCTGTCACGTAAGAATATCATGCTGTCTGCAGCATCAAATAAGAGCCTAGTACTTACAACATAAAATGTACATTAGCAAGAAATTTATAATTCTAACTGTGAAATATTTAATAGGGCAAATCAAGGCTGATAAACATGTACAGAAAATCATAATTTTTTTTGCCAGTTTTCATACATATGTAAAGATCTTAAAAAGCACCCTAAATATCTCAGTCAATGAGAATAAAATCAGTTACATAAGAGTGATGAGCACAGTAGCACAGAACTCACGGCCCTCAACTGTCCTGACTTTTTTTCAGGTCAATCTCAAAGCACAGTGCTTTCTCCCTCATGGAATCAAATTAAGAAAGAAAGTTACACTACTTGAGTTTGAAGAATAAACTCCATTTGACAAATATTTGAGTGACTTATTTGTGTCTCTCACGATGCTTGGCACTTTGGCCTCATGAAACTTCTATTTGAGTGGAGAAAAAGACAATGAATAAGGAGACAAACATTACAATTTCAGGGGGCAATAAATGTTAGAGGTACAGGGATGATCAACTGGAAAGTATCTGGGTGAGGCCACTGTAGACAGGGTGATCATGAAAGGCTTCTTTTTGAAGATACTATTTCAACTGGGAGAAAAGCATTCTAAAAAAAGGTGCAGCACGTTCACAAAACTGAAAGGAGACCAATGAGGCTAACACATAAAGAACAGGGAAGGAGGAAGGCGTACGATGAAACTGAAGAAGTCAAAGTCAAACTAAGCGAGGATTTCTAGGCCTAACAAGGGGGTCTGTATCTTAAAATATTGATAGCCACTTAAGGACTTTAAGTAGATGAGAGACTTGATCTAATTTACATTTGTAAAAAGCACTGAAAAATAATGTGAAACTGTAAACTCAGGTTAATAATCTGTACAGTCCCATTAAGCAGAAATTAAAACAAAAAATTTAAGCACCTCTATGACAATGGTCCTAAATGCTAATGTGGGAACCACAAGGAAATAAAATTCAGTCCCCAATGCAAACAAGTACATATAAGAAGATTAAATAATAAAAACTTTAGGCTGGGCGTGGTGGCTCAAGCCTGTAATCCCAGCACTTTGGGAGGCTGAGGTGGGCAGAACACTGGAGGTCAGGGGTTCGAGACTAGCCTGGCGAAACCCTGTCTCTACCAAAAATACCAAAAAAAAAAAAAAAAAAAAAATTTTAGCTGGGCATTGTGGCACACGCCTGTAATCTCAGCTACTCAGGAGGCAGAAGTAGGAGAATCGCATGAACCTGGGAGGCGGAGGTTGCAGTGAGCTGAGACCATGCCACTGCACTCCAGCCTGGGTGGCAGAGTAAGACTCCATCTCCAAAAAAAACAAAAAACAAAAAACAACTTTAATCAGTACTTCAAGACAATAATAGAAGAGATGTCATGAGGCAATACTGGCTTACAGACAAGATGAGATACTGTCTGAAACATCAGAACTCTCTTAATATAATTCCAGAACAATAGCTGGGTTTTCTTACTGATTTCAATATATGTAGTAACATTTCATTAACTGTCCCAGAGCTGTTTTTTTAGGCAATAATTAAAAACAAAAACAAAAACTGAATAGCCTGGGAAAGTGCCAGAGTCACATTTAATACTACCAGGTTATGATGATGTCATCTGGATGGTATTAAACATTCCAGACAATTCCCCAAATAGGTACTTTCATCCCACCTATTTTTATCATCGCTCCAGGACCTCAAAGTCTGTTGTGAATTATTTCTAAGTGATGACTATGACTGGACTGACAAATGAGTCACTCTAAGCTGAACTACTGATATTGTGTGCTATTTACTCTATTTATGGTAGTGTTATAATAATATTTATAAATGCAATCTGGTTACACTTCTAACACATTCTTTACACAGATAAATACATCCAGATAGCTATATTGATATGCAATTATTTCTTAAGAAGGAAAGAAATGTAGTCTAAAGAACAGACTATGATTTACCAAAACATTCAATTTTTAGGAATTAGGATTCAAATGTCAAACTTGGAGAATGAGATACTAATGAAGGAAGCAGATTTGTTAATTTTAATATTTTGGTTTCTGTATAGAAGTACTCTAAAGGTATCTACATTTTTAGCAAATATTTGAGATCTAAGACATCATCATTCATTCATAAATCAAAGGGCAAATATATCTCTTTTACTTCTTTCTTTAAGTTCTTCAGGTGAAACAATAAAAAAACAATGAAGCCAAGCTGGATGGTTCATTCAGAAATGTGCTCAACATCACTAATCCTTAGAGAAATGCAAATCAAAACCACAATGAGAGACCATCTCACAACAGTCAGAGTGGTTGTTATTAGAAAGTCCATAAAGAAGAGATGCTGGCAAGGCTGTGGAGAAATGGGAATGCTTATATACTGCTGGTGGGAATAAAAACTAGTTCAGCTGCGGTGGGAAGCAGTTTGGAGATTTCTCAAAGAAGATAAAACAGAATTGCTGTTCAGCCCAGCAATCCCATGACTGGGTATATGCCCAAAGGAATGTAAATCATTCTACCAGAAAGACATATGCATGTGTATATTCATTACACACTAATCACAATAGCAGAAGTGTGGAATCAACCTAGACGCCCATAAATGGTGGTCTGAATAAAGACAACATAATACATACACATGATGGAGTACTACACAGCCATAAAAAGGAGGAAATACTATCCTTTGCAGCAACATGGATGCAGCTGGAAGCCATTATCCTAAGTGAATTAAAGCAGAAACAGAAAACCAAAAACTGCATGTTCTCACTTCTAAGTAGGAGCTAAACACTGAGTAACATTGAGTACACAGGGACACAAAGAAGGCAAGAAAGACAATGGGGTCTACTTGAGGGTGGAGGGTGGGACGAGGGTGAGGGTTGAAAGATGGCCTAACAGGTACATGCTTACTAGCTGACTGACAAAATAATTTGTATATCCAAACCCCAGGAACATACAATTTACCCATGTAACAAACCTGAACATGTACTCGCTTGAACCTAACATAAAAATTGGAAGAAAGAAAAAAATTGGCACTGGGAACCCAAGAATACAGATTAAGCTGTGCTAAGCAGGAACAATTTTTCAATGAAGCTTTTTCAATACAGTTAGCTAACTAGTAAATCAAAGTTCTTGGGAAAACAAGTTCATGAAAAGTCAAGCCCTAGTTTATTAGCTAGTGGCTTGACTATGATGTGTTTACTGAGGTCCTACACAGTAAGTAATAATGACATCGTGAAGTCACTTGTCAGAGAAAAGAAAGAAAACAGTGAAAGGGAAGGGCCAGCTGCAAAAACCAAAACTATCTGCTCACCTAGAAATCACAGAGGATGGTGAATTCAGTGATGAATTGACAGGGTTGAAATACTGCTGTAGTACATTACTTTTCCCATTTCTTCACTCCCTGCCTGTAAGAGATTTATCCATACCCTTTGTCACGTGACTTTGTAATGCCTCCCAGTAGAATAGGTGGTGCATATCCCTGCCTTGCTTCTGGTTTTGGTCATGGAGAATGTGTGTGCTTTGATTTCATCTCCTATGTTTCTATCATCTACCATGAGAAAAGCATATGTAGAATGAGGGACATGAGGAGTAGATCTGAACCCAATTATATAGCCTGAAATGGAGTCACCCTAAATGACTCATAGACAAAGAATATCTGTTGATGTAAGCCACTAAATTTTAGAGGCTGTTTGTTATGTAACATTATCACAGTAGAGGCTGGGTGTGGTGGCTCACACCTGTAGTCCCAGCACTTTGGGAGGCTGAGGTGGGTGGATGATGACCTGAGGTCAGGAGTTCAAGATCAGCCTGGCTAACATGGTGAAAACCCATCTCAGCTAAAAATACAAACATTAGCTGGGTGAAGTGGCATGCGCCTGTGATCCCAGCTACTTGGGAGGCTGAGGCAGGAGAATCGCTTGAACCTGGGAGGTGGAGGTTGCAGTGAGCCGAGACTGCACCACTGCATTCCAGCCTGGGTGACAGAACGAGACTCCGTCTCAAAAAAAAAAAAAAATTATCACAGTAGAAATATGACTGGTATACAATTTCCAATATTGGAAACAAGTTTACTCAGCTATAAAACTCACAATTGTACAAAGACATCTTTTGAACATTTTCACTACACAATTTACGATTGTGGTATTTTATGTTCCTTAACTATTATACATGCATTATTTTTACACATCTGGATGACATCTTTAGATATTAAGACCAACCTGATTGGCTTTGAAAAACATTTGGTTGGGAACTATTCATGCGGACTACATTAATTATTAGCCCCATTAAGTAAGATGATGTAGAAAAGACTAGTCTCAAGTTTCCTCTCAGAAAGAAGTCACTTGAGCACTTTTTCCAAGCCAGTTCACCCACCAGACTTACCCACTGCCTCCTATCTCCAAGTTCAATACTGGGAAAGGGGGACAACTGTGTAGGCATGGTTCTGAAGAATCATATGATCCAATACCAGAAACATAGGGAGATAAAAGAGACAGAGGGGTTAGTTGTGGCTAACTCCTAAATCAAGGGAGCAATAAAAGAAAGACGATAGCTCCACAACAACATGGACTAACGTTAAAAACACTGGGCTCTGTTCTCAGCTCCTGGGCCATCACCTTAGTCTTTGTAGGCCTGTTTCTAAATATAACTACATAACCTCTAAGCTTTTTTTTTTCTTTTTTTCTTTTTTTTTTTTAATGGAGTCTTGCTCTGTCGCCCAGTTTGGAGTGCAGCGGTGCGATCTCAGCTCACTGCAACCTCCGTCTCGCGGGTTCAAGTGATTCTCCTGCCTCAGCCTCCCGAGTAGCTGGGATTACAGGTGCGTGCCACCACGCCTGGCTAATTTTTGTATTTTTAGTAGAGATGGGGTTCCACAATGTTGGCCAGGCTTGTCTCGAACTCCTGACCTCAGGTGATCCACCTGCCTTGGCCTCCCAAATGCTAGGATTACAGGTGTGAACCACCACGCCCAGCCTCTCTGAGGATGCTTTTTAATTCAACATTAATATTTCAAAGGTTATCAGTTTTATATAAAAATGTGACTTCAAATATTCTTTTGGCTTATTTTTATCTAATCTCTTACCCTATAATTTCTAGTACAAAAATTCTGAGGGCACTTGTTTTAGGACTGGAGAGAAGTTAGATGTATGGAATGGCAGCTCTGAAATTGCTTCTCATTCAGCAGTGAGGCTGAAAGGACAACATCCTAAGTAGAAAATATCTGATTGCTAGACGCCAGAACAGAACAAATCCAAGAGGCCCACAGGAAAGTCAAAGGTAAACAGCTCCAGTTTGGGCAGTATTCAGGGATCTAACAAGGCAGGAGAGCCTGGATCTCCACCTATGGTAGTTTCAGAAAACAAGACCTGACATTTCACAAAGCTAGCAGTAATGTGCCAAAACAGGAGTACTCAGAGTTGCAGAAATACAATCAAATGACAGAATGGATATCAAACCTTGTGACCATGTAGCTATTTAATAAATGTTGCTTTCAACAACAGCAAAAGAAACTGACAATGGTTCTAAAACTTGCTGGTTCTAAGAACTTAGTGATAATGACTCTGACTAACAGAGGAACAGGTAGTCTTGAGCAAGGTTTTCTTCTGTGGCCTTTAAAAGATTCATATTCAGCAAAAAGACATGACTTCATAGAGTTGGGTTTGCAGATTCAATATTTACATTTAATGATGTCTCCAGGTGGTTTAAGTGGTTAGTCTTGAACCACAAGTGTAGTTAACCAGTTAAGAGATTAGCATGGGTTTCCAATCATTATTCGTAGGGAAACCAAACACTCCATGTAATGCTGATGCACAAAGTTTAAAATAAAGGCAAGTTTAAAATATAGTACTCAAAAATACAGTTTGGTATCTTTCTCACTAACCCTTAAGTTTTGTTAAAGCCAGATTTTAAACGAATAGTGGTCCAATCAAGAGAGTTTAGAAAGTGTCTTACTCTGCGTCCTTTGCTCAAAGGTCTGGACCTACCAAAGTTAAAACATCATTCTAGGACTTGAAAGACATTAAAAGTCCTTGTATCCTCTTGAAGGTGTTGTTTCTACAGATTTCAGAGTAAGAGTTTTCTGACTACCTTGTAGGTGTTTAGTCAGCAGCTTCTTGACAGTCTCTGACCTACCTTTCTAATCAATCTTTTCCACCATCTTCCTTCCTCTTCTAGTGGAAGGAAAAAAAAAATAATTTAATGGTAAATTCATTTTGCTTTCTAGGAATTAAGACATGTTTAATCTAATTGCTATTGAACTATCCAATTATTATGACGTGTTAATCAAAAGTAAATTATAATCTAGAAGTAGCTTCTCTGATCCTCCTCAAATCTCTGTCTGGTTTGGCCACTCCTGCCTCCACTGTGTCCATCAGGGTGACCCAGAAGTCCTACAAGGTGTCCACCTCTGGCCCCTTGGCCTTCAGCAGCTGCTCCTCCACGAGCAGGCCTGGTGCCTGCATCAGCTCCTTGAGCTTCTCCTGGTGGGCAACAGCAGCAGCTTCCTGGGTGGCCTAAGTGCCAGCATAGGTCTGAGTGGAGGCTATGCTGAGGCCAGTGGTATGGGGGGGCATCACAGCCATTATGGTAAACCAGAGCCTGCTAAGCTCTTTTAAGCTGGAAGTGGACCCCAACATCCAGGCCGTGTGTAACCAGGAGAAGGAGCAGATCAAGACCCTTGACAAGAAGTTTGCCTCCTTCATCAACAAGTTGTGGTTCCTGGAGCAGCAGAACAAGGCACTTGAGACCAAGTGGAGCCTCCTGCAGCAGCAGAAGATGGCTGGGAGCAACATGGATGAGATGTTCGAGAGCCACATCAACACCCTTTGGTGGCAGCTGGACACTCTGGGTCAGAGAAGCTGAAGCTGGAGGTGGAGCTTGGTGATACGCAGGGGCAGCTTGAGGACTTCAAGAAAAAGTAGGAGGATGAGATCAACAAGCATACAGAGAAGGAAAACGAATTTGTCTTCATCAAGAAGGATGTGGATGAAGCTTACATGAACAAAGCAGAGCTGGAGTCTCACCTGGAAGGGTTGACTGATGAGATCAACTTCCTCAAGCAGCTGTATGAAGGAGATCCAGGAGCTGCTGTCCCAGATCTTGGACACATCTGTGGTTCTGTCCATGGACAACAGCTGCTCCCTGGACATGGACAGCATCATCACCAAGGTCTGTGCCCAGTATGAGGACATCTCCAATCACAGCCAGGCCAAGGCTGAGAGCATGTACCAGATCAAGTATGAGGAGTTGCAGGAGCTATCTGGAAAGCACTGAGATGACTTGCATTGCACAAAGACAGAGATCTCAGAGATGACCCAGAACATCAGCAAAGGGCCTCAGAGACCGAGGGCTTCCCTGGAGGCTGCCATCAGATGCTGAGCAGTATGTGGGGAGCTGGCCATTAAGCACACCAATGCCAAGCTGGTGGAGCTGGAGGCCGCCCTGCAATGGGCCAATCAGGACATGGTGTGGGAGCTGCATGAGTACCAGGAGCTCATGAACATCAATTTAGCCCTGGACATCGAGATCACTACCTACTGCAAGCTGCTGCAGGGCAAGGAAAGCTGGCTGGAGTCTGGGATGCAGAATATGAGTATCCATAGGAAGACCACCAGTGGCTACTCAGGTGGGCTGAGCTGGGCCTATAGGGGTCTCACAAGCTCTGGTCTCAACTATGGCCTGGGCTCTAGCTTTGGTTCTGGTGGGGGTTCCGGCTCCTTCAGCTGCCCCAGCTCCTCCAGGGACCTGATTGTGAAGAAGATCAAGATCCATGATGGGAAGCTGATGTCTAAGTCCTCTGATGTCCCGTCCAAGTGAACAGCCATGGCAGCCCCTCCCTGCCTACCCCCTTCTGTGGCTGTCCCAGAGCCTGTCAGGGAGGCAGCTGTGCAGGGGAGCATAAGGAAAAGGAAACCCACCTGAGGCTCAGCCCTAGCCTTCAGCCCCTTGGAGGAGTTTATTGCCTGGGGTACCCACTCTTGCCCATGCCCCCAACTAAAAACCAGTTCAATTATTTTTTTCCAAAATAAAGCCCCAGCTAGCTCTGCCAACCATCAAAAAGGAAAAAATTATGATTCTTTTATAATTTTGATTGTATACTTAGTCCTGTTAGAACTGCATAAATCCAAGAGGAGCTCAAGCCTTGCAGAAATTCTGAACTTTCTCTACTTTAAATTTAAAGTTCATCACGCACTAATATTCCCAACAGTTTACCTCATGTGCTATTCAAATATTTTGCGGACCATTAAACTTTTATATAAATAAGGGTGTCTATTAACCAGACAAGCTGGAAAAACCCAGTGATCTGTCAATCCCTTTGGATTTGATTCTTTGAAATATGCAGGATTAAGCTATCAGTACCACCACGGATTTATAACTCACATGCACTGAGTTTCTGGCTTTACGTTTCACGAAGAAAATTTAATCATGCAGATGTATGACAAATATTTCATTCACAGTATTTTAAACTACTATAGTTAGGTTGCAGCTTGTGCCATGAATGGGACAGAGTTTTATCAAATATGGACATCCCCATAACACATAGATTAAAGGCGCAAAAGTGGCAGCAGGGAGGAGGGATGAAGAGAGGCTGATTAATGAGCACAAACCCACCGTTTGAGAGATGAAATGAGACCTAGTGTTGGATAGATCAGTGGGGTGACTATAATTTACAATAATCCAATGTACAGTTCAAAATAGTCGGAGGAGAATAATTATAATAGGATGTTTTCAGCATAAAGAAAAGACAAATATTTAAGGTGACAGATATCCCAATTACACAAATGTGATCTTTACAATTTATATGAATATATTATTACATGTACCCTGAAAGTATGTACATCTATCATGTATCAATTAAAAAAGTATTAAAAAAGGTAGAAAAGATACTTTAGGAGCTGAAAATATGGAGCAGGGTTTGGAAAGATAGACTATGGCCAGTGAGAAAGGGAGCCAAGATCAGAGAGGATGGGAGGGGGTTAAGGAAATGATGCATTCGAAAGGCAAACCAAGTCAGGGTCTAAAGGCCAAAAAGTCTAAATACTGGGTAAATTGCCACAGCCAGAAGACAGCTAAGGAGTAACAACCTAATTGCTTGTTTACCAAGTTTTCCAACTCAGTCTATTAGTATTTTTTTGGTGTGGGAAAACTTTTCTTTCTTTCTTTCTTTTTTTTTCTTTTTTAAAAGAGATGGAGGCGGGGCGGGAGGGGGGGTGTCTCATTATGTTGCCCAGGCTGGATTAGAACTCCTGGGCTCAAGCGATTCTCCTGCCTTAGCCTCCAGAGTAGCTGGGACTACAGGCATGCACCACCATGCCTGATTTTGGGAAAACATTTCTAATTTTATATGGAAGTTAAAATGAAGAAGTTTTAAAAATAATAATTTTAATTAAACACAATTCCATAAAGTTGTAATATCTCTACATAGATTAGTAGCAACAATTTTTCTGACGTCAAGTCTTAGATTCTGAGAGACAGACACTTAGATTCTGAGAGAAATAAATATACACATACAAATGTATTTCCTCTAGCATGCTCACACACACTCTCTCTCTCACCCTGTCCAAACTCTTAACCAGTTTAGTTGTATTCTAGTCAAAATGAGATCTGCTTGGAAGCATAGAGAAAAGGACCATGTGAGTCATAGTAAAGGAGTTAACTGTAATTCTTGTTCTCTTTAAAACTTTCATTTTATACATTTCCTTCTTGAATTATCTATCAGCTATTCATTCATTAATAAAGTATTGGGCACCCTGATGTGTAGCCTCAACTATCAGTTGTCTATTCACCAACTCCACATGGATATCTATGATGCCACTCTAATCTTAGAGCTAATCTCCACACCCTGCCCTCTCTCCACATCCAATCCATCAACAAATCCTTTCAACTCTTAACTATGACATGTCCAGAATCCCACCATTTTTCTTGAACTGCATCAATCCTCCTCTAGTGCAAGTCACGATTATCCCTTGCCTGAACTATTAGAATAGTTTCTTAACTGGTTTTCCTTTTATCTTTGCATCTCTGTCTTCCATTCTTGACAGAGTAGCCAGAGCAATCTTTAGAAACAGTTCTATCAGTCCTCTGCCAATAATCCTCCAATGGCTTCCCACGTCACTCGGACTACAAGCCAAAGTTGTTACCATGGCACAATAAGCTCCCATATGATCGGAAACTGAAGACATCTTTAATTTGATCAAAATAGATGAGGACTCAAAAATTATAAAATATAATGAAGTGTGACTGGTCATAGCTCAGACCTAAGGTGTGTACTCAAATTTATCAATGGTGACTACCAAAACCAAACCTTAACCCTTGACACAGAATTACAGTCACAAGTTTGCAAGAACACATGTGCAAGTTTGTTCAGTGCAACATTATTTGAAATAGCCCAAACCAGAAAACAAATATCTATCAAAAGAGGAATGGTTAAATAAATTATGGCATATAATCATACTATATGGAATACTATGAAGCTGCAAAAATGTGATGAATCCTTAAGCATTTACACGGAAGTGTCTCTCTTTCCCTTGTGCATGTGGATGGACATGCATGCGTGTGCACAAACACACACACACACACACACACACACTCCTTACTTTAGTTATTCCATACTGAGAAGAGCTTCCTACATAGAGCCCTTACCATTCCCTCTGAATATCTCCACCCTCCTCACTGTAAGAATTCCTGCTCATCCTTCAAGACTAATTTCAGAGTATCATCTCACTAAGAAAGCCTTTCCTGACTCCTGTCTGGGTAGGACTTGCACTTAATGTTTGCTGAATAGAATAAAGAAAAAAAATCTACATTTTCTATATTCTAAAAATTAGCTTGAAATGTCATTCTCGAATTAATTGTTATCTATTCTCTTTCTCTCAAATTCAATATAATTTATTTATATGCCACAAGATCTACCACTGACATACAACTATGGCCTTACCCCAGTGATCTTAAACATTACATAGAAATGTGTTGCAGTGGCCTGGTGTGGTGGCTCACATCTATAATCCCAGCACTTTGGGAGGCCAAGATGGGCAGATCACTTGAGGTCAGGAGTTCAACACCAGCCTGGCCAACATGGTGAAACCTCATCTCTACTAAAAATACAAAAACAAGCCGGACGTGGTGGGCACATGCCTGTAATCCCAACTACATGGGAGGGTGAGGCAGGAGAATTGCTTGAGCCCAGGAGGTGGAGGTTGCAGTGAGCTGAGATTGTGCCACCGCACTCCAGCCTGGGCGACAGAGTGAGACCCTGACTCAAAAAAAAAAAAAAAAAAAAAGATAACCAACAATAACTATTGATCAGTATCATTTAAAAATCTTACATATTTCTCACTGATCCCTATTATTGTTATCCATAGCTAAATCATCTCCAAAATCTAATTGAAATGCTAATGTAATGCTGGAGACTGCCTTTTCATCACACACCTTTTAGGATCGGTATTCATTTCTGGCACTGCAAATCAGTTGGCTACTTAGGAATTTTACTGTAATGCTCCTGTTCTCTCAAATAGTATAAAAAGATAATGACTACGGCCGGGCATGGTCTTCCAGCACTTTGGGAGGCCGGGATGGGTGGATCACCAGAGGACAGCAGTTTGAGACCAGCCTGGCCAACATGTCGAAACCCCATCTCTACTAAAAATACAAAAATTAGCCAGTAATCCCAGCTACTCGGGAGGCTGAGGCATGAGGATTGCTTGAACCTGGGAGGCGGAGGTTGCGATGAGCCAAGATCGTGTCACTGCACTCCAGCCTGGGCAACAGAAAAAGACTCTGTCTCAATAAATAAATAAATAAATAAATAAATAAATAAATAAATAAAATAAAATAAAAAAGATAATGACTACATCTTGGAACTGTAATACAGAGTGTAAATATGTCATGACTATTTATCTGCAAAAAATTCTATTTTCATATAATTTTCTGCTCTCTGCTATTATTATGCCCAGGATTTGCTAGTTAGGTGTTTCCTAATATTTACACTCAAGTTCCTATTTTTAGCCTGATATGACATCATAAATGCAGATGGTTAAACATTTTTAAAAACAGTATGATGAAATTTTAATCAAAGCATCAGAAATTTAGTAATCTGATGTGAAAACCATCATTTTTCCTAAAACTGAAGAAAAAGAGATTGTAACAATGAAAATTTAAGTGTCTAGATTTATTTTAGTGCCACAAAACAAAACAAGATTACTGAAATTAGAGGTGGTAAAAAGCAGAGATAGCCTTAACTTAATTATACTGCAAAAGTCTGTTATGGCTAGCAACAGCCTAAACTTACCTTCAGCTTTTACAAACTATCTGTATAACATACAGTATCTTTTTTTAATCTTTCTGTTACAAATATAAGCACTTACCAGAAAACGACAAGGGTAGATTTAGGCAAACTCACTCTTCCAACCCTACAAAGATTCCAATTAATTTTATAACAGGTCAGGAAATAACAGAGAAGCAATACCATACCCTTAGAAAAGACCTCAGGAGAAAGCACAGAACCTGAAAGGAACTCCAACACCCCTCTACAACATCAAAATTTAACAGAAACCCTACGGTAACTATGCTGATTTCATGCCTCTTTCACAAGATGGACTGAAATATTTCACTGCACCAACATCTCCTTGAGGTTGCGGGGAGGTAGAGGTGGCAGCCTTTTAAACTTGGAGATTTCAACAGAAAGCACATGAGAGGTCTGCTTCAGCATCATTTATACTAGCTTCATCCTGTCCATTTCATGCTAGTGCAGTAGTCACACACATTGTAAAGCGTCTACTGCCTGGAACTCTCCAAGGTTCTGACCCTTAACGGTGGTCTAGTAACTTAGAGAGCAATGCATGGAGAACCAAAGTCCATGGAAAACAGAACCATAGGTTTAGTGCTTTTCCAATATTTCTTTTCTTTTTTTTTTTCTTTTTCTTTCTTTCTTTTTTTCTTTTTTTGAGATGGAGTTTTGCTTTTGTTGCCCAGGCTGGAGTGCAATGGCACAATCTCACCTCACCACAACCTCTGCCTCCCGGGTTCAAGTGATTCTCCTGCCTCAGCCTCGTGAGTAGCTGGGATTATAGGCATGTGCCACCACATCCCGCTAATTTTTTTGTATTTTTAGTATAGATGGGGTTTCTCCATGTTGGTCAGGCTGGTCTCAAACTCCCCACCTCAGGCAATCTGCCCGCCTTGGCATCCCAAAGTGATGGGATTACAGGCGTGAGCCACCACGCCCAGCCCCGATATTTCTTTTCCTTTTTTTTTCTTTTTTTGAGACAGGGTCTTGCTCTGTCACCCTGGCTGGAGTGCAGTGACGCAATCACGGTCACTGCAGCCTTGATCTCCTGAGCTCAAGGTTTAGTAGAGACAGGGTTTCGCTGTCTCTACTTTCCTCCAACCTCAGAAGCACCCCCACCACACACCTCCTACCCCAGTAGCTGGGACTGCAGCAGGCACACACCACCACACCCGGCTAGTGTGTGTGTATTTTTTTTTTTTGTAAACATGGGGTTTCGCCATGTTGCCCAGGCTGGTCTTGAACTTCTGACATTTCTAAATGTTGATTCTAATATCTCCTACCCACTCTGGCCTTACTGTGATCATTCCATCCCATCCCTGGTCTACACTTGCCCCATAGTATCCCTGGTACATCACCAAATCCTACCAAATTCCTACAGCATCTGGATCCATTCCTTTCTTACTTCAACCATTCTCCAAGTCCACTATTTTAGAAGCAGAGTTCAGTGGACTGTAGGATTGTGGGAGATATTTAATTTAACCTTGATTTACTTGGTTAGCTTAGAGCCACTGTAAATGGAAAAAAATACTTCAAATGTGTAAATTCTTAGAATTGTCTTCTCCCTTCCTGAAAGTGCTCTAAAGTCCCCAAGCTCCCAAGCTAATAGGGGAAAAGGAAAAGAAAGGGTGATACGATCAGCAGTACTAAGAGTTCCGCTGTTCCAACTAAACCCATCAGAATCAAAGTAGTTAGGCCATCTTAGGCAGAGAAACAAAAGACAGTGTACAATGCCTTGATTGCTATCCCATTTCTCTAATGGGAGGGGTGTAGAGGTGTGTGTGTGGGGGGGGTGGTGATGGGGGGAATAGAATGTTTCAAAAAACTGTCAGAATTAACCCTGAAAGAATACCTGGTTTCTTTTTCTTTGAGATGGAGTCTCGCTCTGTCGCCCACGCTGCAGTGCAGTGGCGCGATCTTGGCTCACTGCAACCTTCGCCTCCCAGGTTCAAGCTATTCTCTTGCCTCAGCCTCCCTAGTAGCTGGGACTACAGGCGTGTGCCACCATGCCCAGCTAATTTTTGTATTTTGAGTAGAGACAGGCTTTCACTATGTAGGCCAGGCTGGTCACCAACTCCTGACCTCAAGTGGTCCGCCCGCCTCGGCCTCCCAAAGATTACAGGTGTGAGCCACCGTGCCTGGCCGAATACCTGGTTCTTATTTCATGCTCTCCCACACTCCAGTCTGCCCACTACCAGTTTACCCTGCCCCAATCTTTCCCTTTGGTGAAAAATAGAAGACACGATTTGCCCCCCAAAACTCTGAAAGTCTTCCAAAAATTGTTCCATAGAAAAATACAGAAAAGGACAAGGTTATGCAGAACTAGGTCAACACTTTAAAAGCTGATTAAAGAGGAGAAATTTTGATTTCATTTCTTAGGAATTTTGCACTTACTGGCTGGAAGGTGGAAGGCAGAGGCATTATGTGCTATTTGGCCCTGGCCCAGGGTTTCCTTCTACTTCCTCCCTGGAGAGTGGGGAGTGGGGGAGGGTGTAGCATAATGATTAGAGCACAGGATCTGAAGCTTCAAATCCAGTGCCACCACTTATTGGCTGTATGATCTCAGGCAAGCTACTTTTCTGTGCTTTAGTCTCCTCAAATGCAAAACAGTGATAATAACTCTATCCATTCCCAAAGGTTTTTATAAGGATCAAATAATTAGGCTTAAACACTTAAAATCTGGAGCATGGTGTCATCCATTTCTGTCAACTCCTACCTTGAAAACGTACCCCGAAGCTCTTGCTTCCTACCACCTGCACCATGACCACCTAAGGCCAAGACACCATCGTCTCATGCCTGGACTGTGGCAATGCTCCTAACCAGTCTCCTCTCTCTACTCCAGCTCCACTCCAGTCTGTTCTCCACACAGAAGTCAAAGTAACCACTGAAAAAATGAGTCTTTCCATGACACGGCTCTGCTCAAAATGCTCCACTGGCTTCCAGTCTCACTCAGTACAAAATTCCAAGTCTCTACCATGGTCTATTAGACCCCATGTGATCTCAACCATATCCTGTCCCTTCCCATGCCTCACCACGCCTCCCTGCATCTCCCACCACCCTCTACCACCCTCTAGTCTTGGGTTCTGACCTCAAGGCCTTCGTCTGGCTGTTCTCTGTGTTTAGATATCCACATTGCTTTCTTCCTAACTTAATTCCTAACTTTTCTGCTTAAATGACCACTCATCAGAAAGGTCTCCCTCTAACCACCACCTCAGAGACTCTACCTTTACCCTACTATTTTTTTTTTTTTTTGAAATAGGGTCTCACTCTGTTGCCCAGGCTGGAGTGCAGTGGTGTGATCACGACTCACTGCAGCCTAGACTACCGGACTCAGGTGATCCTCCCACCTCAGCCTCCTGGGTAGCTGAGACTATAGACGCATACCACCACACCTGGCTAATTTTTTGTATTTTTTGTAGAGATGGGGTTTTGCCATGTTGCCCAGGCTGGTCTTGAACTCCTGGGCTCAAGAAATCCACGTGCCTCAGCCTCCCAAAGTGTTGAGATTACAGGTATGAGCCACTGTGCCTGGCCCCTTTACCTTATTTCTCTTTTTAGTACTCTTCACCACTTGCTATTTTAAAAATATTTTGTTTTATTGTATTTTTGAGACAAGGTCTCGCCCATCTCCCAGGCTGGAGTGCAATGGCATGATCACGGCTCACTGCAGCCTTGATCTCCTGGGCTCAAGCAATCTGCCTGCCTCAGCCCCCCAAGTAACTGGGACTACATGCACACACCACCATGCCCAGCTACTATTTTGTATCTTTTGTAGAGACAGGGTATCGCCATGTTGCCCAGGCTGGTCTCAAACTACCGAGCTCAAGAGATCTGCCTGCTTCGGCCTCCCAAAGTGCTGGGATTACAGGCGTGAGCCACTGTGCTGGGCCTAATTTTTTGTAGAGATGACATTTTGCCACATTGCCCAGGCTGGTCTCAAACTCTTCGGCTCAAGCGATCCACCCACCTCAGCCTTCCAACGTGCTGGGACTATAGGTGTGAGCCACCGCACCTGGCCCCTTTACCCTGCTCTGTTTCTCTTTTTGGTACTCTTCACCACTTGCCATTTTATATATGTGTCTGTTTTACTGTTTTTTTCCCTCGCTTAGGATGTGAATGTGGACAAGGATTTTGAACTGTTTTCTCTCTGTATCCCCTGGATCTGGAACAATGCTTGTCATATAGTTAGTGCTTAATAAATATTTGCTGAATTGACGAATGAATATTTGCTATTATTATCCATCTGTGACATCTTCTTTATCCCAAAATATTCCAATAGCTTCCAAACAGGATCTTACGTTTCCAATCTCTTCTGTCTCCAATCATCCTATATACATTACTTTGACTAAAACACTGCTTTCATAATGTCATTCCTCTGCTCAAGAACACTCCTCTCTGACCTTAGCAGTTCCCAGTGTGCCCTGCAAGATGTTAAAAGATGTATGTGAAAAGAGACATTTGGTGACTAAGAAAGTTTGGAAAATATAGGATTAAAGAAATTTGAGTTATTTATTACAGACTGATATGGTTTGGCTGTGTCCCCACCCAAATCTCATCTTGAATTGTGGCTCCCATAATCCCAACATGTCATGGGAGGGACCTGGTGGGAGGTAAACTGAATCATGTGGGCAGGGTTTTCCCATGATGTTCTCATGATAGTAAGTTTCACGAGATCCGATGGTTTTATAAAGGGCAGTTCCTCTGCACATGCACTCTTGCCTGCTGCCATGTAAGATGTGCCTTTGCTCCTCCTTCGCCTTCTGCCATGATTGTAAGGCCTCCCTGGCCATGTGGAACTGTGAGTCCATTAAACCTCTTTTTCTTTATAAATTACCCAGTCTCAGGTATTTCCTAATAGCAGTATGAGAATCAACTAATACACAGTCTCAGTCTTTTAATTTACTAACATGCAGTGTAAATACCCAGAAGAAGAATTTAATATTTTCCACTATGGTATTTGTGACTACAGAATCCTTTTTAAAGGAGCTGGTCAGGGACTGGCTTCTGTAGAACATGTAGGAAATATTGGCTTATAGAAGTATCTAAAACCATTTTCAAAAGTAGGCATCAGGGCTCTTGGTAAAACTGAAAAGAAGACAGCTGTCTTTAGTGCTCTTCCTGCTTCCTTTTCTTTTCCCTCTTCCCCATTCTGTGGCTTCTCTCTGTTAGCAATAAGGCTTATAAAAAATCAATCAGTCAATCAATCTCAAACTGCTGGTATGGGTATTGACATACATCTTTAAAAAGAAGAACTTTCTGGGCTTCTAACCTAGTGCAGTATATTCCTTGTGATGCATAAATAGTCTTATTCTTCAATGATGTATTTTGAATCTTCTGCTTGCATGCTGTACCAAGCAAAGAGAAAGAGTATATACTCAGTATTTTTAGATTCATCTCGACTGGTATGCACAAACTCAGCAAGATACCATGCAAAGTGTGACACTCCTTACTAGGAATCCTGAAAGTCATATTAGATAACACAGCTCAGCTGGGTACGGTGGTGTGTGCCTTAATCCCAGCTACTCAAGAGGTTGAGGCAGGAGAATCACTTGAGGCCAGGAGTTCAAATCCAGCCTGGGAAACTACAGTGTGACCTCATCTCTTAAACAAAACAAGAACTAAAAAAAAAAAAAAAAAAAAAAAAAGCCAACTTCACAGCTTGGATATTAAATCCATTAGGTTCAAGTTTTGGAAAGTATGTCTTTACTGGTACTATAATCTCACATGGTACAGTCATTGTGGCCAAGCAACTTTTCCCTAAAAGATATTCCAAACTTTGTAAAAATTTCATGTGACTGACTGCTAAATATTTTTTATGACAAAATTGAAGCAGTGTTTAACTGAAATCAATATAATTCATTATGGAAAATCTGAGGAAGGACTGTATCTATAAGATTTCAGAAGACTGATCTCAAAGAGGTATATACCAGATATATTTCAGGGTACCTGTCTGCCATGCCCTTTTGGGGAGTCCTCACTCATAGCACAAAGTGGCCTGGTTTTACACCATGCATAGTATAAACACTAAGTATGTAATATATACTACACAGGTACACACCTGACCCAAAGATAGTTGCAGTAAACTCAATTTTCTTCAGGTAAAATTCTCACAGTAATTTTCATTTTAGAAGAAGAGCTTATACACGGTGCATATGGACCTAAGGGCTTTTCTGGGACCCCATCAGTAGACTGCCATTCCCTTCCACCCTCCAGATACAAGGCTTCATTAACCACCGAGGAAAATGACCTCAATCCCAACTTCACAAATGGGCCTGATTTCGTCTCAGGGCAATCCTTCCCCCTGGCCAGTGATGGGTATAGAAATGGTATATTTTGGTGGTTTCTCTTTCTCACCAACAGAGCTTATTAATCCAAACAGGTCTCTAACTGCAAATCCAGCCAATGAAACATGAGGTTCATTTTCAGGGCAGATTTTAGGAAAATGTTTTCTCACGCCTAAGAAAAAGCCACAGGAAGAAATGGCCATTCGGTTTTCTGAATATCTGGATGTGACACCTGAAATTGCTGTAGCCATTTTACTAAAGATAAAGCTGAGGCTGGCAGAGTGAGGAGATGCAAAGAACCTGTGTCTCCTTGACACGGTTGCGTCTCCAATCAACTCTAAAAGTTGCCCCTCCTTTGGATTTCCTGTTACAGGAGATAATACATTTCCTCATTTCTTAGCCAATTTGAATCAGGTTTTTATTACTTTTAGCTGAAAGGCTAATGGCTCAGGAAGGATTCTGTGACTTGGATTGAAAAGTGAGGTGGGTGAATCAGATTCCCTTTCTTGGGAAAATGAGAGACAAAGACGGAAGCTGCCAGTGAGCTGTGTGGAACTGAGCTGAAAGAGCTTTAAAAAATGGAGAATGCGTTTGAGCCATTGTAAAAGGAATAAGCGACGGAGGAAGCCAGCTGGGACAGTGAGGAGGCATAGACAGATGTGTCTCAAGAAGCAGAGAGGCCAATAAAAAGAACAACACTACTCTTTTAAGAAAAAAGGTATCTTTTAGCTTTCTGGTTCCCACGATGCCTGCCTAAGCTGCACTTCCTATCCTTGAATTACCATGAGACATCTTTGTAACCTTACACTGTATTTCCCTTCACAAGAGTTGGGTTGCGTGTGTGTTCTCCTACTTAACAAGCCATGTCTAGAACATGGGAGGTAGATGAAAAGGCAAAAGTCAAATCAGACTAATATTGCAAATTAAAAGGGGCCAACAATAACAGATGAGAGACAAAAAATGTCTCCAATAACAGTAAAATTGCAAAATTAAAAGGCACCGACAATAACAGATAAGAGACTAAAGAATAGCTCCAATGATAGTAAAACTTAATAAAGAAGATTATGAAAGTAAATAAAAATGAAAAAATGATCATGTAATCAGTATCACACAAACTGGCCATTAAAAGACAGCAAATCATGTAACTGGCAAAGATGTTCTATAGATAGTATTAATACAAAGGTATCTGGATCAAGCATTTGATTTTCAAATCCTTCTCTGACACATGTTAACCTTTCATTTATTCTTATGTTTTTGGAAAAGAATGCCGGGCTCTGCATTTTCTTTCTGGAATCTCTCTCCCATCTGGCTCATTCCCCTACCACCTCTTCCCCAAATGAGTTCTGTTGCTATTACCTCATATTAGTACTGACCCATTTCATTTGGTTACTGTAGTACTTCTTAAAATAATCACTATGGCTCTAGTATCTCCTAATTCTTCTTCTTCTTCTTTTTTTTTTGTGACAAGGCCTCACTCTGTCACCCAAGCTGGAGTGCAGTGGTGTGGTCATGGCTCACTGCATCCTTGATCACCGGGCTCAGGTGATTCTCCTACCTCAGCCTCTGAGTAGCTAGGACTACAGGCATATGCCACTGTGCCTGGCTAATTTTTGTGTTTTTTGTAGAGATGGAGTTTTGCCATGTTGCCCAGGCTGGTCTCGAACTCCTAGGCTCAAGTGATTTGCCTGCCTCGGCCTCCCAAAGTGCTGGGATTATAGGTGTGAACCACTGCACTCGGCCGTATCTCTCGATTCTAATACAAATTAATCTTTCCAGGCCCAGTGCAGTGGCTCATGCCTGTAATCCCAGCACTTTGGTGGGAGGCCAAGACGGGTGGATCACGAGGTCAGGAGTTTGAGACCAGCCTGGCCAATATGGTGAAACCCTGTCTCTACTAAAAATACAAAAATTAACCGGGCGTGGTGGTGCGTACCTGTAGTCCTAGTACTAGGGAGGCTGAGGCAGAAGAATCACTTGAACCCAGGAGGCGGAGGTTGCAGTGAGCCGAGCTCACGCCACTGCACTCCAGCCTGGGTGACAGAGCAAGACTCTGTCTCAAAAATAAATAAATAAATAAATAAATAAATAAATAAATAAATAAATAAATAAAATAAAAATGAAAAAATAAATAAGTAAATTAAAATCATCTTTCTAAAGCAGAACTTCAAGAAGGTCATTTTTTATTTAAATATTCTTAATAGCTCTTCCACGCCTATGGAATTAATTAAGCCCATGTTACTCCTTAGCCTAGTCAGAATACTGAACCTGCATGACGTATAGTTGCAGCCCATTTTATTCCCTTACTCTCTGTTCTTATTACATCTCCTCCTCCTATCTACCTTTCCTCTTCCATTTGCTCTAGCCAACCTGAACTGCTTTGTTCTCATATAAACCTCATAACTTTCTGTACTCTGGAGCTCATGCTGTTACTTTCATCTGACACTTACTCCCCACCTCCCCCCACCAATTCTCTTCCATCCTTGTAGAAATAAAAATCTATTACTTCTACTCTGGCCAGGCATGGTGGCTCATGCCTGTAATCCCAGCACTTTGGGAGGCCAGGGCAGGCGGATCGCTTGAGGCCAGGACCTCGAGGCCAGCCTGGGCAACATAATGAGACCCAGCTCTACAAAAAATAAAAAAATTAGCCAGGCATGGTGGCATGTGTCTGTAGTCCCAGCTACTCTGGAGGCTGGGGTGGGAGGATCGCTTGAGGCTGGGAGGTTGAGGCTGCAGTGAGCCATGGCTGCACCACTGCACTTCAGCCTGGGCAACAGAGTGAGACCCTGTCTCAAAAACAAAACAAAACAAAACCCAAAAAGACCCCCAGTATATTCTAATTAATAAAATCTGCATATGAATGAATCAGAGTAAACATATGCAAAATCACCTCAAAGACTACAAAACCAGCAATATTTACCAAAACGGAAAAAACATGCACCCAAAATGAGAGTTTATCAGCAAAGGCAGTGATAATTCAAGATCTATCCAAAAATACCAGTCAGGCAGACTACATATTTTCAATAGTCCTTCAAGTTCCAATTCAAATGCCATCTCATTTTTAAAAATCCTGCCTTGCTCTTTAAGCTTTGTTATGTAAATATGTCTCATTTATTCAAAATAATTGAAAGTAAAAAAACACATCTTATACAAGTTGTAGTCCATGGCACTAAGAATAAGGACTTATAAGTAACAGATGCTCAATAAGTATTTGCATAAATTTATTCTTAGGCTATTGGAAAACAAAGAGCATACTGAGGTTTCTTTCCATTTCTATCTTCAGATTAAAATAATACAAAAGTCCTTTTTTAAAGTTTCTATTTATCTCTCAAGGGAAATTTAAGTTAGCTAAACATCTAGAGTATAAGAACATAAAATGGGTCTGAGAAAAGATTAAGTCAGAAAATTAAATGAGAATTGGGCAACTAGCTTACGAGTAACTCAGGTAAGAATTCCATAGCATAATTTTAAAATTTTATTTGAAATGCCAAAATCACCAGTAATAAATAAGGCACAATGTGAAACAAAATTTCAGAACAGACATTTCAGAAACATTAAGAAATGCAGTTCAGAAACAAACTGAATTTTGCATTTTGAATGACTTGTCCCTGTTTCTTTCCATTAACCTTAATGAGTTTCTCTAAAAACATTTAAAAAATGGCGACAACTACTATGTTAGTTATCCTCATGGAATGTTAAAACTGGTGAGTTGTACAGAGGGAGAGTAGGTAAAAAAAGTAGCTTGAATTCATATAATAACCAAAACATAAATATTCCTGAACAAAATTATGTGCATATAAATACATTTAGAATGTTGAACCTTCTTGGTAAATTGAAAAACAACACATTCCTTAGTAAATGAACAACTAGAGCCATTATTAACAGAGAAATAGTTAAAAGTAATATAAATATGTTCTTGGCCAACTCTATCTTGGTCCACTGTTTTGATAATTCAAAACAGTAATTGTCAATGTCAGAGTGTTAATTCTCTCAATCTCTCTCTCTTTTTGTTGGATACAGTATCGCTCAGTCACCCAGGCTGGAGTGCAGTGGCGCAATCTTGGCTCATTGCAACCTCTGCCCCCAAGGCTCAAGTGATCGTCTCACCTCAGCCTCCTGAGTAGCTGGGACCACAGGTACGCAGCACCAAACCAGGCTATTTTTTTTTTTTTTTTTTGCATTTTTAGTATAGACAGGGTTGTGTTGCCCAGGCTGGTCTCGAACTCCTAAGCTTAAGCAATCCTCCTGCCTTGGCCTCCCAAAGTGCTGGGATTACAGGTGTGAGCCACTGCACCTGGTCTTCTCAATCTCTTAATAAACATTGATAGAGTATTTACAATATGCTGTGGGGTATGCATTCTGCCATGTACTAGAGATACAAATATAAATAAGAAACATTCTTTGCCCCCACAGAGTTCAGTCTAGTACATGACACAGACCTATAGTTTATAGAATTGTAAAATAGCAAGAAAGCACTGGGAGATATGCACAGGCCATTCTAGGAAGGACCATAACAAGAGACCTCCACCTAGGTAGCTATAAAGCCAAGAGAGTCTTCTCAGGCCACTGTCTTCCAAGAAAATCTATCACCGCCATCATTACCATTGTCAAAGCCTCTGTATAAACACCCCAAAATACAGCAGATTATCCCCACAGATTTTAAGCAGCAGTTAATATAAAACACTAAAATAAAAATTACTGATATTGCCTGACCTATAGAAGCAGTTTGGGATTTCAGATTTTATTGGTAAATAAGGCAAACAAAGGAAGAGAAACATATTTTTTCTTTTCTTTTTTGAGACAGAGTCTCGCTCTGTTGCTCAGGCTGGAGTGCAGTGGCGCAATCTTGGCTCACTGCAACCTCCGCCTCCTGGTTTCAAGCAATTCTCTCGCCTCTCAGCCTCTTGAGTAGCTGGGATTACAGGCATGCAGCACCATGCCCGGCTAATTTTTGTATTTTTAGTAGAGAAGAGGTTTCACCATGTTGGCCAGGCTGGTCTTGAACTCCTGACCTCAAGTGATCTGCGTGCCTTGGCCTCCCAAAGTGCTGGGATCACAGGCATGAGCCACTGTGCCCAGCCAGAGAAAAACATTTTTTTGAAAAATTTTAAAATTTATATATTTATTTGAAGAATCTACTGATAAAACTGACAAATTGCTTCATTGTAGAACAATGCTTTAAATATTCTGATTAAATTTTCTGTCAAGAGAATGATTGTAATGTATTCTGAAATCAGATTTCATACTCATAATAATCTTCTGAAATGTCTCAATTTCAAGTGAGAAACAAAACTAGTCCCTACCTGGGGAGGAAAATTTCACCTCATTTAAAACATAGTCACATTCTCCATGAAGCTTTTGTACAATACTCCAAAAGTGTGAAGCTGATGGTGTACAGATTCTTAATAAGACACAACAGATGGGCATGGTTAGTGAAACATGGTTAAGACTGAGGAGAAGAGGCAGTTGATGACAAGCAGAAAAATGTACAATTCTCACTTGTATTTAGGTGTGGGGAACTAATTTAAAAGCTACTTGAGATGCTTATCTCAGAACTGTAGAACAACACTTTGAAAAGTTGTTTTATACTGATTAAACAAAGCATAATATTAAAGAACTTACCTTTAAGTAACTCATAATTTGGTTTTTACACAGATAGAACTATAAACAGGGTACAAGTGACAATATTACACAACTGAGTCAAGAAATAAGAAAAAGAATTAGGCAAACAGGATCTCTTTTGGCCAAATGATCTGACAATGGCCAAATACTCTTGTCATTACTGAATAATAATAACTCAGATCTTGAAGTAGTCTACATTCCAAAGATTAAAAATCTACAGCATAGGAGATAATATAACAATCAGAGATTTCAACAGGCAAATAAAATATCTGGCAGAGAAAAGGAAATTAGATACTCTAACTCTGACAGCCGGGTTTTTTCTTTTTATGATTTTTCCATAAGGATTCACCCAATCATTGGAGCTTTTAAGAGTTCTTCCTCCCCTTCAGATGCACTTATTTTGTATTAAAAATTGAAAAAACAATAAAGAAATTCCCTTAGGAAGGAATAGTAAGACCACTGCTATAGAGCAGAAAAATATTTACTAACATATACTTTATTACAATCATGTTTTCCCTAAGAAATTTCTATATTTGCTTTCCTCACAGTCTTTTGCTTCAAATTCTTAACAATGGAAACCATCTTGAAATTGACTTTGGAATTCAAAACACACATGGCAAGTGTCAAAGAATGGTCAATAAAATAGAACAAAGCAAAGTAAAACAAAAGAGGTGTTTAAACTGTATAGATAACTTATGAAATGTAGATAACATGGAAGGGAAAGGAAGACAGATCTGAGAAGGGAAAAAGCTAATTTACACCACAGACACCTCCCAGCTTGCCCCAGGGCAATCCTAAAATTATGGGTGGAACATTTTGGTGCTGGCACTGAAAATGGATGGAATCTACTTCCGATAAGATTCTTTGGCATAAATCTCCGTCCTGGTGCCACAACTGACCATTTCTCACTGTTTAATGTCCTTAGAAAGCTTCTTTGCAAGGCAATATGCACGTTCATATCTGTATCCAATCTGATCTCCACCCTGTGAGGAAGACAAGCCTTCATTACACCTCAATTTTAGGAACCTCTCTCTGAAGTAGTCCTCTTTCCTACGAAAATGCCAATTCCCTTTCTCACTGTCCATCTTCTTGGATCTTCTCTTTTCTTGCCTTCTGTTGGAAGAATTCTTCTGGTGCAAGGAAAGGGAAGTTGGTGCCAAAGCTGAAGGTCAAGTTACTGAGCATTTCTGAGCTTAGGAGAAAGGATACAACGTTGTTTTTCTCAATCTATGGTTCCGAGAACAGTTCCATAAATGACAGCAATCAAATTCGAGTCTGAAGTTATTTCTATAATGTATACTATGACTAAAGAATCTCCAACTAAACTGTCTTTTCATAATCAAAGTAATAACGTCTTTTCCCATTACCTTTACTGTTGGATGGCTTCCTCTCAGACCTACTCTCAGGGTGGCCCTTCTGGTTGAGGGGAAGGGTAGTTGGCCTAACTTGACCCTCAGCCCTGGTAGTGCAGTGGTTCTCACACTTTAGCGTCCGTAAGAATCACCTTGAAAAGCTTGTTAAAAATTCAGAGCCCTGGATCCCATACCCAAGGAATCTGATTCAGAAGGTCTGGTATGGGACCTAGGAACCTTTTAATATAGTTACCTAATATAATTTCAATGTTTGTGGTCTACAAAACATACTTTGAGAAACACCATTATAATGGTTAAGAACATGGGTTTTTAAAACCAAGACTCACCTGCCTCTGATTTAATCAAGACTACTTCTTCTAATTATTAACTGTGTCACTATGAGCAAATTTATTTTATCAATTTGAGTCTCCCTTTCCTCATCTATATGAAGATAATGATAACACATCCACCTATGTGAGGGTTAAATGAGAAAAGACATACAAGATGATTGGTAGAGTACTTGCCACATGGTAATTATTAATAAAAGTTTTAGTCAAGTTATTGTATTTAGCATTATTAACAATAGTTTCAAAAGCACCTTTTCTAATCAAGGCCTTCTGAATCTAGTTGGTTTTGTTTCTTCAAGAACTTATATTAATTAGATGCCCAGTTACATTATTCAAGTTACTCTCATTCACATCTAAGTGATCCATGTTTTTCATGATAACTTGCTCAAAATTGGAGTGGTATATCAAAAGGAAGCCCCAAGATGAAATTAATGACATACAATCTCTCACCGCAATTCTTGGCAAAACTGCAAACTGGGAGACTAGATTTCGCTGCTCTACCAATTTCTGTCATTCCTTACATTCCATAATCCTCACATATGAATGTCCCAACTGACTGAAAAAAATGGCTAAAAACTCAGAAGCAATTCATTTTGGTCATAACTTTTTCATTGCCAATTTCCCACAGATTTAGTGTATCTAATGACAAGACTTGAAGTTCTATGTGTTTTTTGTTATCTCAAGATTGATTACATTGTTTCACATATGTATGTGTATATATATGTATGTATATATGTAATATTTATCTTTTTTATTTCTGTATTTTTACACAGCGGATACTCAATAATTTTGACAGGTTTGTAAAGAAATTGTGTTTAGGTGGGATCTTAGAAGCACCGATGTATTATCTTCAATCATATAAAGTTATGTGAGATAAATATTTGTACAAAGAATTGACTCCTTGTTACAGCTTCTAATTATTCCTATGCAGCATTCATGCAAAGCTTTTGGAGTAGCAAATGACTTCCATTAAAATTATCAGCTCACCAAGAAAAAAGCTATAGAGCTTGCAAAGTCCTCCTGGCTGGAATAATGTATTTGCCACTGACAAAGCCAAATAGCAACTTACGCTGTAGCAAAATAATTAAAATGGAGTTCTTGCCATAGTGTAGGTGTTCAATGCATATCTGTTAAATGAATGAATGAATGTACAAACAATGGCTACCTATATACACATCAAGTGTAAGCATATTATTAAGTTCTGGGATACACGTGCAGGATGTGCAGGTTTGTTACACAGGTAAACGTGTGCCATGGTGGTTTGCCACACCTACCGACTCATCACCTAGGTATTAAGCCCTGCATGCATTAGCTATTTATCCTGATGTTCTCCCTCCCATCACCTCCCCTGACAGGCACCAGGGTGTGTGGTTCCCCGCCCTGTGTCTTTGTGTTCTCATTGTTCAGCTCCCACTTATAAGTGAGAACATGTGGTGTTTGGCTTTTTGTTCCGGCATTAGTTTGCTGAGGATAATGGCTTCCAGCTTCACCCATGTCCCTGCAAAGGACATGATCTCATTCTTGTTATGGCTGCAAAGTATTCCATGTACCATATTTTCTTTATCCAGTCTATCATAGATGGGTATTTAGGTTGATTCCATGTCTTTGTAAGCACATTATTTTACCTTAAAAAAACACAACTAAATACAAGCAAGTTTCCAATTCAAACTCAGAGTCTACCTAATTCCTACAGATTGCTACACTAATAACTGAAATTTAAATTACTTTTGGTTAATTTTACCTTAGTAAATTAAAGAACAATCTTCCTTTTATATGATATGTGAAATATTAAGCATCTCAGTAAAGAATATGTAGCTTGAGAAAACTTAATATATAACTCTAACGTGAAGTCAGATGTGCTCCTAAAAGACAGAGGTCCATTAAAAGTGGTAAAAATCATTTTTATTTTCATGTATAAAATCAAAAGATATAAAACATTACTTTTCCTCTATGCCAAAATTCAACAAAATAGTACTCTTTCTAGAAAACTCATGCCTACTAAGACCAACCGTATTTTTAGGACTTTGATTAAACATTAAAGTAGAGCTCACTTTGGTTTTAGCTCTATTGAATACAACTTTGCTTCACAAGTCTATTACTTTCATCTACCTTATATAACTTTATGAAAGTTATATATTTTTCCTATTTTCAACATAGAGTAACTTGGAAAAAACAAGCAACATAATCAATTCAAAGGATTTATATTTTGCTGTTTGAATTATAAGAGGTATGAATAGAAAAAATGGAAGAGGTTGAGAATGACTGTTTAAGATCAAAAAAATGTTTATATATTTTTAGATATTGATACCTAGGCCTTTACTTTCTCCAAACTAATAATTACGTCAAAGATTTTATAACTCTACTAGAGCATCATATCATTACAATTTCTGCATTGAGTGCACAATAAATATTTTTTAAATGACAGGCAAAGAAGCATTTGTGCTTTTTAGGGGAAAGTTATTGTCGTAAGAGCTTTTTCTTACTGACTTTTAATGCAGAGGTTGAAATTCTCCCTAAAGCTTTCAAAAAAAGCAAGTAGAATATATACCTACCAGTAATTAAATTTATGTTTTACTATGAAAAATCAGAGATTTTCTTCCGTTTTTTCAGAAAGTTCAAAATGGAGATGGCTTAATCAAGTCATGAGTTGAAATCTAGTTGCCCAGAGAAGCCAAAGGAAAAGATAATTGCTAAAGTTAAGATTTAAAATGTATCTAAATTAAGGATATTAAGCTGTATTTTAGTTGTTTAGCATATATGTACACCTACTAATCCAATGTTTTATGGGAGAAAGATCTACACAATCACAATCAAACAATAAAGCTTTCAGGACAAATGAACTGTCTATAGTTAATGCTGAGAAGACACTACTGAGTTTGCATATAACTCAAATTTGTGTTAATTAGTAAGCCACTAAACTATTTTTCTGCCTCTTTTTATTCCCTAGGTCAACTTCTGGATATGCAAATACTTATGAGAGCTCCTAGCACAATTAATTTTTTTAAAAAAATAGAGCTATTCTGGAGAAAAGATCTTGTTAGTTATGAGAAAGTGATGTTGAAAAAAGTATTTGCAGTATCTTCCTTCTGGACTCCCACCACCATCATGACATCACTGCCACCTATGCCATCACAGAGACTCTGTATTAGCACAATAACAGAAGTACAGACTTACATCTGCATTGTATGTTACCATTTATAGAATACTCTCACATACATTATCTTGCTTAATCCTCATGAATGAACAAATGAATGAATGTTCATTCCTTGTTAGGTTACCACAGCAAGCATTATTAGCCCCAAGTAGATAATGTAACTACCCAAGTACATAATAGAGCTGGATAATTACACAAGTCTCCTGGTACCTAATAAGTGACTTTTCCCTTATTAGGGAAAAAAGTATAAAAGTATTACTTTTATACTTTATAGTATAAAGTAAAAACTTTATACTATATTCAAGTACTGTAAGTAATATATTCAAATACCTTCATGTGGTTACCTTCATTTATAGTGAGATGTTACCTGATTCAGAGAAAATAATTTATCATGTATTTACAGTAACAATATATTATTTTAGGACACAGTGGTCACCAACTAAAGTGTACAGTGTTTGATTAGCAGATTCAAAGTCAGAGTATAGAGAGATACATGGAATATGTGCAAGGATCAACACAACGCTGTACTCACAGATGGAGAGACAAATGCACAGAAAAAAGAATGAAACTATGTGACACTATCTTAACCAGCTACAGTATGCTGAAATATAAGGGGCACTAGAACACTGGAATGACAAGCTACATATCAATTATAAAATATGTGTAGCCTGACAGAATTTAGGAAAGAGTAAAAAGTATTCATTTTGCTGACTAACAATTCAAGAACACATTGAGCAGGAGACCATAATTGGTAGGGAGACATATACTGCAGCAATAAGACACACTTGCCTTAGCTTCCTCTCTCGTTGGAGCTTCTCCAAAAGATCTACATGCTAACATGTCTCTAAGTTGAACTGTAGAGCTGTCTCATTTTTGTTCCAGATGAAAATACAGTACCTATTTTTTCCAGTAGGAAAAGCAGTGTATACTCATTGTGAAAAAATTTAAAACACAAGAACAAACATACAATGTACAAATGAAAGTTCCCCATAATCCCAACTCCATAGATACAACCACTGTACAGCTTGATTCATATTTTCTAAACTTTTTCACCAGTCTGTGAAAATATATATATATACATGAAATATATATATTTCATGTATAAATATATTTACAGTATATATCAATAGGAGCCCATATTATATGCTATGGTCTTGTTTGTGTTTCCCCAAAATTAATACGTTGAAATCTAATCCCTGATGTGATATATTAGGAGGTGTGGCCTTTGGGAGATGATTAGGTCATGAGGGCACTGTTCAGGATTAGTGCCCATTAAAAGAGACCCAAGAGAGCTAACTTGTCCCCTCACCGTGTGAGGATGCAGTGAGAAGGTGCCATCTGAGAAAGTGGGTCCTTACCAGACACCATTGGCACCTTGATCTAGGATTTCCAAGCCTCCAGAACTGCGAGAAATAAATTTCTGTTGCTTATGTTACCCAGTTTAAGGTATTTTGTTATAGCAGCTCAAGAGAACTAAGGCATTAAAATAAACTGCTTTAAATAGTAAATAGTAATAATATATTTAAAAACCCAAATGAAATCATACCATGCATAGTATTCTACAACTATGTTTTAAAATCTCTTAATTACTTATTTTTATTTTTTCTTTATTTTTTCTTTTTTTGACTGCAAGCTCATCCTTAAACAACTTATTTTTTAACATTACAGATTCCCTAATTCCAAGGGTAATTCTTTTTCCAGCTGCATTTGATTTAGAAAGAGAAATTTCATTTACTATATGATAAAAATGGAATACTCCATTTTTGAGACTGCAGACTTATTTTCATCTATAAATAGAAAAAAAGTAAAAAAACCATCTTCATGACAAAAAAGGAGGTTTTTCTTTTTCTTTTTTTTTGAGACAGAGTCTCGCACTGTCACCCAGGCTGGAGTGCAGTGGCACAATCTCAGCTCACTGCAAGCTCCGCCTCCCAGGTTCATGCCATTCTCCTGCCTCAGCCTCCCAAGTAGCTGGGACTACAGGTGCCTGCCACCACGCCCGGCTAATAATGTTTTGTATTTTTAGTAGAGATGGGGTTTCACCGTGTTAGCCAGGATGGTCTCGATCTCCTGACCTCGTGATCTACCTGCCTCAGCCTCCCAAAGTGCTGGGATTACAGGCTGTGAGCCACCGTGTTCAGCCTTTTTTTTTTTTTTTTTTTTCGAGATGGGGGTCTCCCTCTGCCACCCAGGCTAGAGTGCAGTGATGTGACTATGGCCACTGCAGTCTCAATGCCAACATGCCTGGCGTATTTTTTGTATTTTTTGTAGATGTGGGATTTCGCCATGTTGCCCAGTCTGGAAAAAAGGGGTATTTTGGCTAACTGTATCTAAATCTAGTACTCAAATAAAAAAATCTGATTGATGATTTAATCTGTCATATGTCTGGAGGGAAATCTGTAATAAAACTTTGGCCAGGCAATCTCATTTCTAGTAATTTATCTTAAAGAAATAATTAAGAACATGTTCAAAGATTTAGTTTCAAGGATATTCATGGTAATGCTGTTTATAATAGTGAAAAAACTGGAAGTAATCTAAATGCCCATCAACAAAGAATTGGTTAAATACATTATGGCATGTTTAATTGATGGACTACTATAACAGTTAAAAAATAATTTTATAGGAATGTATTTATTGACTTGAAAATATTTTCATATTAACTGAAGATACAGGGTTACAAAACTATACTTATATTTTTAAAGTAGTTAAACATGTATCTATCATATGATCCAGCCATTTTATTCCCAAGTATTCAACCAAGAGAAAAGAAATCATATGTTTATAAATGGATTTGTATGTGAATATTTACAGCAACTTTATTTGTAATAGCCAGAAACTGAAAACTACCAAAATATTCATCAACAGGTGAATGGATAAACAAATTGTGGCAAATGCACACAAGAGACAACAACTCAGCAATAAAAAGGAATGAATCACAGATACAAGCATCACCATGGATGAATCTCGAAAAGTTATGCTGAGTGAAAGAAACCAGACAAAATTAAGAATATACATTATGTGATTCTATTTCTATTAAATTCTAGAATATACAAGCTAATCTATGTACAGCTGTAGTGACAGAAAACAGATCAGTGGTTGCCCGGGGGTGAGGGGATAAGAAGGAGCAGGCAGGAGGGAAAGATGAAAAAGGGACATTGAGGAAACTTAGGGGTGGTGGACACATTCACTGTCTTGATTGTGGTGATGGCTTCATGGGTTAATACATATGCCATAAGTGTTCAAGTTGAATACTTTATTTTATTTATTTATTTATTTAGAAAGGAGTTTCACTCTTGTTGCCCAGGCTGGAGTGCAATGGTGCAATCTCAGCTCACTGCAACCTCTGCCTCCTGGGTTCAAGCGATTCTCCTGCTTCAGCCTCCCAAGTAGCTGGGATTACAGGCATGCGCCACCACACCTAGCTAATTTTGTATTTTTAGTAGAGATGCGGTTTCACTATATTGGTCAGGCTGGTCTCAAACTCCTGACCTGAGGAGATCCACCCACCTTGGCCTCCCAAAATGCTGGGATTACAGGCATGAGCCACCATGCCCGGCCAAGCTGAGTACTTTAAATGCATAGTTTATTGTATGTCAATCATACCTCAATAAAGCTGTAAAATATACACATACACTCATGTGCGCGCACATGCACTAAAACTATACTTAATGCTATCATCACACTGCTTTTGTTTGAAATATAAAACACAAATGAAAGTGTCTAAAACATAAATGTGCAGTTTAGTGAATTATTATAAATACCTACATAACCACCATGAAGGTCAAGAAATAAAAAATTACCAGAACTCCAGAAGCACCTCCCCCATACTTCCCTTTCTAATCACAACTTCCTCCCTCTCGCCCCCACAGGGAGTCCTATTCTGATTTTATGGTAGTTGCTTCTTTGTCTTTTTTTTTTTTCTTGCTCTTGTTGCCCAGGCTAGGGCGCAATGGCATCATCTCGGCTCATTGCAACCTCCGCCTCCTGGGTTCAAGTGATTCTCCTCCCTTAGCCTCTCAAGTAGCTGGGATTACAGGCATGCGCCACCATGCCTGGCTAATGTTTTTAGTAGAGATTTGGTTTCTCCACGTTGGTCAGGCTGGTCTCGAACTCCCAACCTCAGGTGATCCACCCACCTTGGCCTCCCAAAGTGCTGGGATTACAGGCATAAGCCACTGTGCCTGGCCTGTTTTTTGTTTTTTAAAAGTAATTTTACTACGCACATAGTCCTAAACTACATACCTTAGTTTTGGATTTTACATACATAGAAGGTATTCTTCTGTGTCTGCTTTCCTTCCCTCAACAATATGTTTTTACGAGTCATTCACATTGAGTGTAGTACACTGGCTTTTGTTGCTGTATTGTATGACTATACTACAAAGTATTGAGCCATTCTACTGTTGATGGACATTTTGTTGTTTCCAGTTTTGAACTATTGAAAATAACACTGCTATGAATGTTCTTTTAGGTGCATCTGGCTTATATGTACATGAAATAGGGTAAAACTTCAGGGTCATAGGATATATTTGCTTTTCATTTTACTTAATAATTTATATGTCACCAGTAGTATGTAAGAGTACCTGTTGATCCATATCCATGTGTTATCTCCACAGCACTTGTTGCTACCTGAAATTTTCTTGCTTATGTTTACTTGTTTAACATCTTCCCTCAGTCTCTATTATACCTCCATGAGAGCTGGGAGTTGGCCTGACTTGTCCCCTGCTCTACTCTTTGCACATGAACAGTGACTGAAACAATGCTTGACACTCGACAGGCTCTGAACAAGTATTTGTTGAATTACTAGAAGAATAAATGAAAATCCCAGCCCATTAGTAACTTCAGCCAGGAGTTTAGCAGAAGGACAACTGCGTTACTCAGTGACTCAAAAAATGCTTATGTTATATATAAAAAATGGATACATAATAACTTATATATGAGATTCCAACTATGGAAACCTATGTATATATATGTGAAGAATAAAGAGCTTTTAAGTGTGTTAGTTTAAAAACTTGCAAATCAAATTCCTCATACAACGTGGCAGCAAAACTTCATAACAGTTTCTGAGCTTTTTAGTTTTCCTCTTCTTCAGATTCCTTTGTTTTGCAGTATGAGACATACTGTATGTTTAGAATATAAGATGAGAAATAAACTAACAGGTAACTGTAGCAGTTACATTACAAGCAAATTTAAATTTTCCAAAACTAGTAATGATAATAAAGCTTAAGCAGTTGAAAGGTGGGATGCAGTCACTCAGAAAACGAGATACGTGCCTGTGGCTGTATTTTACGGCCACAATTTTTTCAAATTTTACATTTGAAAAAAACCTTTTTTTTTAAATGTAAAAAAAGTTTCCTTTGGCTTTACTCCTTTCAGGAAAATAAGGATTTCGGATTTCTCTTTCTTTTCTTTTTTCTTTCTTTCTTTTTTTTTTTTTTTTTGAGATGGAGTCTCGCTCTGTCGCCAGGCTGGAGTGCAGTGGCGTGATCTCGGCTCACCACAACCTCCGCCTCCTGGGTTCAAGTGATTCTCCTGCCTCAGCCTCCCAAGTAGCTGGGACTACTGGCACAAGTCACCATGCCCGGCTAATTTTTTTTGTATTTTTAGTAGAGATGGGGTTTCACTATGTTGGCCAGGCTGTTCTCGGACTCCTGACCTCGTGATCCGCTCGCCTCAGCCTTCCAAAATGCTGGGATTACAGGTGTTAGCCACCACGCCTGGCCTCTTTTCTTTCTTTCTTTTTTTTGAGATAGGGTCCCACTCTGTCACCCCAACTGGAGTGCAGTGGCACAATCACAGCTCACTGTAGCCTCGACCTCCTGGGCTCAAGTGATCCTCCCACCTAAGCCTCATGAGTAGCTGGGGCTACAGCTGCACAGCACCATGCCTAGCTAATTCTAAAACGCCCAATGAACAGTTCTTTTTTTTTTTTTTGTCACCCAGGCTTGAGTGCAATGGTGTGATCTTGGCTCACTGCAACCTCTGCCTCCCAGGTCCAAGGGATTTTCCTGCCTCTCAGCCTCCTGAGTAGCTGGGAGTACAGGCGCGCACCACCATGCCCAGCTAATTTTTGTATTTTTAGTAGAGACGGGGTTTCACCATGTTGGCCAGGCTGGTCTTGAACTCTTAACCTCAGGTGATCTGCCAGTCTCGGCCTCCCAAAATGTTGGGATTACAGGCGTGAGCCACCGTGCCCAGCCTATACATTTGCAATGATTGCCTGTCTACTCTACATTTTCAAATATAATTAACTTTTTTTTTTTTAAGTTCTGGGATACAATGGCAGAACGTACAGGTTTGTTACATAGGTATACGTGTGCCATGGTGGTTTGCTGCATTTATCAACCCATCATCTAGGTTTTAAGCCCTGCATGCATTAGCTATTTGTCCTGATACTCTCCCTCCCCTCGCCCCCAACCTTCCAACAGGCCCTGGTGTGTGTTGTTCCCTTCCCTAAAATATAATAAATTTTTAAAGCAAAACAAATCCTACTCATCATTTAGTTACTTAATGCCTAGGATGTGCAAAAGCACTTTACTAGGGGTTGAGGATATAGTAAATGAATAAGAAATAGATCCTGCCCTCAAGAAAATCACAGTGGGTTGAAGAAAGATACATAAACCAATAATAATAGTACTTTACAATAGACAAAACCATGAGAATGAAAGAAAGGCCTCTTTTAACTAGCGGACAGATGAGAAGGTTTCACAAATAAAGTGAAATCTGAACTGAGCTATAAAAAAAACGAAGAAATTTTGCCTGGTGAAAATAAGGGTGAGGGAATTATAGAGTTGCAACAATAAGAATATATATTTGGTCTTTGTCTCCACTTCCAAACAGAGAGCTTCTAAAACCTATGGTATTCCTAAGTGACAGGAATATCTTTTGTTACTTGTAACAAGCCCCTTTCAACCACACTAGAGTTTATGCTAATGAGGTGACTAGTGGTGAGTCCCCAGACACTTCAGGATGGACACTGGTTGCTAGAGGAACCAACCATGTGACTAGCGGGTTGGTACCTTCAGTTCCACCTCTGGGAATCTAGAGAGGGGATGGGGGTTGGAGATTGAGTTAATCATCAAAGGCCAATGATGTACTCAATCATGCCTATGTAATGAGACCTCCATAAATACCCCACAGACAGGTTTTGGAGAGGTTCCAAGTTGTTGAACACACTGAGGTGCTGGGAGGGTGGCATCCCAGAGGCATGGAAGCTCTGCCCTCCCCCTATACCTTGCTCTATGTATTTCTTCCGTTTGGCTGTTTCTGAGTTGTATTCTTTATAATAAACCAGTGCATGTAAGTAAACTGTTTTCCTAGGTTCTGTGAGACGTGCTAGCAAATTATAGAACCTGAGTAGAGAGTCATGGGAATTCCCAACTTTGTAGTCAAGTGGGACGGAAGGTGTGGGTAACCTGGAAACCTGCTACTTGCAACTGGCCTCTGATGTGAGGGCAGTCTTGTGGGAATGAGCCCTTAAACCTATCACATCTGAGGCTAGCTCTGCGTAGTTAGTATCAGAATTGAAATGAATTCTAGGACACTCAGTTGGTACTGGAAAATTGGTTGGTGTGGAGGGAGCCCCTCCACCCTCCGCATTTGGTGTCAGAAGTGCTGGGAGTGAAAAACCGTTCAGAAGGGTGATGGCAAAAGTGTAGGAAAACATGGAGCATTCCAAGAACAGGGCAACCAAACTGACCTGAGGAAAGTGAAAGAAGAGATTAACATTTACTAAGTCTGGTACTGTAGTACCAGAAATTTTAGTTTACCTTATTCATACATCAACTATTTTACAAATGAGAACCTGAGACTCAGAAAAGGTAAGCGACTCTTCCAAAGTTACTTATGCACACAGTTAAATAATGGCTGAGCTGGGACAAGAATCCCAGTCTGTGATTCCAAAGCCCATTGTCTCTCATACGGTACACATAGGGAATAACAGGAAATGAAATTGGAAAAAAGAGCTAGGTCTACACTATAAAAGGTCTTAAGTGCCAAAGAAGTTGGTAGGCAAGGAGGAACTGCAGAAGATTTTTAAGAAATAAAGTGAAAATCTGTGCACAGGAAAGACTGATAAGGGAAATAAAGAGGCAAGAAACCACTTGGGATCCTAATCATGAGCTGAAAATGAATTAATGAGGGACTAAATTAGGGTTAAGGCAATGAAAATATAAAGTAAACAAAAGCAGAAAATATAAAGTAAACAAAAGCAGAAAATAAGATATTTCAAAGAAAAATCTGTAAGACTAAGCAACTAATTAGATATAAAAAAGAATGAGTCCAAGGTAATTCAGGGTCAGAAGAAGAATGAATGGTCAAACTGCTAACAGAATTTTGAATATGGGAAGAGCTTATTTAGGAGGAGAAGAAGGTAATGTGCCCAGTTTGTAATTTTCTTTTCAACAAGTCAGTAAGTAGGGACCTGGAATTTAGGGAAACGTAAAGGCTCAGGTTATGGATTTGAGGTTCATCTGCCTAGAGGCCTGAAGCCTTGGGAATACAGAGCTCAGTGAGGGAATGCATAGAACTCCTTCTCTTACAGGACAGGAAAATGAGATAGACAATGGTCTTAAAAGTAGGAAAAGAAAACAGTCACAAAAGGCAATTTCCAAGAAAAAAAGAGAATGCATGCTAAGAGTCAAGTTGCTGCAGTGAAGTTAAAGAGGGTGAGGACTAAAAAGGAGGTAAATTTCGCCATTAGTTCACTGAGGCCTTTACCAGATGCTATACTGGCACCGAGTTTGTAACTTTATGCCTACAAATACTATATTTGCAGACCATCCTGTCTAACATGGTGAAACCCCGTCTCTACTAAAAATACAAAAAATTAGCCGAGGGTGGTAGCGGGGGCCTGTAGTCCCAGCTACTCGGAAGGCTGAGGCAGAAGAATGGCGTGAACCCGGGAGGCGGAGCTTGCAGTGAGCTGAGATCGCGCCACTGCACTCAAGCCTGGGCTACAAAGTGAGACTCCATCTCAAAAAAAAAAAAAAAAAAAAAAAAAAAAAATTGCCTGTTTCTTCTGACTTTCTAAAGAACTTTTCTCATAGTTTCCCGTAGCACTTATAGCATAGTATAGCATAGTTCTAAGTGTTTTTAATTCTCCCTTAGATAGTACCCTCCTCCTCAAATACCAAGACAGGAAACCCAGTCATTATTTCTTGAATGAAGGGCCAAATAAATGGTTCATAATGGGATAAAGAAACAAAGAGAAAATGTTATACTATTTAATGTTTAACATTTAAACATTAAATGTTATTTTATGTTTACATTTTAAGAACAAAGCTGGATATTTACATTTTAAGAACCCCCAATATTTAATGAAAAGCAAATCTATCTTAAAATGATTGTGCATAGGCAGGGCAAAAGAGATTATTCTGCCTGTTTCAAGATAGCAGACTGGGAACCAGCTAGTTTTCTCTCCTACATCAATTCCTGGAAATGAAAGAAAATTAATTAACAGTCACACAAGAACAAAAGGAACTGATGGACTAGCAACTGGGAATATTTTGTGATTTACAACAGACTAGATCAAACTAAAGAGGAAAATCACAAGCTAAGATATACAGACACAAAAAACAGCAAGAGAGTTCTATGCCCAAAGTGTTTCATGCCCAATGGTGAAGTATTGGAACAGGAAAGGGCTGAGGGACAGTCAACAGTCTTATTAGTTGGAATACCACAAGGGATGCAGTCAAGTCAGATCAATCCATGTTCACATCCTGTGCCACACACCCTGCGCAGTAACAGAGAGTATACAACTCCTGAAGAGAGTATTAAATATTAGAGATTTAATCTTAAATCTTAGAGACAGGGCAGTGTCCAAGGTGGCTGGGGAAAAAAAGGAAGCATTCATTCCTAGTAGAGCAGTCTCCAGGATATCCAGCCCAGAAATACTTTCTACACACTCCTCTACTTTCACTGAAAATCCTGAGTCAAAACTCCCATGGCAAGTCTTAGTCCCCTTCCCAAGCAGACTGCCTAAACAGAAGCAGGAGAGAGTATAACAATGAATTTCAATGAGAAAGATGCATATACAATCAAAGGATGGGCAGACTCTTGAGGAATGTGAATCTCATTTAAGGCAGAAAACAACTTCAGCAAATGAGGTACACATCTAAAGAAAAAGGGTTAACAAATAAATGGAATAGGATTTTAAAATAAGCATGTTTGACTTATGCTTCTGGCCATGATGTTGTAACATGAATCGGATTTAACCTTCTTTTAAAACAACCAGAAAACTGGCAAAAATAAAATCAGGTGAGGCTTATGATCTCCTGGCTTTCTGCCTGAAGGCAAATTCTGGATTTCTGAGCAGGCACAGGCATCCCAAGCATGCCATGGCTGTTTTCCTGAGTAAAGGAGACAGAAATTAGAATTCCAGAAGTCTAAGGTTTCCAGAAGATGTGGAGCAAATTTCTGGAGAAGAGGGACTATGCAGAAAAAAAATAATAATAAAGGCTCAGAAATCTGCTATTAAGTCTTTGCTAGATACTAAGAAATATGTGCCTAGGATGAAGTTCTATAAGGTTTGGCAAAGAATGACAAGGTGTTGTGAGCTGAATGGTTCCCAGAGCTCATATAGGTCTGAGGACCATTTAAACTTCTTTCAGCCAAACTGGAGACTGTTTACTGATCATTCAAGGCATTCAGTAGAAACCTTAGAAGGACCACAACTAGCATAGGGCTACTGCAACCCCAACACTAACAAAACTTGAAAAGATCAAGCCAAACTATAAGTAACTTAACTGCTGCCCACTAAAGCTCAACACTGTTTCAGGAAGATAACAAAATCCAGAAACTTGGCAATGTAAAGCTCACAATGACTAGCATCCAAAACAAAACAAAACAAAAAAACAACAACAACAAAAAATTAAACATACCAAGAAGCAGGAAAATATTACCTATAAGCAGGAGAAGGACAACAGAAATAGACCTAGAATTTATAGATTATGGAATTATAAGATGATGTTAAAATAGTTATTACAACTATGTTCAAGTATTTAAAGAAAAACATAAGAAAAAAGGAACATCTAGAGATAAATATATATGTTTACTATCTTCCCAGAGATAAGAGACTATATCACATATATTTTACAGAATAGAACAGGAAACAGGAAAAAGAACAAACTAAAGAACTTGGAAACAAAAAAAATCTCACTGTTGAAATACCAGCTCAACTGACTTGAGAAACTTGAAGCCTCAGCAATGGAAAATGCCTTGAATCAATATAATTTACATAGTAGAATGCCCCAAAGACTCAGGAACTGATGGCACAAGAAACTGGAAGTTGGTGTAAAATGAAGCTAAAATAAGGATGATCAGGTGAAGATGGTTTAAAAAATAATTCAATCCCCAAATCTCCTCCCTTCATTTTATGGACTGGGTGAGTGCCCTGATTTCTACCCCAGTAGAAATCTAGAGGCTTATCCTCTCAAGGAGAGACTAAAATGAAGGGTCTCCAGACCTAAGAACCCTAGGTGCAGTTGAAAACAGAAAGCTTAAGTAAACATGCATACCGGATACTGACATGCGTTAGCATTCCTCATCCATAAGGCCAAAACTATGGCAACCAGGCTTTACCTTATGGGTAGAAGACAAAGAATCTTCTCTTGGTAATCCATCAACTCAAGTGTAAAGATACAAACATTGGAAATCCCCAATATAAGAACACAGTCAGATCACCCTAGCAGTGAAAAAATCCCTTCTACTGGCTCAGTTTCCAATTAGCTTCTTGGTTCCCTGCTCTTAAATAGGAATTGACAAACAAATATACGTAGTAATCACCTAAATAAACTCTAACACGTAATATATACACTAAAACAAACACACCAACAGGAAAAAACAAATCACAGAGAAGAAAGACTACACGAAGAAATGAAATACAAATGAAAGATAAAGAGTATACAAAGAAATGAAAATTTAACAAAATTATTGTTGTTCTGAGAGAGATTTAATAAAGATATTATAGGCTGGGTGCAGTGGCTCATGCCTGTAATCCCAGCACTTTGGGAGGCTGAGGTGAGTGGATTGCTTGAGACCAGGAGTTTGAGACCAGCCTGGTCAACATGGTGAAGCCCTGTCTTTACTGAAAGTACAAAAAAATCAGCCAGGCGTGGTGGTGGGCACCTGTAAACCCAGCTACTGGGGAGGCTGAGGCAGGAGAATCACTTGAACCTGGGAGGCAGAGGTTGCAATGAGCCAAGATTGTGCCACCGCACTCCAGCCTGGGTGACCGAGGGAGACTCCTTCTCAAAAAAAAAAAAAAAAAAAAAGATATTACAAAATGATCAGATAAGATAAGGGTGTTATTCCATGGCACACGTTTACCTATGTAACAAATCTGCACATCCTGCATATGTATCCAAGAATTTAAAGCCTTTAGGCAATAAATTTTAGACTAAAAAAATAAAAATAAAAAAAGTAAAATGCTTAAGAAGTTGAAAAAAGAGTGTTATTTTAAAAGAAATAACTAGGGAACAAAATAAACTCATAGATATTAAAATGTGGTAGCAAAACAAAGGTTAAAAGATAAAGTTTATGAAATCCCTCAGGAAGCAGAACAACAAGACAAAGACATGGTAAATAGGAGAACAAAAAAATAAAAAAGAAAAAAAAGAAAATTAGAAAGCCAGTTCAGAAAGCCTAATATCTGAATAAAAGGCATTTTGAAAGAGAATACAGAGAAAAGTAGGGAAATAAATCATCTACTAAATAATTCAAGGCAATTTCCCAGATAGCCTAGCACCACAAATTGAAATAGACCCACACCAAAGCACATCATTGGAAAATTACAGAACACTGAGGACAAAAAGAAGATCTTATAAGCTTACAGACAGAAAACAGTAACTCACAACAAAGGATCAGGAATTGAATCGCTTTAAGTTTTTCAAAAGCAACCCTGGAAATTCCAAGACAATGGAACAATATCCTCATTATTCTGAAAGAAAATTATTTCCAAGTTAAAATTCTATTCCCAGACAAACTACTCTGTATTATGGTAGAGAAACAGCATCTTAAGACGTGTAAGATCTCACAATATTTATGTATCCTTTCTTCAGGTTTTTGCTGAAGTATGTATAAGAGAGGCTTTCCCTGATCATCTTTGATAAAAGAACACATCTTTACCCTCCCCTGGCCTTCCTATCCATCTTACCTTCCTTATTTGTCTTTGAAACACTGACATCACATATTTTCTTTTAATCCCACAACTTAAAACACTCTCACTAAAGTATAAACTCAAAGAAGGCAGAGACTTTGTTAACTTATGATTTCTTAGCACCTAGTACCATGTGTGACACATAACAGGCCCTCAATAAATAATGTATTGCTCTGATAGAAATAAAAGAATACTTTTACAAAAGTGGGTAATGGAGCAGTAGCAATAATTAGACTATTCACATATGAGAGTAAAACAAAGGCATTTTCAGAAATACAAGAAAATAAATACAACAGAAATAAAAGGTCTTCAGCTATCTCACTTGGAGACCTCTTTCTGAAAGCAGAAAGACATTCACCAAAGCGAGAAGAAAAGATCCTCCCTATGTGGACTATGGTTTTTCCCATTTTATTTTAAGTAGGAAATCTACCTCTTTTATCACCGTAATTAGCAGATAAAATCTACCTCTGGTTATCCCCTTTCACAAACAAAGAATTAGCTTTTTCTGAATTAATTTAATCTTACTGAAATTCCTTAATACAATGATTCACTTAATAGAAATTCATCCTGAAAGAAACAGAAAACTAGGGAACAAATGAAACACAGACTGCCAAAATCCTCACATTAATAGAATTCAGTTGGGTATGGTTATGGCCAAGATCAGAATAGCTGATGCTTCTCTCTCTCCCTTCACTGTAGCCTAGCTACAACTGCAGCTGCCAGACATGGGAGCAGCTCACTGCTCACAGTACAGAATGTCAGCTTTGAACCATAACTAACGGCAGGCTGCCAATAATCAGCAGGAGATAGCTGAAATCTAAAATGGAGGTTACCAGGAAAAATGGACTGCATTTCAGAAACTTGTCTATTTTATTAAGGCTTCTTATGCTTGTATTTCCAAACATATGAAGTTTAAAAACAATTTATTTAATCATCTCTGACAGATCCATTCCATTCTTCAAATCCATGTTGAAAAACTTAACTTTATTTCCTTCGATTTACAGACAACTATTTAGGCGTAGAAAGTTGACTGTGAACTCCACTAGAGCAGTGGTCAAGTTACTCATTTCCCTCCCTCCCTCCCTCCGCCCTCTCTCCCTCCTTACTCATTTCCCTCCCTCCCTCCCTCCCTTCCTTCCTTCCTCCCCCCTCCCTCCCTCCTTCCTTCCTTTCTCCCTTTCTTCCCTCCCTTCCCTTCTCTTCTCTTTTCTCTTTCTCTTTCTTTCTTTTTTCCCCAGCACATAAATCACTTACTAAACTCATATACCCCTTTCATTTTTAGAACACACTGAGGTTCAGAAACATTATGTGGCTTAATCAAGGATGTTTATAGTAGAAGTCAATGGCGGAACTAGGACTACCACACACAGCTTACTCCTGACTTTTCTTTTAATGTCCGACCCAATTTAAACAAAGATGGGAGGGAGAACAATAACAATTTTCTGAATCATGAATCATGCTGGCTCTTTCATGTGGTTACTAGTCTCTCTACAAGTTAACTAGAAAGATTTATAAATAATCCAATTAGATCTGACCTCTTCAAAGATAACTATTATACATATCTAATAAAAATTCAAAAGGAAAGATCCTACATCTTACAGCCAAGGATAGTCTAATTTCATCTGCATGCATTCAACATTTGCATAACCCTTCTGAAGTACACACCAATTTAATATCTTTCTATGTTAACATCTACCATCCTCACACATGTGAAGCAAAGTTTGTCTGTAAATCTGCATAGCAGATCATGTTCAGTCAATAAAACCCATACAACATGTGCCCGGAATGTGATTGGAAAGGAAGACGGGGCAGATCATTATACCAATTCCACACTAACTTGATTTTATAATGAGGGCAATGGGAAGACACAGAAATATTTTAAGCAGAAAAATGACAAGAATCAGATCTGTATTACAGAAAGATCAATTTGATAGTAATATGGAGGATGGATTAGAAGAGGGACAAGTCTGGAGGCAAAAAGGACTTAGGTGTTGAAGTGATTCAAGTGAGAAATGATGGCAATCTGAATTAAAGCCATGATAGAAGATGTTGGAGAAGTAAGGACAGATTTAAGCAATACTGACCTGGGACGCTGGTTAATAATAAGTGGAAAAAAAAAAGAATTAAAACTTAGGTTCATACTGGCAAAATAAAGTGCGAAAAACCTTCAAAATTTATTTAAACTTGTAGTAGAAAACAAACGAACTACTTTCCTAGTACTACCTTCAGGCTGTGAAGATATTAACCAAAGACCACAAAAACTGTCCCTCAGGTTCTCTAAGTAACCAGTGTCCAAAGGTATTTTGGCTAAAACAAAGCCCTTTTTCAATTACCACAGCTGGCATCCTAGTATGTTACCACTGAAAGAGAAAGACAGGAAATGAATCAATAAACCCCAGGCATATGCTCAGCCTAGAAAGACACAGCATATCAAGGAGCAGAAATCTGTAAATAAAGACCCTGGGTAATTTAATTACCAGGCCAGAATCTGCTAACTGCCGGTTTAATTGTTTGAACAGCGCCCAAATTGTCTGACGAGGTGATCACCCTAAGATCTTTGTGCCATTTACTGCACATGACCACATGGATGAATATAAGAAATAGTTCTAAAGAATGTAGGAATAGTGAATAACTTTCATTAATCACACCTGTGATTCCAGAGGAAAAAATGTAGTTAAGGCCTTATTGTACTCATAAATAACCCAAGGACTCTTAAGCAAATTCATTTGCCATTCCATATTCCATGCTGCCAGACCAAGAAAATATTATCCTTCAGAGATGAGCACCAAATGCCATAAAAGTCCTGGAGAACAAGTTACCCAGGTTAAATGCATATGTTCTTATTTACCATTATATTCTGAAAAGGTTATGTGAAGGGAGGTGTGGGAGTTAGAAGAAAAAGTAATTGTATGGTGGTAACTACCAGTAAGCACTCAAAAACTGCTCAGTATACTGGAGGAAGCCAATTTTCTCCCTTGATTCAGTTAGTATTTCCTCGTTCATGTTTATCTCGTGAAGAGTAAACCAACAGAAAACTCCTTTCAAAAACTGAACAAAGAAGTACCTCAGACTACTTAACCTGGCAGTGTTCTCCTGTTGGCTTCACTCGGTAAATAAGGTCTACAAGGCCAAAACAGACTATTACACCATTCATTCAACAGGTATTTGTAAAACACTTTGTATTGTGCTAAAGTCCTCAACAGAAGCTTACAATCTATTAAGAGATAAAAGATACACATGCAGACTTTAAATAACAGTGAAAGGCAGTGTGTAGATAAATTCTAAAATGAGTTGTGCAGGAAAGAGAACTACAGTGTTCTCCTAATAAGAAATCAATGTGGATAGAATTAATTGAGAAAAACTTGACTGAAGAGCTGGAACTTCAGTTAGAACTTTTAAATAGGCAGTATTTCAATAGGCAGAGAGCAAAGGGCTTTAGGGCTCCAGATCAACATGAGCACAGAGTTTGAATCAGAGATTTACATGTTCTATTTTGAGAATATGGAGATTAGCTTAGCTATGGGTTTTGTGGGAGTTAATTAGATTTGGTCATTAGATCTGGTAAGCAGTTCATTGGCCAGTTTCCAAAAGTACAGAAGACAGGAGCCCAAACGCTTCCTACTTCCATTATAGATAAGGAGGGAATACAGGACCAAAGCCACATATTAAATTAAGAGGAACAGTTATATTCACTGTAGTTGACAAAACCATTAAATGCTTTCCCTGTTTCTATTCTTTACTGTTAATATATTAAATTAATGATATCCATCAAGATTCAATTCAATTAAATGACATGCTTAAGGAGATGAGGGGCGGGGCAGAAGAAACAGAAATGTGCAAAATCAGCAGACGGAAGCTTGTGAAGTTCAAAGAACTCTAAGGCGGCATATAATCAGTTAGTACATGAAGTCAGAATATGGCTTCAAGTCTTGGTTATGCCACCTACTTGCTTACTTGCTCTGTGACCCTGGGCAAATTGTGTAAGGTCTCTGTCCCTCAGTTTCTTCAACTGTAAAATCCATCTTATAAGGTTTCTGAGAGGATGAAATGACATAGTTTATGTACAGGACTGAACACAATGCCTGATATATGGTAAGAGTTCAAGAAATGATAATCTTTCTTGCTATTATTTTTAAGGGTAGGGTATATAGAGTGCAATGATCCTTGATGACCTTGTTAAGGATCCTGGACTTTACCCCAAAAGCAAGGGAAGTCCCTGAAAATTTTTAACAGGATCAAATTTTTATTTTAACAAGATGACTTACTTAGTACCTCTTATTAGAAATGCCAAAGGAAAATTTTATTCTAGAATTTACTACTAAGAAAAGTTTTGCTTTCTTCGAGGAAGAGGTACCGTTCCTTCTCTTAGATAAAATTCGGTAAATGCCTGCATCTTCTATTCACTTTGACAGCCACAAAGCTTGAAGCCAAATGTGAAGTTCTTAGGCCCTTATGTCCTGCATATTTCTGTTCCTTTTTCCTCCTGACAATTGTTTTCTACTTTTATATCTATTTTCTGATTCAACTCTTTCTTCTTATTTATATTCTAGAATTTTGGGGGTATTATTCTCCTTTGAAACTACTTCAACTCTTTGTGGAATGAGGTACAATATAATTAACTGAACAAAAATAAAGGATAACCATCAGAGCCTCATAATGCATGAATCACACACCGTAGATGCATTCCCAGCATGCCACCATAATTGCTCTTTTGGCGTAAGCCTAGTCAGATGGAGCAAGAAAACCAGATGGCACAGGAAGCCTCTCTATTCAAGAAGTAGAAGAGAAAAGTGCAAAGACCTAAGGCCTTCCTGGAATTAGCAGGGCACGGTTAAGGCAACTGTGCTAAGAGTAGAAGAGAAATTGAAAGTGGCAAGCTGCTGGGAGTTATGCACAGACTCAAGGCTAGAGTTTTAAATATTTTTAATATATAAATGTTGTTCCCTTAAAGTACTTGAACCTCTTCAGTCTCTCCACTCTTCTATTATTCCAGCTCATAAGGCCCTTTTGTTGCTTCACTTATCTCTCTCCTGAACTTGGATCTCACAATCAGCCTTTTCAACAATGACCTCTCTGACCACAGCAACTCTTACATGCATTTCATCTTCCACCATTCTAATCCTCAACCTGGGCCATTCATTCATATTGTCTACTTTTTCTCCTCTTGGATTGAAAAGCACTGCTGATGTGAGTCTACCATAAACTCCCTCACTGCTAATTATTGATCCTTCTATTCATCCCCTGACAATCATATGAGCACTGCTAGCTGTTCTAAACCTTTCTCTCACTACAGTGTCTAATGTACTGCCTTTCTCTGATGTCTCATCAGCTACACTACAGAATGAAATACCTCTATCTTGAATCAACAAACTCATCTTCCTTCTATTCTACCACAAAGAGCCTTTGTAGGCCAGATCCTTGGCACAATCTCTAATTATCATTGTAACTGCACCAATGCACACCTTTTCAGAGAAGGAGGAATTCCTCTCTTCTAAACTAATCATTCCCTCTGTGCCCTTAATCCCATTGTCTCTTGTCTACTCTGGGACCTTATTTCACCATCTCTTTCTTCCTGCCTACATTCTTTTCTTTTCTAGCTGTTTCAAACACCAAGACCACAACCAAAACCATTACATAATACTGAATCCTATGTAGACCCTATTACCCCTCAATTCTTTCCTTCCCTTCTTTCCACCTTGAGAACTTCAAAAGGTAGTTTTATAATATCTTTCTCCCTTTATCACCCATGCATCCTTAACCTCTTGAAATCTGGTTGTAGCTTCCAGTTTACTGAAAAGTACTTTCTTTGAAGTGACTGGTGATCTCTTAATGACCAAATACCCCCACTTCATTCCAAGCTCCTTTGGCTAATCAGGAAAGAAACTGTCCATATTTCCCAAGCCACTCTTCTACTCCATCAATTCCTTTCTTCCACCTGCTTCTAATAAAAGGCATAACCAACTCACTTCTTAGCCTTCTTAATTCTGAAATCTCATTATTACAGCTTCATTGATCACTTCTATTCAGGTAATCCTCAAATCTATACTTCTATTACTAAACTCTCCTTTTTTTTTTGAGAGAGACAAGGATTTACTGAAGTATGATTTATATACAATAAGATGCAAACTCTTAGATGGTTAACTATATGAGGTAATTGTATATTCTGTATAACCACCATTCAAAACAAAAATAAAACATTTCCATTTCCATCACCCAAGATAGTTCTCTCTTGTCCCTCTCCAGTCAGTTCTCCCCTCTCCCTGGAGGCAACTTTCCAGCTTTCATTACTATCCATTAGTGTTGACTGTTATAGAATTTCACGTAAATAGAACCATATATAATCTGTACTCTTTTGTGTCCAGCTTCTTTTACTTAGCACATGTCTGTAAGATGTATGCATGTTGTTGCATGCATAAATAGTTCATTTCCTTTTTGAATCATCTGCCTTTGTATTACTATACTACGATTTGTTCTGGATACATTTTCCCACTGATGGACATTTGGGTTGATCCGACTTTGCGTGACTGTGAAAAAAGGCTGCTATAAAAATTTGCATTCTTCTCAAAATCGTTTTATGGACACTTGTTTTCATTTTTCTTGGGCAAATACCTAGGAATTGAATTGTTGCGTGATGGGGTATATGCATGTTTAACTTCATAAGAAACTGCCAAACAGTTCTCCCAACTGGTTGTACCATTTTACATTCCTACCAGCAATGTATGAGAGTTCTAGTTGCTTCACAGCCTAAAATTTATTGTTGTCAGTTTTTTCAATTTTAATCAGTCTAACTGATGTGAAATGATATCTCCCTGTGGTTTTTAATTTGCATTTCTCTGATGACTAAAAACGTTGAGTAATTTTTCATGTGCTTTTTGGCCATTTGTATATCTTTTGTCTGGTTCCAGTCTTTTGTCCATTGTTAAATTGGGTTGTCTTTTTATGGTTGAATTTAATTATCTGTTGAATTTCATTTGCTCCCATATTTTCAACTATCAATTGTCCGTAGCAAACTAACTGTCCTGATATTATCTCCAAACCATACTTAAAATCTAATTTGTCATTTTTCACTCTGAAAACAGACTTAGGCACTACTGTCAACCACACCACAGTATTCTTCAATCATGTTTGCTTTAAATCCTAACTTGGTGTTTGCTTCTTGACACTCAACAGGAATTCTTGACAGGTGCTAAAGTATAATTACTAACAGTACAGGCTCTAGGATTGCCTGGTTCAAATCCAGAGTCTGTTGCTTATTTGCTGTGTGACTTTGAACAAATTACTGAATCTTTCAGTACCTACCTTGTAAGTTTTTTGTAAGGTTTTAAAAAATAAATCAAGTACTTTAGACAGTACCCAACAAAAAGATAGTGCTCAATAAATAACAGTAGTTGTTATTTTTAGAATTAGAAATGCCTCTTGCTTAAAACCTTTTCTCATGATTCTGACAACTAACATCTTAACCCAAACATTCAGCCTCTCACATCTAAACAATTAAAGTACTCCTAAATGGCTTCTTTTCTCCTCCTCTAATTCAGCTGACACACCACTGCTGGATTTATCTTCCTAAAAAACTCCCTTATAGGCATCATCACTTCCTGGCTCTCAGATGGCCATTCTAATAAAGATCCTAACCCCTTCTCCTACTCCTAATACTTAAGGTTTCCCACAACTGGTCTTTATACGACTCTCTAAAATATGCCTCTTACATATAGGGATAGGGGAAGAATCCAAGAGATTCAAAAGATTGTGTCTAAAATAGAAAAAAAAATCCAGAAATACCAGTACAAGCACATTATTTAGGGAAATGAAGGTAGGTTTAAATTAGTCAGCTAAAATAAATGAAAGTAGGCCAGTTGCAGTGGCTCACACCTGTAATCCAGTGCTTTGGGAGGCTGAGGCATGTGGATCACTTGAACCCAGGAGCTGGAGACCAGCCTGGGCATCATGGCAAGATCCCATCTCTACAAAAAAATTTAAAAATTAGCCTGGCATGGTGGCACACACTTGTAGTCCCAGCTACTTAGGAGGATTGCTTGAGCCCAGGAGGTCGAGGCTGCAGTGAACTGTGATTGCGCCACTGCACTCCAGAATGGGTGACAGAGTGAGATCCTGTCTCAAAAAAGAAAGAAAGAAAGAAAGAAAGAAAGAAAGAAAGATATGAAAGCGGTTGCCTCTAAAGAGGAGAAAATGGGGGAGGAGTGGCAGGAGCATGGGGACTGTATCATCCGTAACAAACTTTGCACAATTATTTGACTCCTTAAACTAATACTAGTAAATGTTTAACTTTTGCAAAAATAAAAACTTGGAAGATAGATAAGCCCAAGAGACACAAACAGAAAGAAAGGAAGGTTGGTTTATAATGAAGCAGACACTATACTCGGCAATTTGGTTGTCCATACCTACGGATAATATTAAATAAATAGACCTATGCGAGGAATAGTTGGACACATCCATTCACTTAGGGCAGCTACCCTATTTGCAAACTGAGGAGTTTGGATTTTATCCAATGAGCAATAGGAAGGTGAGTGAAAGTTACTGAACACAGTTGTAATATAATAAAAATAATACTTTAGGAAGATTAAACAGGAATTATATAAAATGTACTTGACTAGAGAAGAAAGAGAGAATGGTAAAACATGAAGGATTCGCTAATTAAGACATGAAGTGTTGAAAGCTTAGGGCAGGGTGATGACTGGGGAAACAGAAGGATTTAATTTCAAGTCATTTTGCAAGAACAGAGTATGATCTGCTGGCCAACTAAATACAAAACTAACAATGAAAAAAACATTGGGAACATAACACCCTCCCAGCACAGAGTAAGCAATAAAGGAATACTTGTAAAGTTAAATAAAGACTGACTCTGAAGTTATAAACCTGAAATCTTAATATACAGTTCAAAGTACAAAGTTAACTACTGTTTATCTATGGTTTTTTTTCCATCTAAGTCTCCAATTGGTTTAAAACATTTTGGGCTTAATTCACTTAAAATCTTATACAGTAGTCCCCGCTTATCTGCAGGGGCTGTGTTCTAAGACCTCCAGTGGATGCCTGAAACTGCAGACAGTACCAAACCTTATATGTACTATGTTTTCTCCTGGATAAACATACCTATGATAAAGCTAATTTGTAAATTAGGCACAGTAAGAGGTTAACAACAACAATACTAAAATAGAACAATTATAACAATATACTGTAATAAAAGGTATATGAATGTGGTCTCTCACAAAATATCTTAATATTTTCAGGCCATAGTTGACCTCAGGTAAGTGAAACCGCTGAAAGTCCCCTCTGATAGGGGGGACTAATGTACATATTTTTCACTACTTGATTAATGTTATTTGGATGGAATCTTCTCATTTCTATTTTAATATCTTCATGGGCTCCATGTCAGAAACGGGCTGGCTACCAGACCATTCCGTGCTTGTGCCTACCTGAATCTACAGTTTACTATGCTTTTTCTTCCCTATATATTTCATATATAGGCAACAATTTTTTGCCCATTTACATCTTAGTTTCTCCTAGGCTCCCTGTGCCTCCCGCCTTCTTAGTTGGATTCCTTATCCTTACCCTTCTTGGGCACCAATCTCTTTTTCTTCTACCTTCAACTCTTGGCATAATGCCCAACTCTTTTAACTGACCACATGGAAAAATTAAAACAGGGTTGCTGTGTAACATTAAAACAGCTCTGAAGCATGGAGCAGTATAAGGAATCTTCCTTATAAAGAGTAATTAAGAGCAAGGCATGTTTAAGGGCCCATGGTAATAAAGTACATGATAACAGAGTACAGTACACTGAGCATTAATCCTACTGAAAACTGTTTGCAGGCCATTACCTTGTTTTCAAAATTACTTTTTTTTTTTTGTAGTTAATGGTCATTACTAGAAAACTCAGAAAATAAATAAAAGCAACATGATTACGTTTGTGATTCAGAAAGACAATTCTGAAGAAAATGAAAAATAGATCAGTTAGGAGATAATGACACAACATACAGAGAAGGAAGAGTGAGGACCCTAACCTGAGGCATTAACAGTGGTTATAGAGATGGGGACCTCCTAGAGAAATACTTAGGAAGTAGAATAGGCAGGATTCAAAACCTCATTCAGGTAGGAAGGAAAAGGAATCAATACTGACATCAAGGTTTCCAGTTTAAGCCAAGTAAGGGAAAAGAGAGAAATAGTTTTGTAAAAAAAAAAAAAAGATCATGAGTTCTGCTGGGCTTCAAGCTGTATGACAAAGTCAAGGCAAATAAAAACAAATTGAACTAAATGATCTCCACATCTCCTTTAAATTCAGCTTCTTCCCTTCCAAACTAGTGAAGACTATCCAAAGATTTCATGATCTTTTTAAATTAATTCTATTACTCATTATCTTCAATGGTCAAGAAATTAACTGTACCCAAGAGTGGAAAATAAGATAATAGCATTCACTGTCCAACTTTTCTGTGGACATCAGATTCTTCTTTCCAGAACTCCAATTGACCATTTACCCTAGAGATTTTACTTTAAATATAAACCTTATACATTTAAAAATCCCCAAATTATGTCTCAATGTGTATAAAACAATGTAATCCAAATTTGTTTCAAAGATCTTAGCAAGAAAGAACAATTTAGACTATCCTATTTTCATAGAAATGATGCCTAACATGTAACAGCTATTTCTACTTTACTTGTAAAACTACAGTCCAAAGCTTTAAAAATGTTCCAATGGGCAAAGGCTTAAAAATCCTTCTCTTGACTCATTGCCTCTACCTACTACCTCATTTCTTTTTTCCCTTTTTGCAGCAGAACTCCTTGAAAGGGTTGTCTATTTTGCTCTCTCCATTTTTCTTCTCTCATTTGCTCTGTAAGCCCCTTCAATCTAGCTTTTGGCCCAGTCACTCCACCAAAACTGCTCTTACCAAACTGCAGTATACAATGGTCAACTGTCATTCCTCATCATTTTTGATCTATCGGCATCATTTGTCACAGATGTTCACTTGATCCTTCTGAGAATACTTTGGTCACTTGGTTTCTAGGATACCACATTCTCTTGGTTTTCTTCCTCCTCTGTCTCTTCTGCTAGTTTCTCCTCTTTTCTAAATCTTTTAATGTTTAAATGCCTCAGGGATCAGATCTTGGCCTCTTCCATAATTATACCTATTACTTAGGTAGTCTCCACCTGTCGAGAAGTCCTACTGATTGTACTTCAAAATATATTCTGAGTTTGACCACTTAGGACTACCTGTACTGCTACTCCCCGGTCTGGGCTGTCAACACCCCTCACTGGAACTACTCCAACAGCTTCCTACCTGGTTTCCCTGTCTCCACCCTTTCCCATTCTCAACACAGCAGCCAGAGTGATGCTTTTAAAATGATACATTAGATGCAGTCACTTCTGTGCTGAAATCCAGCCGAAAATGGTTCCCTAATTTTATTCATGTAAGAGTCAAAATCCTTCTAATGGCCTACACAATGCCCCCAAATCTGCCCTACTCCTGCCTCTCATTTACCCTCTGACCTCCTCTTCTACTGTTCTTCCTCCTTGCTCTTCTCTCTTGCTTGCTCCTCTTGAGCCATACTGGCCTCCCTGTTACCCCTTGGACACACCAAGCACACTGCTGCCTCAGGGATTTGCATTTATTCTTCCCTCTCCCTGGGTAATCTCTGTTCTACCATATCGACATGACTGTGCTTTAAAGTCTGTGCTCAAATGCCAGCGAGGCCTTCTCTGACCACTCTATTTAATGTTGCAATCAACTCCCATGCCTCCCAACCAACCAGCCTCTGACCACTCTATTTAATTTTGCAATCAACTCCCATGCCTCCCAACCAACCAGCCTTGCTTTATTATTTACATAGCACTCATCACTATCTAATCTACTACATAATTCAGCTATTTTGTTTCTCTCTCCCAAACTAGAATGTAAAAGAGTAGAGATTTTTGTCTATTTTCTTCATTGCAGTTTTCTTACCACATAACAGTGTGTGACAAGTAATTGGTTTTCAATAAGGATTTCTTGAAAGACTGAATAAATGAATGAATAAGTGAATGTAAGAAATAGGAAAGAAAGGCAAGAAAAATAAAATGAATAAAGAGGAAAAAGGGAAGAAAAGGAAAGAAACCTGCCCAAAGTAATGTTAACAATTAATATGGTATAGCCGGCATTGTAAATCAGATTTGCTTAGCTTCAAAGCCCATAACAGCCTATTATAGCATCAGTCAAGATGCTGCTAGCTAAAACAAATATTTTAAGAATTAAAATAAGCTTATTAAGTAGTAGCATATAAAAGAAAAAATTAAGCAAAAGAGGGAAACAGACAACTTTTCTGAAATACAATGAGTTTAGTCAGAACTATTTATTTAGAATCCTACTGCAAATAGTGTATTTTTCAAAACTATAGAAGTGCATATGGTTCTTTCTCTTTAAAATACCTTAAATTAATAACACATTTGAAAGGACTAAATAATTCTGCTTTTGGCTAAGATAGATTTGTCCTCCAGCCTGAAACAACCTTCCCATCTTCAACAACAAAAATACAAAATACATGAGAGAATGGTTTATAAGACACTGGACATCAGGCAAAGGAAAGTGAACCCTGAGCAACAGGTGACAAATGAGGCGAGACCATGAATGTTCCAACTAATGCCTTGAGAGAATCTCTACGCCACAGCACAGGGAGGGGAAACCCAGGTGTGGCCCAGCAATGTCTTTGAGTTGAGTAGACAATGCTGAGAGTCCCAGATAAGAGTGAGCTACACACAGAAAGAAGTCCAAAGGTCTGCAGAGGGATCCGTCCCTTGAGCACTCAGGAGAGTGCTGATTGGCTCACGTGTGAGGGAAAACCACCAGAGGCCAGAGAAAAAACCATCTGAGAGGCTGAGAGAGAACACTGCCTGGTGCTTACACAAAGCCAGGAATGGTGCCTGTTCCTACTTGTCAGGCCAAAAAACCTCAGCATTCATGGGGCATTGAGTAGAGTACTCAGAAGTGGGAAGTAACTAGACCCAGACTGAGCACTGTTTCAATTATGAAGGCAAGACCCAAATGGATCAAACTGTTTCCAAGTAGGCTTAACTGCATCCCAGAACAAAGTTCAAGAAAACCTAAAGTAACACAAAAATATGTGGTGCTCAAGGTAAAATTGGCAATGTCTAGCATCCAATCAAAGACTACCAGACATGTAATGAAATAGGAAAATGTAACCAAAACTGAGGAGAAACATCAACCAATCAAAACCAACCTAGAACTGACAGAGATGCTGGAAATCAGCAGACATGGACATTAAAAATTATCATAACTGGATTCTAGATGTTCAGAAAGATCAGTAAAGACATGGAAGGCATTAAAAAACAGTCCTAGTCAAGTTTATAGAAAAGAATACTACAATGTCTGAGATGACAAATACACTGGATGGGATTAATGGCAGAAGAAAAGATTCGTGAATTTAAAGACAGAAATAGCAACTACTCAACATGAAATAGAAAAAAAGGAATTTTTTAAAAATGGAAAAGAGCATCAGTGAGCTGTGGGGCAATTTCAAACAGTTTAATATACATTTGACTGGAATATCTGAAGGAGAAGAGAGGGGGTGGAAGAGAAAAATTAGTTAGAAAATAATGGCTGAAAAATATCCAAATTTGATGAAAAGAGTATAGTCACAGATCCAAAAAGCTCAATGAACACCAAACATAAGAATCATGAAGAAAACCACACAAAGGCTCATCATAATGAAATTGTTGAAACCAGTGGTAAATAGAAAGCCTTAAAAGCAGCCAGAGAAAAAAGGCACATTATATACACAGGAATAAAGAAAAAGATAACAGTGGTTTTTTTGTCAGAAACAGTGCAAATGGGAAGACAGTGAAGCAACATATTTAAAGTACTGAAAGAAAAAAAGTCCATTTAGAATTCTATACCTAGTACAAATATCTTTCAAAAACAAAGACAAAAATAAAGACTACTTTAGACATATAAAAGCTGAAATATTTCATCACCAGCAGATCTGTGCTACAAGAAACACTAAAGAAAATCCTTCAGACGCCGGGTGCGGTGGCTCACGCCTGTAATCCCAGCACTTTGGGAGGCTGAGGCGGGCGGATCACGATGTCAGGTGATCGAGACCATCCTGGCTAACACGGTGAAACCCCGTCTCTACTAAAATACAAAAAATTAGCCGGGTGTGGTGGTGGGTGCCTGTAGGACCAGTTATTTGGGAGGCTGAGGCAGGAGAATGGCGTGAACCTGGGAGGCGGAGCTTGCAGTGAGCTGAGATCGTGCCACTGCACTCCAGCCTGGGCGACAGAGCAAGACTCTGCCTCAAAAAAAAAAAAAAAAAAAAAAAAAAGAAAAGAAAATCCTTCAGACAAAAGAAAAATGACATTAGATAAAAATATATACATACATATGAATGCAGAAATGGTAGCTGCATTGATAAATAGATGCAATTTTCAAAAAATATGGAAATCTCTTGAAAAGATAATTGTTTAAAGAAAAAGGTAGCTACACTGATAGATAATTTTCAAAAAATGTGGAAATCTCTTTAAAAGATAATTGTTTAAAGAAAAATAGCACTGTATTATGTTTTATAAAATACGTTTAAGTAAAATATGACAACAAGAACATAAAGGCCAGGAGGGGCAAAAGAGAAGTACACTGATGTAAGGTTTTTTTTTTTTAATTGAGATGAAATCTCACTCTGTTGCCCAGGCTAAAGTACAGTGGTGCGGTCGTGGCTCACTGCAGCCTCCGCCTCCGAGTTCAAGTGACTCTCCTGCCTCAGCCTGCCTAGTAGCTGGGATTACAGGCATGCACTACCACACCTAGCTAATTTTTGTATTTTTAGTAGGGAGGGGTTTCACCATGTTGGCCAGGCTGGTCTTGAACTCCTGACCTCAGGTGATCCACCCACCTTGACCTCCTAAAAGTGCTGGGATTACAGGTGTGAGCCACTGTGCCCAGCCAAGGTTCTTATATTATATGCGAAGTGGTAAGTATTACCTGAAGGTAGACTGTGTAGACTTGTATACGAATGTACATAGTAACTTATGTATAATAGCCAAAAACTGAAACCAACCCAAATGTCTATCAATAGATAGATGAATGAATAAGCAAACTGGGGTATATTCATATAATATAATACTACTTGCAATAAAAAGAAATTATATGTTGATATATACAATAAAATGGGATGAATCCCAAAATAATTATAGTAAAGGAAAGAAGCTAGACCAAAAAAAGAATATATCCTGTATGATTACATTTGAGTATATCCTGTATAATTCCATTTATATAAAACTCCAAAAGATACAAACTGATCCATAATGACAAAAAACAGGTCAGTGGTTTTTTGGGTGTCAGATGGGGCAAAAGAGTTACAAAGAGGGCACAAAGAAACTTCTGGAAGTGATGGATATTTTGACTGTGGTGACTGTTTCACAAACGTGTATCAAAACATTAAATTGTACGCATTAAATACGTGTAATTTACTACATATGAATTATTCTTCAATAAAGCTGCTTAAAAAACAATTTTGGACTTTAAGAACAAAAAAGATTTAGATACCTACAGTGCTCTGGTTCCACACAGTAAAAATAAACAGATATTTTAGGTGAAAGCTAGAATAAAATATTTAAATTTTTTTTAAAGTTCGAATGAATCATAAACACCAATCAAATACTTTCTTACTAGAGATAAAGGAATCAAGTCCCAGAGAGGTTTAGTGATTTGCCTGAGGTCTTACCCCTATAGTGAATACTTTACTAAACTGTAAGATCCACAATAACAGAGATTGTGCTATTTAGGTCACTAGAGTATCCCCATTACCTAGTACAATGCCTGGGACATAGTAGAAGCTTAATAAATATTTGCTGACTAATCTTTCCATAGAAAAGAAAGGTAAAAAGGAAGATAAAAAGAAAGAAAATATCCTTTGCAATATGACTAAAAGTTCCTCCATATGTTTGATTCTCCAGTCTCTAATAGAGATGACAGAAGTAGTACCTTTAATATAATAAATACAAGGAAATAAGTTATATTTCATATTTTAGGTTACTGAATATTTTCTAACACTTAATTTTTTTTCACTTATATTACCAACACTTAAATAAGCAGAAAATTAACAGAAAATACCCCATTCATGCAGATTAGTGAATTTTTCAAATTAATAGAAAATTTAAAGGAAAAAGCTTACCAAAAATTTCTCCATTTTTGGCATATTCTGTCACAAGGTACAACATACTTTTGGTCTCCATTACCTATTGATAAATAATTCCATATTAGTCTGACAGAAATGTACTGGAATTTTCCACAATATTCTATCGAGTTACCTAAATTGAAACTACTAATAAAAGAATCACAGTTATGAACAATTCCGAAGATGGCTAAGTTCATAAGCCTGACAATATCCTTCTGATTAATGTGTTTGTGAAAAATTGAGATCCTTGCTCTTCTAAGTGTGGTCCTTGGACCAGCAGTAGTAGCACTATTCAACCACCTGTAAGAAATGCAGAATTCCAGGCCCCATCCCAGACATACTGAATTGGAATTTACATTTTAACAAAACTGCCAAGTGATTTTTATGTACATTAAAGTTTGAGAAGTACTAGTATAGATAATATAAGTTTTGAAGATCTACTTTTCAACATCTCCTCACTGACGTTTCTAGTCCTATGTTATCATGGTAGATTCCGATTAAAAGAATAAAAAAATAGAGTACTTTAGTTTACCTGGTTGGTAGCCTAGCTAATCTGGCACAATGTGATATTCCTTGTACTATACTTTAATATTGTTACAAAGTACTCTAATTGTTTAAAAGTTTCATATTCATAGCTCTACTGTAAAATACTTTTATTTAAATGCATTTTTCTAGATTCGGAATGAAGTGTGTCATCGTCATACATCTGATTTTTCAAACTACACTAAATAGAAGTCTATTTAAAAAGAAAATGAGGCTGGGTGTGGTGGCTCACACCTGTAATCCCAGCTCTTTGGGAGGTCAAGGTGGGCAGATCACTTGAGGTCAGGAGTTCGACACCAGCCTGGCCAACATGGCAAAACCCCGTCTCTACCAAAAAATACAAAAATTAGCCAGGTGTGGTGGTGTGCACCTGTGATCCCAGCTACTTGGGAGGCTGAGGTGGGAGAGCTGCTTGTATCTGGGCGACAGATGAAAACTATGTCTCAAAAAAAATAAATATATAAAAATAAATACAAATAGAATAAAAAGAAAATGAGTGTTTAGATTCAAGATGAACAATTTTTAGAGTGTTTATCTGTAATACTCTTAACTGCTATCTACTGAAAGGAAGAAAATTAATTTTGTTCTAAGATGTAGGTTTAAGACTATTCTCCACGAGGTCAGAAAACTAAAAGCTACCTACAGTTTGGGCCTAAACAAATCAGTAAATCAACTGTAACCAATTATTTACCTCAAATAGATAGAATTAATATGCAAATTATGTTAGTTTTATCCTCGGTCTAGTTTATGGTTAATCAGAGACTTTGAAGAATATAATTAGTTTCTTAGAAGTATCTTCTTCAGGAATTAAAAAAACAATGGCTAGGCATGGGTGGCTCATTCCTGTAATCCCAGCACTTTGAGAGGCCAACGTGGGAGGCTCACTTGAGCCCAGAAGTTTGAGAACAGCCTGGGCAACATAGTGAGATCCTGTCTCTGCAAAAAATATTAAAAAATGAGCCAGGTATAGTGGCATGTGCTTGTAGTCCCAGCTACTTGGGGAGGGGTTGAGGCAGGAAGATCACTTGAGTCCATGAGTTTGAAGCTGCAGTGAGCTATGATTGTGCCACTGCACCCCACGCTGGGTGACAGAGCAAGACGTTTTCTTTTAAAAAAAAATTAATAATTTTTTTTAAGTTTAAAGGGAGAAGTAATCTGAATTAATTAATTAATTATTTATTTTTAGAGATGGGATCTCTGTGTTATCCAGGCTAAAGTACAGTGGCTATTCACAGGTGCAATTAAGGTGTACTACAGCCTGGAACTCCTTGGCTCAAGAGACCCTCCTGCTTCAGCCTCCCCAGTAGCTGGGACTACATGTCACTGCACTGGGCTAATCTGATATAAATTTGATCTAAGAGGCCTCTGTAGTTTTAGTATTTTTAGGAAATGCTTTGAGTGACACATCATAGTCTCTCATTCTCAGGAGGCATATCATAAGCCAATGGTCTTCACATTTTTTACATTGAAAATCTCTATCAATAAAAGTTGTTTAAAGCAGGGGTTCCTAACCGCCGGGTCACAGACTGGTGCAGTCCGTGGCCTGTTAGGAAACGGGCCACACAGTGAAGCTTCATCTGTATTTACAGCGGCTCCCCATTGCTCCCATTACCACCTGAGCTCCACCTCCCATCAGATCAGCAGTGGCATTAAATTCTCATAGGAGTAGGAACCCTATTGTGAACTGTACATGTGAGGGATCTAGGATTCACACTCCTTATGAGAATCTAATGCTGAGGTAGAATAATTGCCTTCCACGAAACTGGTCCCTGGTGCCAAAAAAGTTGGGCACCACTGGTTTAGAGCCAAACACACTGTCATGCACTTGTAGTCCTAGCTGAAGCGGGAGGATCCTTTGAGCCCAGGAGTTCAAGGCCAGTCTGGGCAACAACAGTGAGACCCTCTCTCTAAAAAAAATAAAATACAATAAACATGATTCCTATGGGAATCCATTAAAAATAAAGTTGCCAAATATATGTGTGTGTGTGTGTGTGTATATATATATACACACACACACATACACAAACACACATGGCACATATGGTGACGTATATATAAACACACATTGCATACATGTGCCATTGTATAAATATTATGTACATTATAAAATATACACAACAAAACAAATATAAAAAATAAACATAACTAGAGGTTCTGATATTTTCTTCTTATACTCCCAAGCACATTTGTGCTAATCTATTTGAATGCACATACTGGTGTGCCAGTAAACCAGCTTTCTGACAAAAAATAAAAAGGTCCTGATTTGTAAGCCAGTTTCTGTGATGTAAATCTTCCTACCAATGCAGATTTTGAGCTACTAACATCATGTTAATTGGCTTGCAAAGCTTCTGAAAGTTTAACAACCAGCTCTCAACGAGCCGGTACAGGCGGAGTCCAGCATACCATGGGCATACACATCACACTCTGGAGATCAAAGTCATGGGCCAGGATAATGGAACATTTCAGTTTAAAAAGAGCTTTTCAACAGAAAAATTCTACATGTTAAGAAATAATTGTTTTCAATATTTTGTACTATATTATCCTTCTTAAACATGAATTACTCGTTAAAAATTTGAGAAAAACACTCCTTTTAAAAACCATGGCTGGTTGGTGGGTGCACTAAAAGCCCAGACTTCACCACTATGCAATATAGCCAGGTAACAAAATTGCACCTGTACCCCCTAAAGCTATAAAAAACAATGAAAAACAATGACAAAAAACCCCATGGCTTACACTTAAAATGAGTTCAATTTATTTTACAAAAATTATTATAACAAAGTTGATTTTTTAAAAAAAGCAAATTTATTTTATCTACTAAAATAAGCCAAATAATTAAATAAATACAGTCCTATGTATGACAAAGTATGTCACTGAATAATATACTAGTTTAGTGGTTGTATTTTCATAAAACATACAGTATCCTTTTTAAATGAGCAAAACTGCCACATCCTTATTAGGCAGTAGCACCAAAACTCTGCAGTTAAAAAGCAGCGTATCATACATTGTAAACTTCTTTTTTTTTTTAAGAGACAGTGTCTCACTTTGTCACCCAGGCTAAAGTGTAGTGGTATGATATAGCTCACTGCAACCTCAAGCAATCCTCCTGCCTCAACCTCCCAAGTAGCTGGGACTACAGATGTGCACCACCACACCAGGCTAATATTTGTATATATATATTTTTTGGTAGAGATGGGGTTTCACCATGTTGCCCAGGCTGGACTCAAGTAATCTTCCCTGCTCAGCCTCCCAAACTGTTGGGATTACAAGTGTGAGCCCACACTGCAAACTTTTAAAACAACTTGCAGTCTGAGAGATGACTTAAGATTTCTGATTTTTAAGTTTAAAGACAATATAGAAAAATGGTGTACTTAGTAACAAATAGCATACATTTATTTTCTTTCATTGATTAGAAAAACAAATATAAGAAGAAAAATCATGATACGAAATAGAGAACTATCTTGTGGAATGAATGGAGATAGTGTTAGGCTGAGTCATACCTGATAAAGTTTGATTATGTGAGGGTGGTCTAACATTTTCATTATTTGTACTTCTCGGTAGATTTTCTCAAGGTTCACTGCATCCAGCTGAGACTTATCGATTATTTTTATTGCCACCTGCATCCCAGAACACAAATAAATACAATTAGTATACAATAGTTAACATTTTCTAGTTAAGAATCCTGTCAATAAATGACATGAGACTTCACCTGTAGGTTCCTGACACTGATGATAGCAGTTTAAATTCAATGTTCATTCATTCAACAAATATTTCTTAAACTAATACCATGTGTAAGGCAGTAGATGTTGTTTGGCAGTGTCTTTAGTGTGCTATGAAGAATAATTTGAAAACATGTTTCTCTTTCAGTACAATGGTAATGTCTTTTTTCTCCTGTACAAACTGAAAAAATAAAATCTTTATTTGATTAAATTAGTAGCTATATCAACTAGTTATCCTGCTGTGAAGTACCTATAAACAAATGATCAGCAAAGTAGAAGACAGTTCGGAAGATAGCTTCTGTTGCACTGAAATACTATTTTCCTAGAAAAGCAAGTGATAAGTTTCAAAGAATACAGACAAAAAGCTGAATATAAAATATTAAAACTCATTACATGAGAAAATACAATTGGACTTTCTTTTAAAAATTGAAGTGCAAAAACTAAAATGTTAGTAACTGCACTAAAATTTAACTTTGTAAAAGGAATTTTATTTCAGAAACTGTGACTTCATTCTGTTATAACTAGAGAGGAGCCCAAACAATTCCAAGGTTAATAATTTGAAGGGATTACATATGAAGGTGAATGACTAGGTAGGCAGAAATCAATGATTACACACATTTTTTTCATGCAATTAAAAAGAACTAATTTATTAAAATTAGTAGATATTTGGTTGGAAAATAAAGCATTCTGATTTAAATAAATTTTTCAGATAATTGGGAATCACCCCAATTTAATTATCAGTTTTGAAAAAACTCTAAAATGTACTTCAAGTTATATCAAAGGGTATTCTAAACATAATTTAGCCTTATGTTATTGTTTCAGGGTAACTTTTCTTCTTTTTTTTTTTTTTTTAATGCAGATGGGGTCTCATTATGTTGACCAGGCTGGCCTTGAATTCCTGGCCTCAAGCAATCCTCCCTTTTCAGCCTCCCAAAGTGCTGGGATTACAGGTGTGAGCCACCATGCCTGGCCTCAGGAAAACTTTTATTTATTTATTTATTTGATACAGAGTCTCCCTCTGTGGCCTAGGCTACAGTGCAGTGGCACGATCTTGGCTCACTGCAACCTCCGCCTCCTGGGTTCAAGTGATTCTCCTGCCTCAGCTTCCCAAGTAGCTGGGATTACAGGTGTGTGCCACCACGTCTGGCTAATTTTTGTATTTTTGGTAGAGATGGGGTTTCACCACGTTGGCCAGGCTGGTCTTGAACTCCTCACTTCAGGTGATCCGCCCACCTCGACCTCCCAAAGTGCTGGGATTTCAGGCGTGAGCCACTGTGCCCAGCCGAGGATAACTTTTAATATCAGCAATTGCACATGCTATGACAGCTCAATGCTTCCAAAAGCTATCCAATAAAATAGGACTCAGCTTGCCATTTCACATAATTCCCACAGTCTCCTGTTCATACAATTACAGTTAACCCTGAACAACATGGGATTTAACTGTGTGGGTTCACTGATACACAAATTTTCTTCCACCACTAAGACAGCAAGACCAACTTCTCTTCTTTCTCCTCCTCCTCAGCCCACTCAATGTGAAGATAATGAGGATGGAGACCTTTATGATCCACTTCACTTAATGAGTAATAAATGTATTTTCCTTGTTATTTTCTTAACATTTTCTTTTCCCTAGTTTACTTTATTATAAGAATAAAGTATATAATGCATGTAACATACAAAATATGTGTTAATGGACTGTTTCTGTTATTGGTAAGGCTTCCAGTGAACAGTAGGCTATTAGTTAAATTTTGGGGGAGTCAGGCTGGGCGCTGTGGCTCATGCCTGTAATCCCAACACTTTGGAAGGCCGAGGCAGGCTGATCATTTGAGGTCAGGAGTTTCAGACCAGCCTGGCCAACATGGTGAAACGCTGTCTCTACTAAAAACATAAAAATTAGCTAGGCATGGTGGTGGGTGCCTGTAATCCCAGGTTGACCTGGGAGACTGAGGCAGGAGAATCGCTTGAACCTGGGAGGCAGAGGTTGCAATGAGCCAAGATCGTGCCACTGCGCTCCAGTCTGGGCGACAGAGCGAGACTCTGTCAAAAAAAAAAAAAAAATGGGGGGAGAGTCAAAAAGTTATACTTTCAACTGACCCCCGAGGGGGGTCAGTTCCCCTAACCTCTGCCTTGTTCAAGGGTCAAATGTAATGTTTTTCTTCTTTCTTTATGGCTGCTCTATCCTTTGCTGTTATGTCCTAAAGCTCTACTGTAAGTTTTACTTCTCACCTTTCTCTATTTCTAACTTGCTGTCCACAGGTTGTTTCCTGATTTGAATTAATTGTAGAACTCTGCAAGCTTCCCAGGGGAAATCCGATTACTAAACATAATGTATAAAATTAAATTTATCGCCTAAGAATAAAAGCTTCTTTTCTAGGGAGTAAAGTACATAGGTTCTGTGATAGCTCTTTTCATTATGTTTGGTGGTGTTTTAATTATTACCGTAATGAAAATATTCTAGAAAGTAAAACTTTGACTGCTAGGCAAGTAGAACGATTAATATTATATACTCGCTATTAGAAATATTATTGGACCACCTCAAACCTAAATACATTTAAAGAAACCCCCCTCAATGAAGAGTATGATACAATCCATTATTATCCATTATTTTGGGTAACTTTGGGTAACAGCTGCCAGATAAAAGGATAAGTGTATAATTGAATATCCTCAATATTCCTTAGGAAGATCACATCAAGTTTCACGGACATGCATATTTTGAAGAAAATGTCTTACCCTACAATTTCAGGAGTGAGTCTATATATCAGCACCCCCTGCCCCCAGGAAAAAGCTTTTATAATGAGATGGGTCACAACCATCTAATAGAAGAAGATGGAAAGAAGGGATTATGGTTTTTAAAAACCCAGCATGATTCCTATCATGAGACAATTTTATAATGTAAATATCTTGAGTGTCATATTTAATGGGATGAAAGAGTTTAGATATTAAATATCAATTAAAGCAAGGTATTACCCAGAGAAAGCTCCTTTTTTATACCCTTTTGGAATGTTGGCCTCAACAATGAAAAAGTGAAAAATATATGACATATATTAAAAAGTTTAAAATGTTATCTAATTAAATTTTAATAAAAATTATAAATCTCATTTAACATTTCTTAACAAAATAACTCAAATGATATAATTCTCCCTTCAATTTTATCTTGGGTCACAGACTTTATCCATCTATGATCCTATGATCATAAATATATATATATATATATATATATATATATATCCCATTGCTATCCCTTGTTTCTAAGGCTATTACAGGAGAGGATTATGCTTCTCTAAAGAAAAAGCAGAGCATGAGTTAACATGTTCCTTGTAACATGGGAACTCTAACTGCTTTACCAAATACACCCCAAAACTTATGATTCAAACTCAACAGAAGTTTATTTCTTGCTCACGTAGCAGAACTAGATGAATGCAGACTTTTGAAATTCAAAGAGGCTTTAATATCTTTAATGTGTGGCTTCCAAGGTTAACCTGAAGGCGGTCTCCATTCCAGCTAGACAGAAGGAAAAAAGAACTCTGAGGGATCTTCATGGGTGATTTTATGGGCCAGGGCTGGAAGTGGTGCCTATTACTTCTGTTCATTCCATTAGTTAGAACTCCGCATATGACCACACCTAAATGCAAGGGTGGCATAGAAACAGTCCAGCTGTAGGCCCAGAAAGAAGAGGAAACAGCAGAGTTTTCAATGATCAGCTAGCAGTCTGCCAAACTCATCCAAGTAATTTCTTAACAATGGAGCTCTCTATCAAGTACTTCCCAGAAATATGTATAATACTAACAATGGTGATGACTTTCACAACTGCACAGCATTTTTAAAGATACTTCAGCATATTTTATCTCATTTATTTCCCAATTCTGTGAAGTAAATGAAACAAGCAGTACACTCATGAGTTGAAACTGAGGTTCAAATAATGTCACATAATCAACAAAGGTCTTAAAGCTCTAATGAATTAAGGAAGAAAAACCCTAGGCCTTCTAACTCCAACTTTAATCTTTTCACTATTTCAAAGGGTCTTGTAGTAATACATTACACAGCATCTGTTGTGTGCCAGGAATTATGCCTGGGATATAAAAATGAATGAGATTTGATTCCTACCCTCAACAATTTAATAGGTATGTAAGAAGAAGATGAACACATTTTACCAACAAAAAAAAAAGTATTTGGGGATTTCCCCAAAGGTGCACTGAAAGTCCTTAATTTGCAAAAGGGTTGTGTTCCAATAGTTCCTTTTAAGGATTAGAATGAACTTAGATTTCTGGGAACTTCCTCTCTATATCCCTTCTCTTATTTAGTTCTCAACATAGTATAAGAGACAAAATCTGCATGGTAACAAGAAAGTAGGTCAAGAAAGGAACTCCACGAATGGAAAGATCCCCTTTTTTGGTGGTGTTCATCTATTCAACTCTCTAATCATTATATATACATTATCTTAAAAAAACTTTCAATAAATTTATATGACAGAAAAATGAATACTCCTTCTACTAAAGGACTGAATAAAGGTTTCCTGTATAAACTGAAGAACATTAGGACAAACTAGAATGATTACTATCAAACTAAATCCCACATAAAGTAGCAACATTGAATATTCAACTTCAAAATACTCAGGGAAATATGAATTAAAAACAAAATACCATTTTCACTTATTATATTTATAAAGATTAAAAAATAAATAACCTGGTCAGCTAAAGTTCAGTGAGATGTTTGTTTCAGATAGTTAGTAGGAATATAAAATAGATTATAATTTTTCTGGGAAGCAATTTAGTAGTCTTTATTATGAACCTTAAAAATCATCCATTCCATGTAGCTTAAGGACTCTTCTGAGAAGTTATTTGAAGGAAATAATCTGAAATGAGGACAAAGATTTATGTGTAGTTTTTTTTTTTTTTGAGACAGGGTCTCACTCTGTTGCCTGGGCTGGAGTGCACTGGCGCGATCTCAGCTCACTGCAACCTCTGCCTCCCAGGCTCAAATGATCCTCCCACCTCAGCCTCCCAAGAAGCTGGGACTACAGGTGTGCACACACACACACACACACACACACACACACATTTGGTCGAGAGTGGGTTTCACCATGTTGCCCAGGCTGGTCTCAAACTCCTAGGCTCAAGTAATCCTCTTGCCTTGGCCTCCAAAAAGTATGGGATTACTGGTGTGAGCCACCTCACCCAGCCTTATGTGTACATATAATCAATAGAGTATTAGAAAACTGAGATATCAGTGCAGTCTCAGCATAAGGTATGAGTAGAAAAAGATGACAAAAAACTGCTTTGTACTTTTCTGTGCAATTTTTCTTCAGTGAACATGTATTATTTTTCTAATAAGAAAAAACCCAGAACAATGACAGTTATTTATCATATACTAATTCTCTGAGATATATTAGTTTTCATTTTCTCATTTTCAAAATTCTTTAGAAAATGGCTATATTATTTTATGATTTAAATATTAAGAAGACCATATATACAGAAATGTTTCTAACAATGTGAAATTTTAAAAAACACTATGAAAGTAACAACTATGTAAAATACAAATTTTATACAGGAGGACAAAGAATTAAATGTAAGAGCAGAAATGTAAAAAGTGTTAAACTGATGAATAAATGGAATTTTTTCATTTTTCAAACTGTTTGTTATCTTTTTTTTTTTTTTTTTAGACAGAGTCTTGCTCTGTCACTGCTGGAGTGCAGTGGTGCGATCTCAGCTCAGTGCAACCTCTGCCTCCAGGGTTCAAAGTGATTCTCCTGCCTCAGCCTCCCAAGTAGCTGGGATTACAGGCATGCACCACCACGCCAGGCTAATTTCTGTATTTTTAGTAGAGATGGGGTTTCACCATGTTGGCCAGGCTGGTCTCAAACTCGTCACCTCAAGCAATCCACCCGCCTCGGCCCCCCAAAGTGCTGGGATTACAGGCGTGAGCTACCATGCCTGGCCTATCCTGTCTCTTTGATTTTAGAAAAACAAATTAACTTCTCATAAAAGAAATACTAATCTCATTTAAAGAAACCACATATACAAAAGTTGCTTTTGGGTTCTATAAATCCACAGATTAAAGCCAAAAAAAGTAGCTTTTGGAGATTTTATAAAGAAGTTACAAATAAGAGCTATTCTTCTAATAACAAATTACAAGGGATTAACATGTGTTTCTTGTCTTAGATAATATTTACTCCAGTCCTATTACTAATATACTAATTCTACACTGTCCTTCTGAAGTACCAAGTAACATTAGCTCTATCATACCATACATTAGACCTTTGAAATTAAAAAATAAATACAACTTTCAGCTTATACAACAAATCATTGGTGGAATTACAACCTACTAGCCTATCATTTGATTGAAAAGCAAGTGTGATTGAGTGGTCTATAATGAAAGACTTTCTGAAAGCAGTAAAAGTCAGTAGTAAAATAGAGAATTCTCTAGTTACCCTCTCAGAATAAATAAAAAGGAGACTTTTTTCCAATGTAAATTTGGCTTTTAAAATTATTCAAATAATAAATTCTCATTAGGATTTAATTTGAAGGCTGGGTATGGTGGCTTATGCCTGTAATCCCAGCACTTTGGGAGGCCAAGGTGGGAGGGCTGTTTGAGCCAAGGAGTTCAAGAACAGCTTGGGCAACATGGCAAAACCTTGTCTTTACAAAAAATTTAAAAATTAGCCAGGCATGGTGGTGTGCACCTGTAGTTCCAGCTACTTGGAAGGCTGAAGTGGGAAGATCACTTGAGCCTGGGAGGTGGAGGCTGCAGTGAGGTGTAATCTCGCAACTGTACTCCAGCCTGGGTGACAGAGTGAGACCCTGTCCCCCCCCCAAAAAAAAAATTGATTTGACTTTTATAATAGTGGGTAGGAAAAACAGATTGGGGGAAAAGGTAAATGGTCCGATAGTTATATACTCACAAAAATTAAACTGAGAATTTTTAAGATGATTAAAGAAGTGATTAAAAATAATCCCCTATCTTAAAAAGTATTTAAACAAATCAACAAAAAAGACAATGCAATTAAATGGGTCAAAGGACAAAAAAATTTATAAAAGGAATGCAAATCATCATCATATAAAACTGTACAAAGTAATTAAAGAAATGCAAATTGAAGTAACAAAATGTAAACATGTATTTGTTAATTAAAAATAAAAATAGAAAAAAATTTAAAAGTAATGAAGAATATTATTTTCTGCTATCAAGTTGGCAGAGATTTAGAAAATAATATTCCTGCAAAATATGAGTTCTTCCTGGTGAAAATTAACGGGTACTCCTTTTCTGGAGGGTAATTTGGCATCCTACACCGTAAGATAGGTAATGTACATACTCCTTGACCCAAGAATTCCATTGCTAGGCAATTACACTGAGGAAATAATTAGATACATGCACAAAGATGTATGTAGAGGGATGCCCTCTGAAACATTATTTTAGAAAGAGAGACAGGAAGATGGAAATAGACTAAATGTTCAGTAATAGGAAATTGATTAAATAAAATATGGATAGTCAAATGCACAAATACTATTTAACTATGCTTTACATAGTTTTCAAACTTACGGAAATGTTAACAACATGTTAAGTAAAAAACACAGATTATATGCATACATGACATCAATTTTATTACATACATATAAAATATATGTGAATAACTAGAAGAAGATGAACCAAATATTAACAGGCATTATCTCTGGGTCTGGAGAGTGGAAGTAAGGATGTTAATCTTCTTCTTTGGGCTTTTCAACAATGTTTACAATGAAGATGCATTGACTTCTATAACTGGGGGAAACCATATCAATACTATGTTTACTTTCAAGAAGAACTTAAAATAAATTTTAGTATTGTTTCTCAGTTTAATTCATCCAATATTCATCTCTTAATCTGTTTAAAGTATTTAAAAATTTTTTTAAAATGAAGTTTCTGATGGAATTTCCAAGTTTATCTTTCGATCTTCTAATATCTCAAAATGGATATATAGGCTATTTCTCTGTGAAGGATGGGAAAGTATTCTACACCAATGTTCTGAATAAAGAAAGTTTTATATAATTTATTTCGAAAAGATGGAGGTGGAAGGTAGAAGAGGTACTAGGTACATTAAAGCGGAAAGAACGATATCCTAATGAATTCTGGAACCCATTTGCCTCCAAGGAAATGAATCTGCCATCAGCAGTGGGTCATAAATCAAATGTCATCATGTGAATCCAAGAAGATAGGCCAGTTTCAGTTATTTCCAAATAATTGTTTTCTTAATTGACTGGTACTGAGATAGTATTTCCCAGAGGGTTTAAAATCAGAACACATTAAACTCTGTTAAAGTTAAAATTTCTACAGAATATAAACATTTACACAACTCTTATTTTGCATGTTTGTTCCCACTCCCAAAAAAGAGCAGATCATTTTGAACAATAGTTAGCAGAATACTTTGACAAATACTATTTGTCTGGGGTGCCAAAAACTACAGAAAAATTCTATGAAAGTATATATATTCCATGACAAATACAATTTTATTTCAATACAAAATTAAAGATCATACATAAGACTAGATACAAATATTAGCGATTGAGTTATTTGGTAACAAGTCCTTCTGTTGCACATAGTACAGTTGCTTCTTGAAATCTGGAATATTTCACAGTACAAGATTAATACCAAGACTACTGAAAGGAGTCTTAAAATTTTAAAGCAAAATAGAAAATTCAAATGTATTTTTAAAATGAGTTCTCTTCAAGAAACATCATAATCAGGGTGTAATATGCCTTTCTCTTGTTTCTGACTTTGCTATAAAAATGCAATTTTAATACCTTAACAATTCTGAAAACCTTTTAAAAATCTTACATTTTAAGGTGGTAAAGAATTAGGCCTAACTATAAAATCCCCAAAATGCACATGGAAAGCTTTTTAGCAAACAAATACAGTTTTCAAAATGTCCTTGTTATCAGTTTTGCATTCCAAGTTCTCTTAAGGGTAAGTAAGCAGCCTGACACCCACATGCCATTTTAATAAGGTCATTTTTAGAACCTCTATGAAATATCTTTATGATTCCACAGACTATACATTTACATGCTCTTTAGCTAAGCAATATGAGAGGTATATGGTGTTGAGGAAAACTCAAGTTATCTATTATAGAAAAGGTCTGAAAATAACTAGTTATGGTTATCTTTGGGGTTGTGATTTTATGGGGAATTCTTTTCATTTATTTATAAGTTTTTTTTTTTTTCTTTTTAATGAGACTGGGTCTTGCTATATTGACCAGGCTGGTCTCCAACTCCTGGCCTCAAGCAACCCATCTGCATTGGCCTCCCACTGTGCTGGGATTACAGGTGTCAGCCATCTAGCCTGGCCTCCTATTTATACTTTTAAATTTCTCAATAATAAACACGACAGATTTGGTAATAAAAATACACTACTCTTTAATGTAAAAATAATACCTTGTTACTTAGGAAATTTCCTTTTAGGACTTTACCAGCAATTTCTCCTCCCTAAAAAAAATGTAAAATGCACACTCAGTTATAGGCACAAAAATATTCACTGCGTATTATTTACTATAAACAAAAACTGAAAATTGCATAATATTCATTAATAAGGGAATTGTTAGGTAAAACGATATTCATCCACAAGGTAGAACACCATGCAGCTAACAAAAATGTTTTTATAAAGTTATATATAATAAACAAAACGCCTAGGTTATAATATTAAGTAGAAAAAAGAACATAATTTATATATATGTACCATGTGCTTTCATCTATGGAAAAAATGCATTTAAATAAAAAGACTAGTGCCATAATGTTAAGAATGGGTTATTCCCATTAGTGGAGGAATTATATGTATACTTTTTTGTTCACTATACTCTTATTTTTTATATTATAATAAGAGACTACTTCTTTATTTATTTTTCTTTCTTTTGTCCTGAAAGCAACAAGAAAGAAACTGTTTCTTAAATAGAATACAAAAACATTTAAGGATACAATTGGCTTTTCTAGAATTTTACTTAAGAGACAAAAAACTAGCTATACCACTAACTAGAAGGAAAAAGTTATTTCCTAATACTGTATAGTATTGATAAAATAAACTACTCAAGGACACTCACTGAATAGCAAACAAGCAACCACTATTGCCTCAAAGTTTAACAGCTGACATGCTATTATTCTTTTCCCATTATGCTAATTTTATAAAATTAGCATCTCTAATTCATAAACCACAAACTAATACTACAAAGCCTTTGCAAAGCGTATTAGGAAGCTGGATTCTACCACCACCTGTCTTCCCCTTTGGATGCAAAATTCACATCGAGATCTAACACAATACCACTTCAGATGATGATGTAATTATATTTCATAAACAATGTTAAACTGTTTGATAGATTCGACCAAAACGAAGATCTCTTTTGTCCACTATTTTTTTCCTAAAAGGGAAACAGACTTGAATCTCCCAAGTTCTGTAGAAATACATCATTTGTGAGTGATATAGAACAAGAGACAGAGAAGAACCAGTTAAAAATAAAAGGGTCCTAATTGCTCATTACATAGATGATTAAGCCCTAAAATTTGCCTCAGAGTCAAACTTGGGAAAAAAGACCTCTAAGTTTTAAAACACACAAACTTGTATCGATGTTAAAGCATAGTATATAAAGAAACTTTTATCGTCAATAAGTATAATTGTGATATTTTGCTGATATTATTTTTATACCATATTCATTGTTCCACTATAACTACTGTAGTATGTTCTGCCATGAAAACTGAATTTAAAACAAAAGTTTTAATTAAACATCTTATAGTTTTTAAGGTAGTTGTATTTATCAAAAACACACAAACATTTATCCAGTGAATGAACGAATAAGGATAAATAACTGCTGTAAAAAACATCATTAACAATGGAATTGTTACTCCCATGGAATACTTTAAGAAACAATTGGGCCAGGCGCGGTGGCTCACGCCTGTAATCCCAGCACTTTGTGGGGCCAAGGCGTGTGGATCACTTGAGGTCAGGAGTTCGAAACCAGCCTGGCCAACACTGTGAAACCCCGTCTCTACTAAAAACACACAAATTAGCCGGGCATGGTGGTGAGCGCCTGTAATCCCAGCTACTTGGGAGGGTGAGGCAGGAGAATCGCTCGAACCCAGGAGGCAGAGGTTGCAGTGAGCCGAGATCGCACCACTGCACTCCAGCCAGCCTGGGCAACAAGAGCGAGGCTCCGTCTCAAAAAAAAAAAAAAAAAATTCAGAGCAACTTTACAACCTAGAGATCCAGAGAACTTTTCTGTTCAAAGATTGCTTTGACATTTCACTTATCCCTCTCTACCTTAATATCTCCAATCACACCCACCAAATTACCACAGATACCCTCACCCATCTCAAATTCACACTATTTCTTTTTATATGTTAATAACAGCTTCTTTAGAAAAGCACAGGGAAATGGGTTCTGCGGACTAAACATTTAGCTTTTAACGTAAATCATTTTACACATATATACTACACACACGATTTAGGATCTAAGTCCTCTTTCACGATCTGACCGGTGCTTGTTCCAATTACAAATGAATGCATTGATCTCACTCTGATAGCCAAACCACGGTATTACTCCATAGTGCCCCCTAGCTCTTTAAGATATATTAGTTTAAAACGGACACCATTTGAATTGTCAACCTCAAAGTGTCAATCACTCCACTTAAGCAGCTCTTACTGTATTAACTAAATTTGACCTGATAAATAATAGATGACTTAATTAAATCTTGCTATTAATCCCAGTAAGAGCTGATGAGAAAAAAATATTAAGAACTGATGGATTTGGAATTCAACCACACGATATACTACAGTTCAAAAGTTTTGTAGAACCTCTCTATAACTCACAATTTGTTTGTTTTTAGAAAGTCATTAAGCAAGGACTCATAAAACATGCATTTAAAATGCCTTCTTTTATGTAACTTAAAGGGAAATGGCATGGCATAGGCCATGGCTCTTCAGAGGAATGGAACCAATTTCTTCATTTTAAAAAATGCTGGGATCAGATTAAGATTTAACAATATCACTATAGTCAAGTTATCATTATCATTACAAACAATCTAAATTGCTAACTGGTAAATCTGTGAGAAGAAAATATCTGACCTTGGTCCTGATTCTAAAAGATAAGTCAGATTTGGACTGGTTCAGGACCAGCAGGGGAAGGCAAAAAGTAAAGAAGACAGAATGACATATACCCCTTCCTTTTGGAAACGGGATTAAGCAAAACTTCTAAGTACAACTGCAACTCCAAAAATCACTCACGTTTGCAAGTGCCCTTCGCCTTACATAAGTCATTCTGAAAAGAAGTCCTACTTTATTCTACACTCAAACTCCAGTACATTCGTACTAACAAGGGAAAAAGCAGAATAGGACCAAAACTGGAGGGCAAACAAACAGGAAAAGGATGAAACTCCAGGAGGAACTACAATAAGGCAGAGTAGAGTACGTCAAAACCACTAGGTTTTATTCTAAAGAATGGTTTTGTTTCTACCGTTCTTCTAAGGTATTTAATTTGCACGTCTTAAAATAGAGACCCTGAGGAGAGCAGCTTGAGGCAGTGGAAGGAAGGGGGGCGGGTTAGGTAAGAACAGAGACTTGTGAGAGAGTATGTGCGGTGCATTAGAATGTGCAATGAAGAGGGTGCAGGATTCACCGTCAGGAAGCAGTTGAGGGCTTTATGAGTAGAGGCAGAATCTGATATGGTTTAAAGAATGCGTATTACAGCCAGAATGCACACCTGGTACAGTGACAACCCTAGACAAGTAGAAGACCAATCCACCCACCGTGCAAATGCAGAGATGACCATTTTAACCAGTTCTATTGTCTGGGGCATTAAATGGAAATGCCCCAGGCAAGAGATCAAGCTAGCCAGACACCAAATCAGAGACACCCTGGGCCAAAAGGAAGGAGAGGAGATGGACAGTGGCCGTGGGGGTATTCCCAGCCATGGGGCCCTTCCTCGTCGGGCAGGGGAGGGGCGCCGGGGTCACGGGGGCCGCACGATCCCCCATCCGCGGAGCCCAAGCGCAGGCGGTCCCCTCCTCGGGCCGGCGACGTCTCTCACGGCGCAGCCTGGGAACACCGAGACTTCCCCTCCCACCCCACCCCCAGCCGAAAGCAGGGAAGACGCGGAACTTGGGCTCCGGAGCGGAGGCCACAGACCAGGTCACGGCCCGGGTGGGGGGCTCTGGGCGAAATTCCGGGTGGCCACCGGGGGTGGCGTAGGGGAAAGCAAAGCCCCGGCTGGTTGCGTTTCCAGTCGGACGACACTCGGGTCCGGGTGCCCGGGCCCGATCCCTTCGCTGCTCACCGACCCCCTGCACCTCCTGGGTCCTCACAGTCCCAGGCCCGCTCGCCTCCGCCAGTGAGGCGGCCTCTCGGGTCTCCCCGGTCCCACCACTGCGGCCGCCCCTCTCGGTAAGCAGCTCCTCTCCCGAACCCTCGCCTCGGACGCTCCCGCCGAGCCCCGGGCCGCACCTCCGTCTTGGTGATCCGGTGCCGCCCCAGCTTCACCACAGCGAAGTTGCCCTTGCCCAGCGTGCCCTCGATGTCGTAGAACCCCACCCGGACCGGCCCGCGCTGCAAGTGCCTCGGGCCATCCGCCATGACCATGCTGGGCCCCGCTGCTAGACACGGCGGACAGGAGCGCGGGCGGGCGGGAGGGTTGGCAGCGCGGCTTGGCTTGGGCGACGGCCGCTCCGCTTGCTCCTTCGCTCCTTCGCTCCTTCCCTCCCGCTCCCCAGGGCCCAGCCAGGCGCGCGCCGCCGCTGACGTGCGCCGACGTCAGGGGGCCGGGGCAGGGGGGCGGGGGCGGGCCCGAGCCTGGATTGGTCACCATGGCGACCGAAGCACCGCCGACGTCGGCTGCTGGAGAGTGGGGGACGGCGCACGGGGAGGGGCGCGAGCCTGGCCGGCGCGCTCCTTCCGGGCTCAGACGCCCTCCCCTCGCCCCTCCGCCTCACCGCTGCCAGGGGCGGGGTCGCTGCTCGGCCCGCTCCGTTCCTCGGCCTTCCAGGCGAAGGGCAAGAGCGAGCCCTGGCGGACCGTGCGGAGGGGTGCAGAGACCTGGATGCGGCCTGCGATCTCCTTCCCCGCCCCGGCGTTCTCCGCCCACCCGGGGTCCTTCCCGCCAAAACCTCTCACCTACAAGTACAGCGCGTCCTAAATTTGGCACCGGCAAAGAACTGTGGCTGAGCAATGCGTTGCTCACAGGCTCCTTTCTTTGTGTCCTTTTCTCTTCTCGTTGCTATATATAATAAAACCCTCCACGTTTTGATGTCTCCGAGGAGTCATTCTGACAGCAGTGCAGTCGCTTATAGACTCACAGAATGTCAATGTCAGCGCTGAAGAGATCTTGGAGATCACTTAATCCAGAGATTTGGAGCCTCATGTGAGCTTCAGAGTTTGGAACCCCCTAAAACACAGGCCAGTTTTTGCTTATGTGAGCATGTCTCTGGGGAGATGGACCCGTAGCTTCTGTCAGATTCCCAAACGCGTTGGTGACTCTGAAAAAGTTTAGAAATATTTCTCTAATCCAATTTTTTTCCCCAAAGGACGAAGAAGACCTCAAGGAATAAAGGGAATTGCCTAGGTCACACAGGCAATAGTCGAGGTAGGATTATAAATCACACCACGCTTCCAAATGTGACTCAAGGAAACAGGGACAGTGACACCTCACTATTTTGAGATGTATCATATGCCTTTATATCTTGGTTTCTAAATACCATTCTCCACCTAAAGGAGCCAGACTCCGTGGCGAGATGGCTCATTCGAGGGCAGAGACAGGGAAAGTATAAAATGCCCTTGAAAGATCCTGCTCCTTAAAGCAAGGAGATTTCTTGGCTATGTCAAGGAAGATATGTCAAAAGAAAGCAGATGGCTCGAAGGTGCTCCCCCCTTACCAAATCTGAGACAGTTTGAGTATCAGGAATAAATAATGGGCCGGGCTTAGTGGCTTACGCCTGTAATCCCAGCACTTTGGGAGGCTGAGGCGGGTGGATCACCTGAGGTCAGGAGTTCAAGACTAGCCTGTGTGAAACCCCATCTCTACTAAAAATGCAAAAATTAGCCGGGCGTGGTAGTGGGCGCCTATAATCCCAGCTACTCGGGAGGCTGAGGCAGGGAGAATTGCTTGAACCAGGGAAGCAGAGGTTGCAGTGAGCCGAGATCGTGCCACTGCACTCCAGCCTGGGCGACAGAGCGAGACTCTGTCTCAGTAAATAAATAAATAAATAAATAAATATAGAAATTGATTCTAACACATTGAATTTTTTAAAAGAATCGTAGAGCATACTTACTTTTAAACAGAAAAATAAAGAGGGGAGAAGTGAAATGACGGTGGAATGCCAACTAATATATGTTAGAAGAAATGACAATTAGCAAATCATTTGGCAGCCATTACAGTAATAATGGATTCAGACAATTATCAATAGATGTTAAAATCATTGAATAAAATTTGGCTGGGGAACAAGATATTTGCACAGTCTTTGGATTTCTTATTCATGATAAAGGGTTAACAAGGGTACCTCTACAGTGGAGAAATCTGACCGACACTACCCTAACCAAATGATCAAAGTTAATGTCACCAATTATGTGATAAAATGACATGATGTGCCTCCAGATGTGAGGCACTGAGGTTACAATATCTCTTAAGTAGTATTCCTGTCAAAAATGCATATTATGATCTAGAAACATCAGAAAGATGCAAACTAAGAAACATTCTACTCAACAACTGACCTGTATCCTTAAAAAACATCAGTGTCATGAAAGTCAAAGAAAGGCTGAGGAACCATTCTAGATTTAAGGGATTTAAAAAGGCATGGCACTAAAGGCAACATGTGGTCTTGAAAAAACATGCTATAAAGGAATATTTCAGAACAACTACTGAAATTTGAATATGGATTACATATTAGATAAGATACTGTTTCAGTGTTAAACTTCTTGAATTTTATAATTGTACTGTGATTATAAGAGAGAGTATCCGTTATTAGGAGATACACACTAAACAATTAGGTATAAAATTTTTGGCCGGGCGTGGTGGCTCACACCTGTAATCCCAACACTTTGGCAGGCCGAGGTGGGCATATCACTTGAGGTCAGGAGTTCAAGACCAGCCTGGGTGGTGGTGCGCCTGTAATCCTAGCTACTCTGGAGGCTGAGGTGGGAGAATCGCTTGAACCTGGGAGGCGGAGGTTGCAGTGAGCCAAGATCATACCACTGCACTCTAGCCTGGGTGACAGAGTGAGACTCTAACAAAAAACAACAAAAAAAAACCTTTTGATATATGCAACTTACTGTCAAGTAGTTTAGCACAGATAGATAAGGCAAATGTGGCAAAGTTTTAAATTGATAAAATAGGTAAAAGGTAGGTAAAAGGGTATGTGGTAGATCGTTGTACTGTTCTTGCAACTTTTCTGTAGTTTTAATTTTTTAATGAAAATTAATATATTGTGTATTATTTTATTTTAAAATTTATATATATATATTTTTTAGTGCAAGATGGCTTTTGGGCCCTCCACTGCTCCCTGTGCTTCTGCTTTTCACTCTCCCCAAGCAATACCTTATTCTACCATGAGGTATGTTGTTTGCAAAAGTGAGGGGAGAAATGGGGGAAAGCTGTAAGGCTGATCAGATTTCTGAATTGATGGGAGTGGTGTATGAGTGGTCCTCTAACTAGTGAGAGGTATTCTAATTAGGCTAGGAACCTACATATGTATACCAGTTCAAAAATAGTTCCCATGTGCATTTTGCCACTTAGATGATTGTATTTTTTTTTTTTTTTGAGGTGGAGTCTTGCTCTGTCGCCAGGCTGGAGTGCAGTGGCATGATCTCAGCTCACTGCAACCTCTGCCTCCTGGGTTCAAGCGATTCCCCTGCCTCAGCCTCCCAAGTAGCTGGGATTACAGGCACGTAGCACCATGCCTGGCTAATTTTTTGTATTTTACTACAGACGGGGTTTCACCATGTTGGCCAAGATGGTTTCGATCTCCTGACCTTGTGATCTGCCCGCCTTGGCCTCCCAAAGTGGTGAGATTACAGGCGTGAGCCACCGCGCCCAGCCAGATGATTGTATTTTAATTGTTCTGGGGGTGGGTTCCTTTGGGAATCTGATGAAAAGCCACTTAACCAAGAACCAGAAAATACGCAGGGAGACCCACTACAGTGAACAACCTCATCCTTTAAAGTATACCTGTTGAATGGAAATGGATTCATTTGAGTATTTAAATTAGATAACCAGGCCAAACACCTACTTGCACAGTCTGGGAATAAGAATTGATTTGGGGCTGGAAAGAAGAAAAAGGGAGGACAGAGAGTACCAAAAGGTTTTGGAAAGCTGGAGTTAGTGTGAGCATGCTGGGTGTCTACAAGTTAGAGAACAGGAGGCCAGAAAGAGGGAAGAGACAGAAGGGGCTGTGCCAAAAATCAGCCTTACTCATGTGGAAATGCAGTGGGCGTGCTACTCAGCGTTACTGGTAGGCTGTAAATGAAACCCTGAAGAAATACATATATGTGGACTAATTTAGAATACTGCAATCTTGGATTCTGTGATTCAACTCTTTCCTTAATCCAAAAGACCTACTCATCCCTGTCCTATTTCAACCCTGCCTGTCTCTTATGTATTTTTGTTTCCAATTAAATGATAGCTGTATACATTTTAGCAATTATTAATATTATCCAACTCCTGCTTTCCTTTTCTCTTCCTCTCTCCCTCTTTCTCCTCTTCTTTCTCTTTCCCTACACACACACACACACACACACACACCATCCTCAGGAAAAAAGAATAAAGATAAGAGGGAAAAGGAGAAGAAAGAGAGCTTCATACAATCCCCATCTTTCTTTTCCGTCTCTGGTTTTAGTATCAGTGAGGGAAAGCACTCTAGTCACCAAATTCCTTTTTGCTTGAGCTTTCAGATGCAGCATTCCCAGCTGATGCTGTGGGTCTATGATATTTAGCATTGAGTTGGTTAAAAAATGTTAACAGAACACTTTAAAAGGTAAAAAGGTGTACACAGAGAAAGAATTAAGTAAGATAGTGAGAGACTTAAGAATTAATTCTATAACCTACTTAGAATAAAGTGGATTATAAATAAATATGTGGAATGAGGAGACGAGTTAGCAAAGAGGTAATGAAAAAGTGATCTGAAATGTGAGGAAAGAAGACTTCATGGCTCACAATTCTGTATATTATTTTGCTGAAGCAGACAGCCTGTGAACCTGAAAAAAAGATATGTACCATTTGTCTCCCAGCTACTGGGGAGGCTGAGGTGGGAGAATGGTGTGAACCCAGGGGGCGGAGCTTGCAGTGAGCCGAGATCGCGCCACTGCACTCCAGCCTGGGCTACAGAGTGAGACTCTATCTCAAAAACGAAACAAAACAAAACAAAACAAAACAAAAAACTAGGCTTAGGCCTGGATTTAGATTTAGTTCAAATAAAAAACTGATGAAATCTTTATTAGACAACTTTGCTTAGAAAAAGTAGATTACAAAGCTAGAATGAATACTTTGCCTCTTATATTAACAAAGACAGAAGTACACAAGAAAATCCAAATCACTGACCTGTGCTCATTCCAAGGGCTTCTTATTAGTATAAAGTACAGCTATTCATGAAACAAACATCAATCAGTCAGGTTAATCAACATGTGGATGCCACTACATGTAAGGTACCATTATGGAAATAAACTAGAGGATTGAAGTTATTTAAAGAAAACTTTCTTTAGTACTTTTATTTTTAAAATAGCTTTATTGAGGTGTACTTAATATATAATGAGATGCACACATTTAATATATACCATTTGATGAGTTTGAACATATGCATACACCTGTCAAACCATCACTACAATCAAAGTAATAAATATATCCGTTACCTCCAAAAGCTCCCCACTGCTCCCATGTTTGTGTGCCAGGAGCGGGGGGCTGGGTGGGGGTTGGTAAGAACACTTGAGATCTACTCTCTTAAATTTTTTAGTGTACGATACAATATTATTAACTATAGGCACTTTGTTGTTCAGATCTCTAGAACTTATTCATCTTGAATTACTGAAGCTTTATACCCATTAAACAACTTGCTATTTCTCCCTTCCCCCCAGCCCCAGGCAACATCATTCTATTCTGTTTCTATTAGTTTGACTATTTTAGGTAGCTCATGTGAGTGGGATCATGCAGTATTTGTCCTTCTGTGACTGGCTTATTTTATTTAGCATAATGTCTTTCAGGTCCATCCACGTTGTTTCATATGGCAGGATTCCCTTCTTTTTTAAGGCTGAATAATATTCTGGTGTGTGTGTGTGTGTGTGTGTGTGTGTGTGTGTGTGTGTATGTATATTTCTTTCCATTCATCTATTGATAGACATTTAGGTTGTTTCTATATCTTGGTTATTGTGAATAATGCTGTAATGAACATAGGAGTGCAGATATCTCTCCAAGATCCTGATTTCAACTCCTTTGGATAAATACCCAGAAGTGGGATTGATGGATCATATGGTAGTTCTATTTTTAATTTTTTGAGGAACCTCCATACTGATTTCCATAATGCTGTACTGATTTACATTCCTACTAACAGTATACAAGAGTTCTGATTTCTCTATATCCTTGCCAACACTCATTATCTTTTTTTTTTTATAATAGCCGCACTAACAGGTGTGAGATGCTATCTCATTTGGGTTTTGATTTGCATTTCCCTGGTGATTAGTGATGTTGAGCACTTTTTCATATACCTAGTGGCCAATTGTGTATCTTCTTTGAAGAAATATCTATTCAAGTCCTTTGCTCATTTTAAAATCAGGTTATTTGTTGTTTTTTTTTCAATTGAGTTGTAGGAGTTCTTTATATATTTTGGATATTAGGCTCTTATCACATATATGGCTTGCACTTCTTTTTCTCTAATTCCATAGTTGCTTTTTCACTCTGTTGATTGTTTGCTGTGCAGAAGCTTTTTAGTTTAATGTGGTCCCACTTGTCTATTTTGGCTTTCATTGCCTGTACTTTTGATTCCATATCCAAGAAATCATTGCCAAGACCAATATCAAGAAGATTTTCCCCTACATTTTTTTCTAGGTGTTTTATAATTTAAAGCCTTTCATCCATTTAAGTCTTTAATCCATTTTGAATTGATTTTCTATATAGTGTAAGGGTCTAGTTTCATTCTTTTGCATGTGAATATCCAGTTTTCACAGCACTATTTGTTCAAGAGACTATCCCTTCTTCATTTTGTATGGTTGGCACTCTTGTTGAAGATCAGTTGACCATATATGTGGAAGTTTATTTCTGGGCTTTCTATTTCTTTTCATTGGTCCGTATTTCTGTCTTTATGCCAGTACTATACTGTTTTAATTACTGTAGCTTTGTAATATATTTTGAAATTAGGAAGTGTGAGGCTCCCAGCTTTTTTCTTCTTGCTCAAGATTGGTTTGGCTATTCAGAGTCTTTTATGGTTACATATAAATATGCATTTTTTTTCAAGCACACATGGAGGATTCTCTAGGATAGATCACATGTTAGGTAACAAAACGAGTCTTAAAAATTTTAGGATGACTGAAATCATGCCAAGTATTTTTTCTGACCACAAAGGAATGAAACTAGAAATCAGCAGAAGGAAAATTTAAAAATTCACAAATACACGGAAATTAAATAACACACTTCTGAACAATCAATGGGTCAAAGAAGAAATCAAAAGGGAAACCAGAGCCAGGTGTGGTATGTGCCTGTAATCCTTGCTACTTGGGAGGCCAAGGTGGAAGGATTGCTTGAGCTCAGGAATTCAAGGTCAGTCTGGGCAACATAGTGAGACCTCATCTCAAAAAAGGCAGGTGGGGAGGGGAATAAAAAATATCCTGAGACAAATGAAAATGAAAATACAACATGCCGGAACTTATGGGATGCAGCAAAACCAGTACTAAGAGGGAGGTCTTTAGCTAACCATGCCCTAGTTTGGTTTTATCTGTGATGGATCTTCTCTAAATGAAAAATGTGTGACTCTCTAATTTTTTAAAAATAATTTCAAAATTTTTGTATCTTCTCCCAGATGACAACTTTTCTTAGGACCTTAAGTTTGAAAGGGATCTTAGAGAGTATCATATGAGTCCATCTTCCTATCTGAAACATAAATTTCTAAATATTTGATGGGTGACATTAAGCCTTGCTTTACTGCTTCATGCAGGAACCCAATCTATTGTGAGACAGTTGGCATCAATGGAAAGCACTTCCTTATTATTGGTTTCATATCTGCTTCTAACTTCTGCCTATAGATTTTAGTTCTTTTCTCTAGAGCAAGACATTACATACACACACACACACACACACACACACACACACACACTCACACACATTCTCTCATATTCTTTCTTCAGTTTTCCAGGCAAAAGATTCCCAACTTCACTGTCTAGCTGACTATTTTTACCCTTATTTTTGTGCTTCTCTAGACACTAGTTTGTCAATGTCTCTCTTAAAATACTGTTCAAAAAACTGAACATAGTAGCCCAGGTGTAGTCTAAGCAGTACAGAATACTGGCCACTGACCAGTCGCTCCTTTGATCTGGACTCCATGTTCATATTAATTCAACCAAAAATTGGGCTAGTTGTCGTTTTAGTAGCCACATCCCACAGTTAAGACCAAGGCGAACTAAAACCCTTGGGTCTTTAAAAATAACAATTATTATTGTATTAAGTCACCCTTATAGTTTTCTTAGGCAATTGATTTTTTAAAAATATAAATGGAAATTCTGATAGTTAAAATGTCATCTTGTTGATTTTGCTCCTTGTTCCAGATAAAATAATCATTTTGATTCTTTGCTCGCCACCTATCATATTACCTAATTGTTAGTTTTCTAAGCTGTCCACAGATTCCACCAACATGTTTTCTATATTTTTATTGGAGTCATTGTACTTGGAGTCACTCCTAGTACAAATGTATGGCTCATAGTAGGTTCATGACTGTGGATTGGTAAACTGGTAAATAGGGCAAAGTCTGGGCCGCAGTCCTAGACCTGGCCACTAAACATCTTCCAGTTTAACTTCCATAATTTATTGGTCCACCTTCATTTGATTTTTTTTTTTGTTGTTGTTGTTGTTTTTACTTTTATTTTTTGAGACGAGGTCTTGCTATGTTGTCCAGGCTGGTCTCAAACTCTTAGGCTCAAGTAGTTCACCTGGCTCAGCCTCCTGAGTAGTTGGGACTACAGGCATGAGCCACTGTGTCTGATTTGGTTTTTCATATAACTCTGAGTTACAGGAAGATTCTATATTCATGCTTCTGGAAAAAGATTTTAAAGAGGGGTCAGGTGTGGTGGCTCACGCCTGTAATCCCAGCACCTTGGGAGGCTGAGGCAGGTGGTTCACTTGAGGTCAGGAGTTTGAGAGCAGCCTGGCCAACATGGTGTCTCTACTAAAAATACAAAAATTAGCCAGGTGTGGTGGTGTGCACCTGTCGCCCCAGCTACTCTGGAGGCTGAGGCAGGAGGATCACCTGAGCCTGGGAGGCAGAGGTTGGAGTAAGCTGAAATCGCACCACTGCAATCCAGTCTGGGCGACCTAGCAAGACCCTGTCTCAAAAAAAAAAAAAAAAAGATTTTAAAGAGGCATCTTGACCTTCTAATACCAATAATTCAATGTGTAAGCTACTTAACTCTCACTTACTTTCCCCTTAGTTCATTCCTATTATTGGAGTATTTTACTAATCTTCCCACCTCTATTAGATCATGAATTTCTTTTAGGGTAAGGATCATATCTTAGTAATTTTTGAAATTCCAAAACTTTTTAGCAGAATTCAGCAAGTGCTGTTTAGTTTGACATTTATTGCATTCATGTGCTAGCCATCGTGGTAGACACATACAAACATAAGTCAGACACAGTCCTTGCCCTTGAGAATTTTTTGGTTTAGAGAGGGAGTTGTAAAATCCAACTGCTTAAGTGTGAACTTTGGCTCTGCTACTTACTAGCTGGTGACCTTGGGGAAATTACTTAACCTCTGTTTGCTTGAATTGCTGTTAAATAGTGCTAAATAATAGTGCCTACCTCAGAGGATTGTTGTGAAGAAGGTAGACACACAAACAATTTTAATGTAATGTGGTGAGAGCTAAGATGAGAGATTTGGACAGAGAGCTCAAAGGAGACACACTCAGCTCAGTTTAAGGGTCTTCAGGGGAGGCTTCCAAAAGATGAAAGCTGAAAAGAATTATAAAGGTCTAGTAAGAGCCAGATGAAAAAAAATTGGATGAGCATTTGAGGAGAAAGAAACAGAACGAGCAATGGTCCCAAAAGTAGGAAGAGACATGGTATGTCAGGTAACTATCATCAGTTGTGAACATCTAAACTCAGTAATGACAGTGTCCATAGATAAAACAGGAAGACACCTGAGACCAGGTCATGGGAGGCCTTCTCTGTCCCTTCAGCCAGATGGCTGCTCCTAAACCCCTCTGTAGAGAAATTCTGAAGTTGCAGCTGGGTAGGAAACTGCTGAAGTGATAAATTCCAACTGTGCCAGTGATAAGATGTGAGGAATGGAAGGGAGGGAGATGTTGAAGATTGCTCCCAGGTTGTTGACTGGAGTGAACAGATGCAATCAGTTACTGAGAGTTTACCACATGCCATTCACTGTGCTGGGCACTGAACATACAAAGGTAGATAAAATATGGTCCCAGCCCTCAGGGAGCATATAATCCATTTCATTTAGATATTTAGCCCTTATTCCTCTAATTATTACAGCCTAATATATATAAGGATGTAATAAAAGACTGTTAAATAACTTGCAGAAATCAATACATATTATGTCTGTATGCTGGAGCCAAATGAATTGTGGTAGGAGTCAAATGTTTGCATTGCCATTTATGGGCTCTGGATACATAATTCTGGGGCTCAGAGGAGAAATCTAGGGTGAAAATAGAGAGATTGGTAGTACTGATAGTTGAAGTCAAGGATGTGAGTGGTGTCATTCAATGGGAGTATAAAGAGTGAAGGAGTCTGGGCTTGGTGGCGCATATCTGTAGTTCCAGCTACTCGGGAGGCTGAGGTGGGAGGGTCACTTGAGACGAGGAGTTCAAGGCAGCAATGGTCTATGATCATGCTACTGCACTCCAGTCTGGGTGACGTAGCGAGACCTCATCTCTTAAAGAAAATTTAAAAAAAAGGAGAAGGCAAAATCCTACAGTATTTATTCAGCACCACAGGAGTGGGCAAATAAAGAGAAGCATTCCCTCCCCACCAAAGAGTAGAGACCAGATAAACAAGGAGAATGGATAAAGAGGGAAAAATACCTTAAAATCTAGGGAAAAGAGACCTTAAATGAGAATTTCAAGGTGGAAGGAGTACTTTCAGTCTCTGAAAAGATGTCAAGCAAGATGAAGATTGAAAGGAATTCACTGGATTTACTGACAAAGAGATAATTGATGATCTTTGCAGAGGGTTTCAGAGTACTGGGGGCGGAAGCCAAGCTAGAGTGGGAAGTGATGAAGAAAAATGAGTGTAGATCGTTCTTTCAAAAAATGTGTCTGTGAAGGAATGAAGATAGAAGAGGATGTAGAGTCAAGAGAAGTTTGGTGGTGAGTGTGTATGTGTGAGTGTGTGTGTGTGTGTGTGTGTGTGTGTTTTAACTGGTAGAGTTAAGCATTTCTGGAAAGAGCCAGAAGACAGAAAGTTTGAAATAAAGGTGATTAGAGATAACCTACAGAGGACAAGGGAATCTACAACAGAAGAGACTCTTTAGTCAGGGGTAGACCCCTCCTTTACTCTGATATGGGTGGGAGAAGGAAGCAAGGGTAGCTTTGCTTGCTGGTTAAGTGGGTAGTGCACAGTGCCGGAAGTTTAACCTTGGCATCTATTTCCTCTGTGAGGTAGGAAGCAGATATCTGCAGGGAGTGTGAGGATGGAGGAATAGGAGGCTTTCGATGAGGGTGGAGGGATGGTAGGCTCAAAGGTCTGGAGTGAGCCAAGCATGTTGGTGCATGCCTGTAGTCCTAGCTGCTCAAGAAGCTGAGGCAGGAGGATCACTTGAGCCCAGGAGTTCGAGGCTATAGTAAGCTAGGATTATGCCACTATACTACAGCCTGGGTAACAGAGTGAGACCCTGTCTCTAAAAGAAAAAAAAAAAAGAGTCTGGAGCTTAAATTAGATGAGAGTGAGGGGGCATGAAAGATCTTGAGAAGGGATGTTCTATGCTGGCATATTTGTATTAGATATTGTTCTAGATGGTGATAAGACTCAGGAGATATCCTCAAGAAAGGGTGATTAAAGTGAGATGAAGGGGTCTGCCTCTTTCTCCACAATATTCCTAGTATCTAATACAATACCTGGTACATAGTAAGTCCTCAATATGTATTTGTTCAAAAACAAAAATTCATTATTTTCTACTTTCCAGTGTATTACTCCAATTTCACTCTTTTACATATTCATAATTGTAGTAAATGCTCTAAAAGAAAAGAACTTCTTCGGAGTCCTGATCTAGTCTGGGGTTGGGGGTCAATAAGTTTTCCTCAGGAAACAAAATTTAAGGGGAGATGGGAAGAATCAGCAGGAGACAGTGAGGAGATGAGATATGGAGGGAGCCTTACCAGGGACAAAATTTCTGAGTATCTTGAGGTCAGAAAAAGCTGCAAGTGTTCCAGCTGGGTAGTGATGGGGGAGGAGAGGGATGGGGCTGAAGGGGAGGGGGACCATATTATGTGAGGTCCAGTATGTGCTCATTCATGATGCATGTTGTGACCCATGAGACTTGAAATGGGAAAAATTGACATAATTGTTGTTAGCTTATAAGCATTACTAGGAATTAATATTATGGAGATGTGATTCTACACAGTGAGATTTGAAAGCTGAAAGATTATATTTGCTAAAATATCTCCTCCAGCACACTGCTACTTCCCTTCTACATAGCCTTATTCCTTTGGATTAAACAAAGCAAATGTGGCAGTCTTCCAGAAGCCACTACTAAATTGTACTTAGTTTACCCGGAGAAAAAGCCTCTCCTTCGTCTCTGCTATTCTGATTTTTTTCCATTAGCTTCATGGTTGGTGTCTTAGTTTGTTCTGGCTGCCATAACACAGTACCTTAGACTGAGTAATTTATAAGTAATAGAAATTTATTTCTCACAGCTGTGGAGGCTAAGTCCAAGGTCCAGGAGTCGGCAGATTCAGTGTCTGGTGAGGGCTTGCTCTCTGCCTCTTAGACGTGCCTCTTGCTGCATCCTCATGGGGTGGAAGAAGGAGAGGGGTCTCTCTACAGCCTCTTTAATAAAGGCACTAACCTCATTCATGAGGGCTCCGCCCTTACCACCTCATCACCTCCCAAAGGCCCCATCTCTTAATATCATCACCTTGGGAGTTAGGTTTCAACACATGAATTTTGAGAGGACACATACATTCAGACCATAACAATTGGGTTAATTAGGTATTTGCATAGGGGAGAGATAAGCTTCAATGAGTGGAACGTGAAGAAAGCAAAGAACAGAGCAGTAACCTTTGGGGCATGATAGGGATGGGAGGCTCAGATAGGTAAGCATTGTGAAGGAGATTTTAAATCTTGGGTTGTCTTAGTACAGCTAAGGTCCCAGGGGATACTCGTTTCACAATTTTGTCCAGTATGTAAACCCTAAACCCCCAATTTTTTTTTGCCAAGATAAAGAATTAGCTGCATACCCCAAGATCAATCTTGGAGGAACTGTTTTGAATTGGTATTGTGTATTTCCATGTGTGTACTGTGTATATGTGGGGATGTGTGTGTATATCTGGATGTATATCTGTTGCCTGGGGCAGGAGACTTATGTGGAAATTAAAAGCAGAGGCTCAGACTGCTGATATAAGTGTCCACAAGGATAATGATCAGGACAGAACAGAAGCCAGAGTTTAGAAATAGAAAACTGGTGGGGATTGGATGACCTTGAGCATTTATTCTCCCACTGCACCACACCCTCCATCCCCTAGGGCTGGTGAATTACAATCCAGAAATGCCGTCTCTTCAGGCTGCTTCTCCTTGAGGGATAGAGGATAGTGTGAGTCTAAAGATAGGGCCCTGACCTGAAGAGTTGCTTGGTGGCGTGATACCCAGCCTAAGCAATTAATTATGATAGTCTGGTGCTTGGTGCCTGGATCTCTCCACCGTAGTGCTTGTCTCTTCCTCTCTCCTTGAGCTCACTGGATGTTGACACAGACTGTTTTTTTCCATTTTGAATGCTCAAACAGAATAGCTGATACCATCAGAGAAATATATACTCACAGGCCAAAGTAATGAGACATCTCAGGAGTACAGTTACTTCAAAATAAAGCAACAACTTGGATTATAGATGCCACCAGAAGCAAATATGTTAGATCAGATGGTTAACAAAATTAACAAATATAAAACAAGCATAATAAACAATGTTTATTGATCTAGTTTTTTTTTACTAATAACAGGATTTACTTTGAAAATCATATTTGGAAATAGTGCTATAGGATATAAAAATAGTGTGGGATTTGTTCAGAAATAAATATATGAAACTTTAAATTCAGAAACCAGACCCATGTATATATGTTTTTTTTTCTTTTTCTTTTTTTTTTTTTTTTTTTTTTGAGATGGAGTCTCACTCTATTACCCAGGCTGGAGTGCTGCTGCACAATCTCGGCTTACTGCAACCTCCGCCTCCCAGGTTCAAGTGATTCTTCTGCCTCAGCTTCCTGAGTAGCTAGGACTACAGGTGTGTGCCACCATGCCCAGCTAATTTTTGTATTTTTAGTAGAGATGGAGTTTTGCCATGTTGGCCAGGCTGGTCTCAAACTCCTGAGCTCAGGTGATCTACCAGCCTTGGCCTCCCAAAGTGCTGGGATTATAGACATGAGCCACTGCGCCTGACCATATATGGAATTTTGATATATGATAGAAGTGGTATGGCAGATCAATGGGGAAAGGAGGGACTATTCAATAAATGGACTTGTAAAAAATGGTTATCTAGGCCAGGTGCAGTGCCTCACACCTGCAATCCCAGCCCTTTGGGAGGATGAGATGGGTGGATCACTTGAGCCCAGGAATTCCAGACTAGCCTGGGCAACATAGTGAAACCCCATCTCTACAAAAAAATTAGCTGGGGATGGTGGCATGTGCCTGTGGTCCCAGCTACTTGGAAGGCTAAGGTGGGAGGATTGCTTGAGCCTGGGAGGTCAAGGCTGCAGTGAGCTGCGATTGCACCACTGCTCTCCAGCCTGAGCAACAAAGCAAGATCCAGTCTCAAAAAAAAAATCTATATGGAAAAAATGACATTGATCCCTACCTCATACCATATATAAAAATAAACACATAAATTAAATACTTAAATGTTAAAAGTAAAATTTTATAAATTTTATTAGCAAATATATGTCTTTCTGACTTTGAGCTAGGGAAGTATTAAGGACACAAAAAAGCCTCCAACCATAAAAGAAAATATTAATGAATCTGATTATATTAAAATTAATAACTTCTGAAAATCAAATATGAGATCCATAAATGTGAGATTCAAGGAAGGGAAGGTGGAGAAATGAATTGAGGGGAAGCTCATAGGTGGTTGTATGATTGTTAATATTCTAATTCTTATATTGGGTGGTTGGCTTACAAGTATTCATATTTTTATTCATAATAAGCAAATATATAAATAAGTACATAAGTATATATAAATAAAAACAAAAGAGTGGCCAGGCACGGTGGCTCATGCCTGTAATCCCAGCACTTTGGGAGGCCGAGGCGGGTGGATCACGAGGTCAGGAGATCGAGACCATCCTGGCTAACATGGTGAAACCCCGTCTCTACTAAAAATACAAAAAAATTAGCCGGGCATGCTTATAAGCTTATAATGCTTATAAGCTAACAACAATTATAAGTTGGAGGCGGAGCTTGCAGTGAGCCAAGATTGCGCCACTGCACTCCAGCCTGGGCGACAGAGTGAGACTACATCTCAAAACAAACAAACAAACAAACAAAAAGGGTGCTAAGCTTGTACCAGTGAAAAACAGTGTTTCATGAATCAAAGATAATCTGTGCACTTGAGCAGAAAAACATCAACTATCCCAACCATATTTTGTTTTTACTATTAGTTATCATTAATCTACACAACAATCCTATTTTTGATTACTACTATAATCCCCTTTTTACAGATGGATCAAAGCTTAGTGAGTTAATGTAACTTGCTCAAGTCCATGAAGCTAGTATATGACAGAATCAAGAATTTGAAGTCTCATCTGTTTGACTCTAGGTCCTGGGTCTCAACAATTAGGTTTAGGCCCCCAGGCACTTAAGACCATTTTACTCACAAAGGTACCCACTAAGAGCAATTATTGCTGAGGATAACAATCTCTAGATATGTGAAGGTAAAAGTTGACCTAACATTTGAATGTTTTGCCACACAAAGTGTGCCTTAGCAACTTGAGGAATTTACATGTGTGTCATAATGGAAAAAACTGTGTTAAAATGAAGTCACACATATACCATTGAGTAATAAGAATCTGAATGCAAGAGAGCTCAAGTAAGAAATGTCATGCACTGTTGGATCAAGAGTGATTCACTCCTGGAGTCTGCACAATGTTCCTCTTCCATATGCCCACACAGGAATGTAAAGATATAAAGAGAACGTTCACAAACTTTTCTAGCAGTTGTAAATTTGCTACACACCTAATGAATTCTGCTTTGTGACCTCACTAAAGCACCTTTGTTTCTTAGTTCTTTAAAGAACATCAAATGTAAGTCCCATGCCCCCTCTACTGGTCAGCCTCATTTTGTCATAAATGTTTTTCTAAATAGGCATCCATCCATCCATCCATCCCTGTGAACAAAGATACTTATTTCTAGTGTCCTGAGTCTTTCTGGAGAGGAGAGTTGGCAGTGGGAAAGAGAGAGGAGTATATATATATTTTTTTTGTGTGAAGAAGATAAAATGTCACCAAAAATCTGGCTTGTGGGCAGGTGCCATATAACTGAACTTATACCATAACTTTGGAGGAATAAGATTGGAGGTGTGGAGATCAGTTTTAGAGGCAGCATCTGTAGCCTTTGCTTTATACCCAAAAGTAAAAATTAAAAATAATCTGTTAATTTTCTTCAATTCATCATCCAATTAAACTTATTAGGTACTCTCACAGAGGTCTGTCTTATTGTGTATCTCTCTATCCACTTCCCCTAAAAGTAGTGCTCTCCTCTCCTTCCTGTGTTTACATGTCAGATCTATTCATCAGAGTAAAATGAGGACTTTTGAGGGCAGAAATCACATTTAATTTTCTGTCAGGTTCAGCCCCCAACTCCCAAATAGTGCATACCACATGGTAAATAACAATTATGCTACTTAGCTACCCCTCTCAAATTGCCACGTAAGAACAGAAAACATCCCCATTCAGTAGCCCAAGGAAATCCAAATCAAAAGGATAAAAGAAGATGCTGACCATGCACCAGAAGACTAAATACAGTAATTTTATTGTTGTGCCCATAATCACTATTTGACCAGAAACATTTCAGGATATGTTGATTCTCAGATGTTGGAGTTCAATGATCAGGTTCAGAAAACATCTATTAAAATGACTTCCCTTTTCCTCCACCTCTGAACCTCCAGATCCCTAAACACTGAAGAGGGCTAAACAATATGGTTCTTTTATTCTTTTCAACTCACATACTACTTGACCACAAAATCCTTATAGTAATATAGTAGCAACTTTGAGCATCAGGAAGTGAGACACGAGGCAGCCAGCTTCTATGGGCAAGGAGCCAGGAGCCCTGAGTTCTGCTCTTGGATCCACCATGTTGTAGCTAGCTAACCAGCGGAGAGTCACTTCATTTTAGTTTGTGTCTCAGTTTCTGATATGGTCATGCTTTGTGTTCCCCCCCAAATCTTATCTTTGGAAATTATAATCTCCATCATCCCCATGTGTCAAGGGAGAGACCAAGTGGAGATAATTGGATGATGGGGGCGGTATCCCCCATGCTGTTCTTGTGATAGTGAGTGAGTTCTCAGGAGATCTGATGGGTTTTTTGTTGTTGTTGTTGTTGTTGTTGTTTTGTTTTGTTTTGTTTTATGAGATAGAGTCTCGCTCTGTCACCCTGGGCTGAAGCACAGTGGTGCAATCTCAGCTCACTGCAACCTCCACCTCCCAGGTTCAAGTGATTCTCCTGCCTCAGCCTCCCGAGTAGCTGGGACTACATTTCACCATGTTGGCCATGCTGGTCTCGAACTCCTGACCTCAGGTGATCTGCCCACCTCAGCCTCCCAAAGTGCAGGGATTAGAGGTGTGAGCCACCGCACCTGACTGAGATCTGATGGTTTTATAAAGGGCACTTCCCCCTTCGCTTGCTGTAAATTAGTCTCGGGCAGTTCTAATAGCAGTATGAAATGGACTAATACAGTTTCCTTATTTGTAAAGTAGTAATAATCATATCTGCTTTATATACTAACTTCACTGGGTAGGCAGGTAATATCTTGTAAACTCTGTATGCTCTCTGGAGCGGTAAGGGGTGGGGCTGGGGTGTCAAACCACTTTCCCTTTTCCATGATGCATTCATATTCTGAAGACTTCAGACTGTCCTCAGACTGGGACAAGTGAAAACTGCCCGGGTTTAGAAGGCCCTGCATATCACAAACCACCCACAACACCCCCACCCACACACACATTATTAAAGAGCACATGACCCCTCTCTCAGTTTGGCATTCAGCACTGACACAGCATGGCCATAAGCCTAAATGTCCACTCTTACCACTAACACTGGTTAGGCCCCAGGAAACCATTCTCCATATCTCTTGCCTTATGTCCTCAAAACAGCAGGTGGCTGCATCTGAATGCCATAAAGACTTGCATGTTGGGCCTGGTGCGGTGGCTCATGCCTGCAATCCCAGCACTTTGGGAGGCTGAGGCAGTCAGATCACCTGAGGTCAGGAGTTCAAGACGAGCCTGGCCAACATGGTGAAACCCTGTCTCTACTAAAAATGGAAAAATTAGCTGGGCATGGCAGCATGTGCCTGTAATCCTAGCCACTCGGGAGGCTGAGGCAGGAGAATTGCTTGAACCCAGGAGGCGGAGGCTGCAGTGAGCCGAGATTGTGCCACTGCACTCCAGCCTTTTAAATAAATAAATATTAATAAACATTTATTATTAATAAATAATAATAAATAAATAAAAATAAAAGCTTGCAGTCTGTGGTATCCCCATTTTAAAATTACAAATTTTAATGTATATTTTGCCTTTTAATTTTAATAGATGGTTTTGAATATTTTAGAAAAGATAACTTTTTAACAATATATGAAAAACAATTTCATATTAAAATTTTTTGTATTTATATTATACTTTTGATAAAAATATAAAAATTTATACAGCTTGAATAGATGTATATTTTAATTTTAATCTTTTTTATCACTACTGTTGATAAAACACAAATTATTTGAAAATCTTGATTATTACAACTTAACTGGGCCAGGCATGGTGGCTCACATCTGTAATCCCAGCACTTTGGGAGGCTGAGTTGGGAGGATTGCTTGAGGCCAGGAATTCAAGACCAGCCTGGGTAACATAGCAAGACCCGATTTCTACAAAAAAATTTAAAAATAGCTGGGTGTAGTGGCACAAACCTGTGGTCCTAGCTACTCAGGAGGCTGAGGTGAGAGGATTGCTCGAGCCCAGGAGTTCAAGGCTACAGTGAGCTGTGATTGCACCACTGCACTCCAGCATGGGTGACAAAGTAAGACACTATCTCTTAAAAAAAAAAACCGAAACAACTAGTGATTTTGCTAAAATGAGAACAAAAAAAAAAATAGATGCTTCATAAGTAGATAGAATGCAGATTTCTTTTAAAAAGGCAAACTACTTTTAAGAGTATGAATTCTACCTCAGAGCAATAGAAATCTATTATATAAGTGATTTCTCAATCTGGGTTTCTTAAATGGGGTTATAAGAGGTATATCATGATTTGGGAGGGGAAGGGATTTCTCAAAGCCCTTGTTAAACATACTGCATGTTCTGGAATATCAATTGCCCTTTTAAACTTCTGTTTCTTTAAGAAAAACAGAGTAGGTTGTGGGACTTGAACGAATATTTAAGATAAACACAGGACTTTGGAAAAATTTTGCATTTCCCAATAATTTTGCTTTGGGTCACTTTCCCAGGGCTTTGAGTACACACCGGGGTGTGTGTGTGTGTGTGTGTGCGTGTGTGTGTGCATGTGTGTGTGTGTGTGTGTGTGTTGTGTAGCTTTCATTCTTCTCTGTCAGTACTTCAGTGGAAAAGTTTAGGAAGCACTGGAAGAAATAATAAACAACTTACTAGGACAAGAGTTCAGATTAGTATGCCTAGGAAAGAATTGAAAGAAGACAGTTCCTAATGGCCAGGCGCAGTGGCTCATACCTATTTGTAATCCCAGCACTTTGGGAGGTTGAGGTGGGCTTGATCCCAAGAGTTTGAAACCAGCCTGTGCAACATGGCAAAACCCCATCTCTACAAAAAAATGCATAAATTAGCAGGACGTGGTGATGCATGCCTGTAGTCCCAGCTACTTGGGAGACTGAGGGAGGAGGATCTTTTGAGCCCAGGAGGTTGAGGTTGAGGCTGCAGTGAGGTGTGATCACACCAGTCACTGCACTCCAGCCTGAGCAACAGAGCAAGACCCTGACTAAAAAAAAAAAAAAGAGGGTTACCTTCATTTGAAAAGGCATTACACCATGTTGCCAGCTTAATTGATTGTTTTTGTGTATGCTACTAATGAGACCAAATCAATCATTCTATCCCTGCATGGACTGGTTAATTGAGCTCTTTTTCTTTGCTAAGATGTCCCAACCTTGGCCAGCCTTGCTGGTGTGTAACTGCTTGGTCATTAGCAAGAGTGCAGGAGAGAATGTGGAAGGCACAGCACAATCTAACAGTGCTTTGGAAAAACAACCAAACAGATGTTTCCACTAACAGTGGATAAGAAGCACTTCCTTCCTACAGATCTGTGCTCAGTTCTCTGCATACAGATCTGAGTTCTCAGTTCCACCAAGGTATACTGTGAAAAAGGAGTGAGTTTCATCTCCTTTTCTGTCCCTCTTTGCTCTATTTTCTTCTGCAGCATGGGAGAGTTAATACTAGAGAGAAGAGTCAGAGTGCTGAGGCAGGAAAAAAGAAACAAATATGAGGGGTTAGTGTCCTGATGCTGGTCCTGGTTAGGGCACTAAGTAGCTATGGACCTTAGATTAAGTCTGCTGAACTTTTCTAGGCCTCCTTTTCCTCATTTGTAAAATCAGAGTTTTGGTTTAGATGATCTCTTAGGTTCCTTCTAATTCCAATATTCTGGATTATTTTGAACATTTTCCTGCAAAGTTTTCCTTTACTTTTGTAACCCCCTAATATGCAAACTTAATGACATTCAAAAATGGTTTACTGAGGTGGCTCTCAGGAAACTTCTTAGGGTCAACAAGTTCCAAGCTTCTCAAAATAGAAGGATTATACCTTCTAAATAGAAGGATTATGTCAGAGTCCTGATTTTGAATTAGAAATATTGATATAATGAATGATGTGTATTAAAAAGATAATTTCCTAGTTCTCTCCCCTGAATAGGCCTAGAAATAGAGATCAAACTGCAGGCAACAAGCACTCCTAGCTCCCAGACAGAGATCTCTATTTACTAGTTTTCTCTAAAAGTAATCAAGACATGTAGCGGATGCTGTGGTTTGCCACCCAGATTCTCCATTCAGAACTGAGGCCTGGGATGCTGGGAACAGTGGTGGCTGTTGGCTGTCCCTGAATCACTCTCTGGGCATTGTCTTAAACCAAGGTTTCTTAGTCTCAGCACTATTGACATTTTGGACTGGATAATTCTTTGTTGTTGGGGACTGTTCTGTGCATTAGAAGATGTTTAGTAGAATCCCTGGCTTCTACCCACTAGACACCAGTAGCACCCTACCCATGGCTGTGACAACCAAAAATGTCTCCAGGCATTGCCAAATGTCTCTGGGGGACAAAGTGCCTTGATTGAGAACCACTGCCCTAACATGAAGAGAGTCACCTCACCCAGGGTTATACCATTCTCCCCAGAGGCAGCCCATATCTAATGACTGGTTAATGTGGATTATAAAGGTCAGGCTCTCTTGCCTCAAAGCAGGACATCTTACAGGGCTAGACCATCTCCAGTGTTCTGTGTGGAATTGGCTGTGACTGTACTGTGGTTCCACTGCTTTCTCTGCCCAGTCCTACTTTTGCCCCTCCCCCATAGGTGTTAATTCTAAGGGCAGTCCCTTAAATGCATGTAAATATTCAACTCAGAGTCAATTTCCTGGAAGAACCCAACTTGAGACAGGTCTTCTTAGAGAAATGGCTGATTCCAGGTTTGAAGCAGAGGATATGCCAGATAAACTTGGAACATCTTGTGATACCAGAAAGCAAGGAAGCAAGCTATGAAAGATTACTAGGATCATGTCAAAAGGACAGGAGTTAATTTACATACTCTTTTCTTGGCCACAGGTGTTCAAAGATGAACATCTGTAATGATTGATGCTTAAATTCATGACATAAAGATTTTTAAAAAGTCATTGGTCACTTTGAAGAATGCAAGGAACTACCTCTTAATTTTAAAAACTGGTAAATAAAATAAGCATTTTTTCCTGTCTTTCCTATATTGCCTATATCAGATAACCAAACAACTGATGAAGGGGAAGGCTCAAGTTAATAAAAAAGAAAGGATAGAAGTAGAATATCACCATTTTGCAGTCTTCAAAGAGGTAATGACCTCTTTCAAAGAAGCAATGATCATCAGTGGCTAAGAACAGCAGAAAAAGAAACAACTGGATATCATGGACCTCCTGCTAGACACCACCACAGTGCAGTGGTCTTGTGGGGAGTGTTGGGAGCAGTTCACAAGGCTGCCCTTGCTTCTGGCATCAACTGCAAGTTTGGGGATTCTCAAAACCACACTTAGTTTTGATAATTTGCTAGAAGGACTTGAAGTCACTAAAAGTTGTTATACTAATGGGTATGGTTTATCACAGCTAAAGGATACAGATTAAAAGTAGTCCGGGAAAAGAATCACATAAGGCAAAGTCTAGAAAAGTTCCAAATATGGATGTTCCAGTTATCTTCTCCCTGTGGAGTTGTATACACCATTACTTTCCCATTATCAATGTATGACAATATGCACAAATTATTGCCAAGCAGGGAAATTCACCTGAGCCTTCCTGTCCAGAGATTTATCTGGTTGGCTACCCACATGACTTCTCCATCTCCAGCCCCTCCAGAGCTGATTGCCGAGTATGTGTGACCCAAACCTCCCGCTCTGTATCACACCATTACACTATCCAGTTTAACCAAGGCCTGCACACGAACAAAACCACTCCTATCATGAAATTCCAAGGGTTTAGAAATTACCTCCCCAAATACAGGGCAAAGGCCAGACCCCTTTTTGGACAAGATTAGAGTCTTTTCTACACATCTGCAAAACAAACAAACAAAAAAGATTGAGCCTGAATCTAATTAAGCCTTTAGATTCAACTAACAATTTACAGGAAACAGGGATAAAGAACATTTTAAGTTACACCATAGCAAATTCAGGCCAATTGACCTGGTATCTTCAACAAAAAGTTGCAAGAGGAAAAAGGGGATGGAAGAGAAACCTATAAATTAAAGTAGAATTAAAATACATATTGCTCAGTTGCAATGTATTGAACCTTATTTGGATCCTGATTTAAATAATGAAGTTGAAAATGCTCAGAATTAGGGTAATGTGAACTCTGGTTGAATATTTTATGATGTTAAGGAATTAATTTTTGCATTAGATAATTGTTATGATCATGTTTAAAGATCAAAAAAGAATCTTTATCTTTTAGAGATTCTTATTGAAATATTTACAGATGAAATGAGATAATGTTTGGGATTTGCTTCAAAATAACCTGGGGATGAGTTGGTAGTGGGTGGGGTTTTGGATGGAATGAGACTGGCCATGTGCTGTAAGAAAACAAAAAAATTGGGTTGTATGTTAGTTCACATGTTCATGCTTTCCATTTTGAAAAATGTGAAATATATATGTGCTAGAGCCTGTGGGACTCAGGAGGCCTTCACTGAGCCTTGCTTTTCTGCTAAGGTACTTGTGTGCAATAGACTGTTCTTAGTTGCTCACCTCTCCATTTTCTCTGGGCCTTTGAGGGAGCAGATGTTGATTATTTTGGTTGAAAGCTGGAACTAGTATTCATGGTGGTTGAGGCCATACAGTTGTTGCAAAGAGATACAGATGCATACACAAGATAATGGATATGTTTTGTCTATTGATTTTTCTTAAATTTTTTTTTATAGAGATGGGGCCTATGTTGCCCAGGCTGGTCTCGAACTCATGGACTCAGTCCATCTGCTCATCTTGGCCTACCCAAAGTGCTGAGATCACTGGTGTGAGCCATTGCACCTGGCCCCATTTATATTTCAAGAGCAGCATTATATTTCTACTAAGATGGTAAATTTAATGTGGATAAACATTACCTTGTAATATTCTGGTAAGATCAATATATTTTGAAGTTAAAATTTAAAGCCTCATGTTTGCCATTTAAGGATGTATATTTATTTTTGTATGTTTAACTGCATTTTGTATGTCTAAATAGTGGAATATTAAATTTATTGAGAAAAGGGAACTTTAAGTGATAAGGAGGAGAAAGCCAAGTATTTCAGAAGAACATTGAGCTTTGAGTATACGATCTCAACTTGTTAATACTAACAAGTGTATTAGTCCATTTTCACACTGTTATAAAGAAATGCCTGTGAGGCTGGGCATGGTGGCTCACACTTGTAATCCCAGCACTTTGGGAGGCCAAGGCAGGTGGATCACCTGAGCTCAGGAGTTCAAGACCAGCCTGGGCAACATGGCGAAACCCCATCTCTACAAAAAATACATAAATTAGTCCGGCATGGTAGCATGCGCCTGTAGTCCCAGCTACTCAGGAGGCTGACCAGGAGAATCACTTGAACCCGGGAGGTGGACATTGCGGTGAGCTGAGATTGCGCCACTGTACTCCAGCCTGGGTGACAGAGCGAGACCCTGTCTTGGAAAACAAAACAAAACAAAAAACAAAAACAAAAGAAAGAAAAAGAAATGGAAATGCCTGAGACTGGGTAATTTATAAAGGAAGGAGGTTTAATCGACTAACAGTTCCATGTGGTCGTGGAGGCCTCAGGAAACTCACAATCAGGGCAGAAGGGGAAGCAGGCACCTTCTTTACAAGGTGGTAGGAGGGAGAGAAGTGCTGCAAAGGGGGAACTTCCAAACACCTATAAAACCATCAGCTCTGGTGAGAACTCTCTCACTATCACGAGAACAGCATGGGGGAACCACCCCCGTGATCCAATCACCTCCCAGCAGGTCCTTCCCTCAACACAAGAGGATTACAATTTGAGATGAGATTTGGGTGGGGACATAGAGCCAAACCATATCACAAGAAATAACAAAAAGTTTTTCTGTGTGCAACTAGCAGAGATTCCAGGTATCACTAAAATATACTTATTTGAAGCCTGATAACATTTTGTCTGATTTTTAAATCATTCACTGAAATAATTTTTAAACAAACTCTACTTCTGAAAAGACTACAATTCCTAATATTGTTACACACTACTGTGTATTTTCACCATAACAAAGATTGTAACCATTTCGCATGTTTAGGCACTTATGATTTATACTCCCATCTTGTCTCCTTTGACAATTTTTTTTTTCCTCGAGATTGAGTCTCACTCTGTTGCCCAGGCTGAAGTGCAATGGCGTGATCTCAGCTCACTGCAACCTCTGCCTCCCAGGTTCAAGAGATTCTCCTGCCTCAGCCTCCTGAGTAGCTGGGATTACAGGCGCCTGCCACCACACCCAGCTAATTTTTGTATTTTTAGTAGAGACGGGGTTTCGCCATGTTGGCCAGGCTCGTCTCAAACTCCTGACCTCGTGATCTGCCCGCCTCAGCCTCCCAAAGTGTTGGGATTACAGGCGTGAGCCACCGCGCCTGGCCGACAACTTTTTAGACTGGCTTTTCTCATATTCTGAATAGTAAAACTGTTAATATATCTTTTACAACCAAACTGTCTTTGAGGTTTCTTTCTTAGACAACATCAAAGTTTATTTTCTCATTTTGTAAAAGGAGGGTTGCCGGAAGTCATTGAATATACTTGGAATTCTCTGTATTTGTGACGGCATTTGCCAAGCCCATAGTATAGGAACGGTTGGCAAACCAACTTCCCTAGGTCAATTATATACAAAAATATACAAAGCATGTTATTAATATTTGGTCAATTATATACAAAGCATGTTATTAATATTAAAATGAACATGTTTCAGCAATTGTAGTCTTTCAGGACAGATAGAGCATACTCAAGGTAATGTGTGAAGACTGGCACAATAACTGTCGGCAAGACTTAGTCAACGTTTCTGTTTTAAAATACTTGTGTCAATTGGTTACCAAAAAATACACATTGGGATAAATTAAAAAGTCCTGGAGATCTGTCAATGCCTTTGTTGTCTATAGGATGTTACTACTTTCGGAGCAATTGTTGATTAAATCCTTTAAAAATACTTGTACATTATGTCTCATTTTTCTTATTGTAGATACTATTAATTATTATAGTAAATTAACCCAAGCCATTCAGTCTTGTCGTCAACAGGTAGTTTCTTCTTTTCCTTTGCAATTATCTAAACACCCTTGATATTAATCAATAAATTAATAATGGAGTCTCTGGAAGAAACATCAAGGGGATCATAACCTCAGCAATGGCCTCAAATAGGTTCTTTTAACTATTGACACTAAATGGAACAGATTCATGGACACAGGCTTTCCAGTATAAGCTGACACTGTCACCTGAAGCCCATGGTTGGACTGTGTGACTGAGCATTTCTAGGACCTTTTATTTAGTCTAAAAGCAGATGACTTTGTGATAGTAGGGTTACTTAAACCAAGTTCAGAAAACAAGAATTAATGATGCAGGATGGAAAGAAATTAAGATGAAAATTCACTTGGGGCTAATCTATATTCTGTTTGGCAAATGAGAACAACACCCCTTTTCTTTCTTCTTGATCTATCACTAATTCTCGATTTAATAAACAAACCCTGTACGAAGTGGAACAAAACATTCTTTAAATGGTATCTCATTACAACTGATGTCTCAGAATTCAGAAAAAAAATCTATAAAATATCTTAGGGTATAGATTATAAGTGAATAAATAAGAGAAAAATCTAAGAAAACTGATTCTGAGAAAGAGTGACACACATTGATTGGCTTGTCTGTAAAACTGCATGTAACAGTGGTTATTATTGAAGTGCCATTTGTTGCTTCACTTTATTTTTTATGACCATGTCATTATTTACATAGGGTCAGTACACCTCTGTCTTGGGATATGGTTAGATAAAGAAAATTTGTCACGTTACCATGCAAGAAATGTCACATTTTAAAACAAGTCTGACTTAATGAGGCACGACAAGCTGACTTTAAGAAACAGGGACTGGGCCGGGCGCGGTGGCTCACGCATGTAATCTCAGCACTTTGAGAGGCTGAGGCAGGAGAATGGCTTGAACCCAGGAGGTAGAGGTTGCAGTGAGCCAAAATTGCACCATTGCACTCCAGCCTCAAGAGCAAAACTCCATCCCCCCTCACCCCCCCCCCCCCCAAAAATAAGACACAGGGACTGTACTTGATATGTGGAAATGATGCCCACAACATCCTCCCAGGAAACTTACCTTGTACCTGCTCTCTGGCTAGTGAAATCTCAGCCTTACAGTTAGTAACGAATGCCACTTGCTGACATAGCAGGAACATTGACAGACTTGGGGACCTCAGAGAAGGAAGGACGTCCTAGTTATGTAGTTCTTGAGGAAAAGCGTGGTCCGGGCAAACTGGATGCCTTTTTTCTCCTAGACCTAGAAAGGACAAGCTGATTGAGAACAGCAATTCAAAATCATCTGCGAAACTGATGTGATCAAAATCTGACTAGGGGCTTTGTGAAGCCTCTAGACAGAATTTAATTCTCCAATCCTTCGTATTTTAAGGCTTTAATTTTTAAAACCATACAGCAAAGAAATCTCCTAGTGTTAATCCACACCTTTTGTAGCAACTATATAAATTTAATTGGTCAAAGAGAAAAACCCATCAAGTTAATAATATGGATCAGAACATTTCTGAACAAACCCGTGTAGTCAAATTATCTACACTTCTGGCAGCCCCTGGCCAGAAGGAGGGGCTAAGGAAGCATGAATGATATCTTGCCTTGCTGCTGTCTTCACTTAGCACATTATATAGCAGTCACACACAAAACAAAAAACCCATCCCTGCCCCCGCAAAACCCCAAACACTTGACTTTCTTAAAAATACTAAAACAGGCAGAAACACCCTAACACTTTTCTCTAAATGAAGACCATGCCCTTTTTGTAATCTGCTACCCTAATGCAAACAATTTAATTCCTGATTGAATGGCGTGAACCCAGGAAGCAGAGGTTGCAGTGAGCCGAGACTGCACCACTGCACTCCAGCCTGGGCGACAGAGCGACTCTGTCTCAAAAAAAAAATAAAAAAAAAATTAATTCCTGATTTTGCAATATTAATATCAACATATAGGTGATAACCTTTGCAGATAGTGTAGTCATGTGAGGAACAGACTAACTGTACACTTGGTAACCTCTTGTGTTTTTCTCTAAAAGCCTGCTGTGTTCTTTGTTTAGATAGCCCAGTTGTTCTGAAGTATGATCTGCCTTACAGAATAGTGAAAGTAAAAATTATTTTCTTAATAGTTTTGTGTCTGAGTTCTCCTTTCACAATTGATAGTTGTCAAAGCTGGGTGAACGGTACTTCAGATCCTTTTAATCTTCTCTATAATTTTGTATATGTTCTTAAATTTCCACAATAAAAAATTAAAATTGTATATCAGGGCTATGCTATGTATCAAAGAGATATTGTCAGTGCTTTCCTATAAAGACACAAGACTTAGTCTAATTTTAACTAGTTTCCAAACTTAAAGGCTGTATTGAGGCTGTATTCAGTTTTAAAGCACGTGCAGCTAGTAGACATGACGAACCATCCCAAAGATAGTACTGCAGTTGGCAGCCTAGGAGCAAGGAAAGGTATCTTGTGTGGTTGTGTAGCTGGTGTTTTCTGACCTCACTAGTGAGGTTAGAGTCCTCAATGTTAAGCAGCAATGAAGGGAGCCAGAGTTTCCATGTTATTTGCTGCATTCAGCGTGCATGTCAAAAATAGATCCAAAAGCTATGGCAACTGAAAAATATTTGTTTTAATCAGTGTTTGGGAAACAAATGCTGGTATTTGGCTTCAGGGTTGGCTTCTTCAGCACTGATATTGGCAGATCCAATTCACAATAAAGTCCTACAGCACTTCTGTTTTTTTTTAAAATCCCATATGGACTTAATCTGTAAAACCTCCTGGCACATTTGCACGTTTTGGTTTCCTGGGAGGTTCCCGTGGATTTGTTTAACTCTGGTATCATGATTCTTTACTGTATGTTCCCTTGAAGTATAGGAAGAAAGAACACACTTGTTACATTTTTGTCATTTATATATTTAACAAATATTTATTGATCTCCTGTTGTGTGCAAGGCACTATTCTAGGCATTCTGGAAAGATACAAAAATGAATCAGGCAAATATGGTGATTTCAATTTACTTTCAACCCAATAAGGAAGACAAATTGTGGGCCAGGCATTGAATTAGGTGCTGGGGGTGCAGAGGTGAACAAAGTTCCTGACTTCATGTTGCTCCTTGAAATTAAGACAGATAAATACAGGGGTTAGAGAAGGGCTAATGGAGAAAATAACCCTGAAGCCAAGCTGTAAAAGACAAATTAGAGTTCAGACAAAGCAGAATGGGGCAGAAGGTATACTGTAAGAAAGGGAGCAGCAGATACACATAGGGGTCCTGGGATGGAAAATAGCCTGTATCCAGTTTATTTGAAGATCCAGTTTCTTTGCAGAGTCTTAGAATGGACTGGACTTTGGAGATAGAGTTATAGGAACCAAACTCATAATAGTGGGGTTTTTTTTTTGTTTGGTTTTGTTTTTGAGATGGGAGTTTTGCTCTTGTGGCCCAGGCTGGAGTGTAGCAGTGCAATCTCAGCTCACTACAACCTCCGCCTCCCTGGTTCAAGTGATTCTTCTGCCTCAGCCTCCCAAGTAGCTGGGATTGGAGGCACCCACCACCAAGCCCAGCTAATTTTTGTATTTTAGTAGAGACAGGTTTCACCATGTTGGCCAGGCTGGTCTCTAACTCCTGACCTCAGGTGATCCACCCGCCTTGGCCTCCAAAAGTGCTGGGATTACAGACGTGAGTCACTGCGCCTGGGCTCATAGTGGTGTCTATAATGAAATAAGTATCATGCAGACCAAAGCACCTATGTCCTATTTCCTTTTGTATTGTTAGATCTATGCAAGAAGCTTATTTATGTTTATAACATTGCCTTTGCAATCTTGCATCAGAATTGGGGGCTAGTTGCATGATTCAGAGGTTCCTGGTCTGTGATTGCTGATGCATGCATCTCTGCAATACACAGGGCGCTACCATTGGGAATAGATTGGCTAAAATTTGAGGGCCTTGTCCCTTAAGTAGTGTTGGAGGTACACATTGATTGCCATATTTTTTGTTTTTTTGTGACTCCCTACACTTGAATGTCTCCTTATAACTTTCAGGATTGTATCAGTTAGGGTCTTGTCAGAAAACGGAATTCATTTCGGATGGTTCAGAGGAAGAGAAGAGACTTTAATGAAAGTACCACTTGCAGATATATGGATAGGGTTAAGGAAGCAAACTATGGATGAGTTTGTTAGCAGCAGTAGGAAGCTGTTACCACCCTAGAAGGGGACAAGAAGAAAAAGTAGAGTTACTGGATTATAGTGAGAGCTAGAGAAAGGGCCAACTGGTGGAGACTGAACTGCAGAGGGTGCAACTACTGCTATTGATATGAAAGGAAAGCAGAAGCAATACCATAACCTTTCTTTCACTCCTCCTGCCCACAGCGGACCTGCTGGAGCCTCTCTTGCCCAAATCGTACAGGAAACCATCTGGCAAGGGAGCTGGGTGGTGCAGTCTGCAGGGGTCATCCTGCTAGGGCACAGAGCAGGTCAGAGTAGGATAGAAAATGGATGTGGGCAGGGATTTGGTGAGAGACGGTAAATAACGAATAATCAGCCTGGGCTGAAGTCCAAATTCCTCAGCAAGGCTTATGAATCATTTACTATCAAGCTCCTTGTAGCCCCTTCCGTCTTGTTCCCCCTCACCCTTTGCCACTCACCCACCCAACACTCCCAGCTCAATCATGCTGAACTGTTTGAAATTCTGCTTAGGTGCCACATTCTCACTTTGGGCATCCCCTCCTCCAGGAAGTATCTGCATCCTGGGCTCGCCCATATCCCTATCACAGCCCTATCATCATGTAAGTCATTGATGTTAATCTGGGTTTTTACTATATAACTGCCATGAGGGTAGAAGCTGTATCTTATTCACCATTGCACATACCCACTGTCAAGCACAGTAACTGTCATTTAGCAGGTGCTCAGTACGTATTTGTTGATTCACTGAATAGACACATGAATACCATTTACTCTGCAGCAACTACAGACCTAAGCCAGGCTTCACCTGCGGGTCATGCTCAGATGTCTTGGAGACACTTTTTCAGTTGCAAGTCATTGTCCATGTACAAATGGATTTCCATGGTTAAATTCTCATATGGCCCCTTTATTTCTAGGTCCTAGGGTATTTTCTGCTGTTGTTTCATACCCTTCCTATAAACAAAACATACTGAGAACCACGAGAAAGGCAGGAACAGGCCAAGATCTAAAGGACTTTGGAAGAGGAAAGAGGCTTTAAGGAGGATGTGGCACTTAATTGAGTCTTCACAGATGGGTAGGATGTGTCACATAAAGAAGTGAGGAAAGGACACTCCAGGCTGAAGAAAGAGGACAAGCGGAGACAGCAATGGGAAAATGCATGCTGAGTTTCTGGGAGAGCGAGTCTTGACTGGCATTACAGGAGTGGTAGTAAGGTTAGGTAGTTGGACCAGATCATCGAGGCCACTGGATGCTGGATTAAGGAGTTTGAACTGAATTCTGTAGACAGCAAGGAGTCACTGATGGTTTTAGATCAGCAGGAAGATGCTGGGACATCTGTCCATTTAGGAGATGCATTATAACCTTATAAATGGCCACCTTGTACCTATTACTAAAGTGATTGCCTATAAATCCAAGGGGCAGATGGGGCTGGCTTCATGTCTCATGCTCTCTCCTTCGCCTGGTTTCTCTGCTCATTCCCTTGGCAGCACATAATGGATGACACATCTTTGTATCCAGGAGCAGATTCTTAAAATTTATGAGGTGATAAGGATTTGTTGTTTTCGTGGGCATCTATCAACATAGGAAACATTCACCATTACGTTTAGTAGAAAAGCAGGAAATTATGAAGTTAGCTTGGCTTGGGGGGTGCGGGGGGACGGGGGCGGGACACAGAGAAAGGACAGATTGGTAGAAAAAAAGAGCTGATCCCAAGATGCTGAGAACTTATTGGTTGTTCAATGGCTCACTGACCCTGAAAAAGCCATTTGGAGCAAGCTCCTTTCTAGAAATAAAGAGGTGGGAAAACGTAATCTCTTCCAAAAGGGAGGCCAGTTTCTTTCTGGAAAACAAAACAGAACAGAACAGTCTTTCAAAAACATGGGCTGGCTAGTTGTTTTCTAGAGCAGAGCAACTTCATAGAATGTAAATATTTATGTTGGATCTCTCTGTATGGGACTTCATGAAATAAACAATATTTGATAGAAAGTGACTCAATCTTTGCATTTTCCTTTATGTCTGATTATTTTGTAGACACTTTTAAGAAGCACTGATTTCTGTGAAGAGATTCTAGACTGAGTATTTCTAGTAGTAAAATAAGGAAAAGAAATCGAAAGGCAGTTAGGAGGGTGGAAAATTAATGCTGGTGGCACTTGCCAGGAAAGGTTTTTGTCTCAATTTAATGCAATTATTGATTGCCAGTTAAGTGCAAGCCACTGCCCTAAGAGCTGGGGGTCACAACAATGAATAGGAGGTGGTTCCTGCATTTGGGTGGCCCAGAGGAAAGAAGTGAATTCTAAGGTGCGTTCGACTGTGAAGGATCCCATGGTAAAGTGTATGCTGCAGGCTGTGGGAGAAAACAAGAGTGGGCAAGTTTTGTCCAGGGGCTTGGGGAACCTTCCATGGGCTGCTGGGACTTTCAAAAAGCTCTTGGCCGGGCAAAGTGGAGGAGGTAGGACATCAGGTTCCTCCTTGTGCGTGCTAGTTGCCTCTGTCATGTCCCCTTGTGAGAGCAAGTAACGCACAGTGACATTTATTTCCAGCTCTGCTTCCCCAGTTGAATTGTAAATAGCTTGAGGGGAGGGCCTTATATATCTTTGTGTCCACAGTGTTGGAAACACAGAAGGTACTTAAGACATGTATGTCAGTGAAAAAATGGGAGGGCTTATGTGAAAAAAACGCAAGTAATTTCCACATGTGCTTTTATAAATAGAAAAAATAATACAAATTAAAAAAAATTACATCCCCGTTTGCCTCCACCGTGGGATACACAGCTTGGCTATTTGTGGAATGATTTGTGGAATGTGCAACAAAACCAAAAGGTCTCTTTGCCCTGCCCCTTACTGGTTGGGTGGTCTTTCTATCTCACTCATACAAATCACATCTACCTGAGCAATATTGTTATGAGGATTAACAAAGATGACGTTTGAAAGTACTTGGCACAGAGTGGGTGTTCAGTGAACTAATATTTCTTCTTGTTTATCATATCCCAGGCCCTGGGAGACAGTAGAAGTTGGATACATGTATGATAAACTAGTTCCAGTAGTATTCTCTCCAAGCCACTTTATTGTTTTCTGTGAGGAGAAACTCAGTGGAATTTCTTTCTTTCTTTTTTTTTTTTTGAGACCGAGTCTTGCTCTGTCACCCAGGCTGGAGTGCAATGGTGTCATCTTGGCTCATTGCAACCTCCACTTCCCAGGTTCAAGCGATTCCCCTGCCTCAGCCTCCTGAGTAGCTGGGACTACAGGTGTGTGCCACCACACCGGGCTAATTTTTATATTTTTAGTAGAGACGGGGCTTCACCATGTTAGCCAGGATGGTCTCGATCTCCTGACCTCGTGATCTGCCCGCCTTGGCCTCCCAAAGTGCTGGGATTACAGGCGTGAGCCACCACGCCCAGCCCGAAACTCAGTGGAATTTCTAAGCCTTTCTCCTTCACACCCCAACAGAAGAACTTCCCTCAGCAGGAGAAAGATCTGCGATTCTTTCCCCCTTCCCATTCTTTTTATTTTAAAAAATTTCTAATGGAAACTTTCACACATACATAAAAATGTATGTTGAGAGAAAATAATATAATGAACCACCATGTGCCTCTCACTTATTTAAAAAACAAGATCAGTTTGCTGATCTTGTTTCATTCATTTCTCTCTACCTTTTTTCTTGCTATAAGTAATTGCACTTTTTTGCCATTGAAAGTAATGGCAGGCTGGGCCCGGTGGCCCATGCCTGAAAACCCAGCACTTTGGGAGGCCAAGGCGGGCAGATCACCTGAGGTTAGGAGTTCAAGACCAGCCTGGCCAACATGGTGAAACTCTGTCTCTAATAAACATACAAAAAAAATTAGCCAGGCATGGTGCCATGCGCCTGTAATCCCAGCTACTTGGGAGGCTGAGGCAGGAGAATCGCTTGAACCCGGGAGGTGGAGGTTGCAGTGAGCCCAGATTGCACCACTGCACTGCAGCCTGGGCAACAGGGTGAGACTCCATTTCAAAAAAAGAGAAAGTAATGGCAGAGACCACAATTACTTTTGCACCAACCTAATAGCATATTTTAAAACAGGCCCAAGAAAGTGGGTCATTTTTTTTCCCCCAAGATGGAGTCTTGCCCTGTTGCCCAGGCTGGAGTGAAGTGGCGCAATCTCTGCTAACTGCAACCTCCACCTCCCAGGTTCAAGCAATTCTCCTGCCTCAGCCTCCTGAGTAGCTGGGATTACAGGTGCACACCACCACACCCAGCTAATTTTTGTATTTTTAGTACAGACGAGGTTTCACCATGTTGGCCAGGCTCGTCTTGAACTACTGACCTCATGATCTGCCTGCCTCGGCCTCCCAAAGTGCTAGGATTACAAGCATAAGCCACCACGCCTGGCCAAAATTGGGTCATTTTACTGTCATCTTTAACCGATAAGGCCTTTTATCTTTTATAAAACCACTATGTCATTATCACTCCTAATGAAAACAAAAATAAATCTTTAATTTTCTCTAATACTCAGTTTATGTTCAGATTTTTTCCAATTATCGCAAGATGTCTTTTTCTGATTAGCTTGTTCAAATCGGGATCCAAATAAGACCATCATATCCAAAATTCCTTTTAGTTAAAATTCCAATCCATCCTGAGAGTGGGGGTCTGCCCTAGAGGCAATTTGTGGCATCAACTTGGGTGTGGGACTTTTGGGGCAACCCTGGCAGGCAATACAATTGTCCGTGAGTATCTGCAGGATATTGGTTCCAGGGCCAGTGGATACCAAAATCCACAGATGCTCACGTCCTTGTTATAAAATGGTGTAATATTTGCATACAACCACATCTTGCTGTATATTTTATTTTATTTATTTATTTTTCGAGATAAGGTGTTGCTCTGTCACCCAGTCTGGAGTGCGGTGGTGCAATCGTAGCTCTCTGCAGTCTCGACCTCCCGGGCTCAACTGATCCTCCCACCTCAGCCTCTCTAGTAGCTGGGACCACAGGTGTGCACCACAACTCCTGGCTATTTTTTTTTTTTCTTGTAGAGATGGTGTCTCTCTGTGTTGCCCAGGCTGGTCTGGAACTCCTGGGCCCAAGCAATCCTCCTGCTTTGGCCTCCCAAAGTGCTAGGATTACAGGCTGAGCCACTACATGCAGTATACTTTAAATCGTCTCTAGATTACTTAAAATACCTAATACGATGTAAATGCTGCATAAACAATTGTTATACTGTATTGCTTAGGGAATAATGACAAGAAAAAAAAAGCCTGTACTGTACATATGCTCAGTACAAATGTAACCATCTAGGCCGAACTCCAGTAACAACATAACATTTTCTGGGTTTTTTTTCCAAATATTTCCTCTCTTTTTTAAAAATTTTTTTCTTTTTCTTAGCATTCATTTTGCTTTGTATTTTCTGAATATTTTCCATCCATGGTTGGTTGAATCCTTGGATGCAGAACCTGAGAATGAGAAGGGCAACTGTATTCCCTCCTGTTTTCTCTATCATACGTGCAATAGAACCAGCTCCAAATCCCCCTAACTGTGGACAGCACCCAGCCTACCCAGCAAGGTTGAGTCTCTTTTTGAGCCTGAGGAAGGGAAGATTTGGGATGAATTGTCTGCCAAATGTGGTAACTTTCAGAGCTGCCTATTCCAGCTAATTTATTCGACACTCTTATTCATTGCCTTGGAGGCTGGGGGTGTGGTGATGAAATAGTGAGGAGGTGTGTGGCATGCGGTAGGGGGTTAGGGGCAGTTCCTCAGCCTTAATCCTACCTAGCCAATCTCAGTCTTTAGTAAAACTAGCTGTTAGGGATTCCAGATCCCACCAAAGAAAAAGAAACAAACTACCACCAACCTGCTCTGCCCACTTTCTATTCCAAGCTTCTATACGTTCAAAAGAAAGTGGCTGAAATGTATGCACTGAGATGAGATGAAGGGGTTTTAAAGGTTATGACATCCAACCTGTTTTCCACCAGCAGGTGGAATAAGAGCCCTCTGGCAATAAGAGCCGGCACCTATATCACTTCCGTGTAGCACATTGATCAGCGAAAACTCGCACCTGGGGGCTTGGAATCCTTCCTTCTCCCAAGGGCTCACATGGTCTCTCCGTGAGCCCCTGGAGGGGTGAAGGTCTTACAGTGTTTGTTGTAAGCAGGCATCCTCCTGCGTGTCATGGAAATCCCCCTCCCTGTGACTCTCATGTCTGCCCTGGTTTTGCCCTCTGTCACTCCACAGAATGCCATGATTTTGTGGGGGAGGGCAGGATATATAAACCCATGATAGCTGGAAAGTGAGCTATAATTTACAGTAAAAACAGTATTGTTGTCTCAGTACAATTAGATTAAAAGAGTACAGGACTAATACTAGCTAGTATTTAATGAGGGCTTATCTGTTCTATTAGTTTGCTTGGGCTGCCATAACAAAGTACCACAAACTGGGTGGCTTAAACAACAGAAATGGTTTCTCATCATTCTAGAGGGTACGAGTCCAAGATCAAGATGTCAGCAGGGTTGGTTCCTTCTGAGGACGGTAAGAGAAATCTGTTTCGCACCTCTTGCCTAGTTTCTGGTGGTTTGCCAACAATCTTTGGCATTCTTTGGCTTGTAGAAGCATCACCATGATCTTTGCCTTCGTCTTCACATGGCGCTCTCCCTGTATGCATTTCTGTGTCCAAATTGCCTTTTTTTTTTGAGGACACCAGTCATTGGAACAGGGTTCCATGCTAATGACTTCATCTTAACTAAGTATATCCGAAATGACCCTATTTCCAAAAAAGGTCACATTTTTGAGGGATTTGGGGTTAGGAGTTCAATACTTTTTCTGAGGGGGGTGGTGGTGATGGATGAAATTCAACCCACAAAATGCATCAAGCACCTTATGCATATTTTGTGATTTTTATTATAGCAGCATTTCCAGGTAGGTAATGTTATCTTCATTTTAGAGATGAGGAAACCGAGGTTAAATAATGTAGTTTGTTCAAGATTGCACAGCCAGTAAGTAGCAGTAATAGGACTTAGAAACTCAACAACCTGATTCCAGAACCCAGGATTTTCACCTGCATTGTATTTTCTTATTTCTCCATATATCTTTACCTCCCTTTCTCTTTGCAGTTGCTTGCCAGAAATTGGTCATTATAATTAGGTAAAATTTCTATGCCAGCCTAATACTGCCACCTGGTGGTGAAAACAAAGCAGCCTCGAACTTCCTGGCAAAGTTGCATCAGGCAAAAATGCTGACAGGCCTTTTCCCTAATACACCAATGCTGTCAAGCAATGGTGAATTCTGCTTGATCCTACATATATATATTTTATTTATTTTTTTCAATTTTTTTTTAAGATGGAGTCTCGCTGTGTCCCCCAGGCTGGAGTGTAGTGGCACGATCTTGGCTCACTGCAACCTCCGGCTCCCTGGTTCAAGCAATTCTCCTGCCTCAGCCTCCCAAGTAGCTGAGACTACAGGCATGAGCCACTATGCCCGGCTGATTTTTGTATTTTTGGTAGAGATGGGGTTTCACCATGTTGGACAGGCTGGTCTCGAACTCCTAACCTCAGGTGATCTGCCCACCTTGGAATCCCAAAGTGCTGGAATTACAGGCGTGAGCCAGCAATTCTCATAAGGAGCACACAACCTAGATCCCTCGCATGCGCAGTTCACAATAGGGTTCGCACTCCTATGAGAATCTAATGTTGCCACTGATCTCACAGGAGGCGGAGCTCAGGCAGTATTGCTTGCTCACTGCCTGCTATGCAGCCCGGTTCCTAACAGGCCAGGGATGGGTCCCAGTCATTGGCCTGGTGGCTGGGGACCCTTGTCATACATGGTATTATTTTGTGTGTGTGTGTGTGTGTGTGTGTGTGTGTGTGTGTGTGTGTGTGTGTGTGTGTGTGTTTTGAGACGGAGTCATGCTCTGTCACCAGGCTGGAGTACAGTGGTGTGATCTCGGCTCACTGCAACCTCTGCCTCCCAGGTTCAAGCGATTCTCCTGCCTCAGCCTCCCCAGTAGCTGGGACTACAGGTGCGTGCCACCATGCCCAGCTAATTTTTGTATCTTTAGTAGAGATGGAGTTTCACCACGTTGGCCAGGATGGTCTCGATCTCCTGACCTCGTGATCTGTCTGCCTTGGCCTCCCAAAGTGCTGGGATTACAGCCACTGCCTCCAGCCTATACATGGTATTATTCTGTTTTAAAAACCAGTTTCTCCTGGTGCCCCGGCTCTAAAGACTCATTCTAGTCACTATTTCTTTCTGCTGTTCAAATTCAAGATTCAAGAATAACTTAAGATTCTTTAGCCATTAGTTACCATTTACTGTTCTTTGGAAGAAAGAAGGAAGGGGCTGTACAGAATAATTGGCTTTGTTGCTTCTCCATCTCTGGGCTTGCAGTTTCCTAGACCTTATTTGACACTTCTGTCTTCAGTTTGCTATCCACCATTAGGTGTGTCTTACTACAAGCTCAGAAGTAATGTGGGCATAACATGCTTAACAAATTAGAAAAAGAATCATATTGAATAATTTTAGAACTGGAAGTCACCTTAGATCACACAACCTATTTGCGTTCTCACAGGGGAGGGATGGGAAACTGTGGAGGAAAGGAATCTCCGGATTCACTTCTGTGGGGTGGCTCACATGGCTCCCTGTAGCCTGCAAGGAAATGACAAAGGTGGGGTTTGGGGTCCTGGGCCTGAGCCTGGGGCTTGGGTACTGATTGACAGCTTTACTAATGATTTATTTTTATCTTGGATCAGAGGCTTTTAGATGCTCTCAACTCCAACATCATGGCAAACCCCTGTGTGCTGAGCTTAGATGGAAGGTGTGCTGCAAGTAATATGTTACCAACCATTCCAGTACCTGTGTTTGCAGATGCTGTTCCTTAAAGAATTTCAAACTAAGAAAAGTTGCAAATACAGGAGGTGGAGGCTGCAGTGAGCCAAGATCGCATGACCCTGCACTCCAGCCTAGGGAACAGAGCGAGACTCCGTCTCAAAAAACAAACAAACAAACAAACAAACAGGAATGCTTGTCGAGTAAAGAGACCAAAGTGGTTGTCTGATACATACATTTTATCTGTCATGTGTGTCACAGTGGAAAAAAAGGTTGGGAAATACGGTTTTAAATGGTTGTCTTCGTCCATTTCCTATTGCTTGTAACAGAATACCTAAAACTGGGTAATTTATAAAGAAACAAAATGTATTTCTTATAGTTCTGGAGGCCGAGAAGTCCAAGGTTGAGGGGCTGCATGTGGGAGCGTCTTTTTGCTGGTGGAGACTCTCTATAGAGTCCTGAGGCAGCGCAGGGCGTAACACGGTGAGGGGCCTGAGGGTGCTAGCTCAGGTCTCTGTTCCTCTTCTTATAAAGCCACAAGTCCTACTCCTGTGAAAACCCATTAATCCATGAGGGCAAAGCCCTCATGACCCAATCATCTCTTAAAGACCCCACCTGTCAATACTGCCACATTGGGGAATAAGTTTCTACATGAGGTTTTTTTTGTCTTTTTTTCTTGGTTGGTTTGTTTTTGAAACAGGATGTCACTTGTCACTCCGGCTGGAGTGCAGTGGCATGATCAGAGCTCACTGCAACCTTGACCTCTGGGCTCAAGTAATCCTTTCACCTCAGCTCCTGCATAGCTGGGACTATAGGCATGCACTACCACACCCAGCTAATTTTCTTATTTTTTGTAGAGACGGGGTCTCGTTATGTTGCCCAGCCTGGTCTTGAACTCCCGGGCTCAAGCAATCCTCCTGCCTCAGCCTCCCAAAGTGCTGGGATTACAGGCATGAGCCAACATGCCTGGCCAACCTGAGTTTTGAAGGGGGCAAACATTCAAATCATAGCAATTATGAAACAAACTTACTAAATTTCCATATGATACTAGCTTAATGAATAAGCTCAAGCTCAACGGGAACATAGCAAACCCTTAACATTTAGCAAATATTTGTTACATAAGTGAAGTGCAATTATTAGAGATAGAAATGGAGTTGGGTAAACTCAGGCTAGTAAACCTGAGGAGGAAAAAGAAAGTGAATAATTAAAATGCAGGGTAAGACTGGCTGTGTACAAACACAGAAGAGATCTCTAGGTCCCAGAAGAGACAACACATTAATGAAAAAAGGGAAGGGAAGATGCTGAGGGTCTGTTCTGATTACAACCTTACTCCCTTTATAGATTAACAGTGGGTCCTCAGTTCAAGCATGAGTGACATAAAGTAAGTTGTTAGCACAATTCACCAGCATCTGTTTACTTGTTACTATGCTTCCTTCTTGGGAGGCATTCCAATTACAATGACTCAGTTACCTCCTCCACCTAGGGGGACTGTGAAAAACAAACTTTTAAGCTGAAATATTCAAACTATTTGACATCAGTCTGAAAAGATGCATTGTTCATCCATTCAATAGACATTGATTGCCTACCCTGCAAGGTGCTGCCATGGGTTGCAGGACCCATGATGCTGACCGGCAGATAGGATTCCTACTAGCGAAGCTTGCAGTGTAATAAGGGCCAGAGTTGTGGGGCACAGTGCAGGATACAGGGCAGATGATAGAGCGAGGCTGTCTGAAGCAAGAATGGAACCTTGGGCATTTTAGAGCAGTGAATCAGTCCTTCAGGACCATGTGCTCAGTTTTTGCTTGAAATGTAACCACAAAACACACTTCCCAAAACAGGGAGTTTTGTTTCCTAGTATATTCAGTTCTGCAGTAGGGCAGATAATTTGGCAGGGATTCCAATCCACTACATTCGATACTGCTTTGACCCAGACTAGTTAACTCTAGAGGTTGGGGCTCCATATGTGAAGCAAAGTTGCTGAGCTATTAAAAAATAAGACATATGAGGAAAGGTTAAAATATGAGATTATGAAGCTGATTGAGGGAAATTGCTGGTGATTTAAATAATGGCTTTCAGACCTCCAATGTGTATATGATTGATGCTGGGCTGAGAAACTTTTCTCTGAATTTGAGGCCAAACACAATTGAAACAATGAGGTCTGTCAACAAAAGGTAGAACTGTCATCATTATTAGTCATGTTATGTTGATGCTGCAGTAACAAACATGCAAACAGAACAACGTGTAGTATCAGGGATGGGAGTACATAAGCCTAGAAGCTGAGACTCAAATTTCATTTTTAGTTTCTTTAAAAAATATTTTTGTTTAGAGACAGGGTCTCATTCTGTTGCCCACGCAGGAGAGCAGTGGCGTGATCCTAGCTCACTGCAGCCTCAACCTCCTGGGCTCAAGCAATTCCCCCACCTCGGCCTCCTGAGTAGCTGGGACTGCAGGCGCATGCCACCATGCCCTGCTAATTTTTAAATTTTTTGTAGAGTCAGAGTCTCACTATTTTGCCCAGGAAGGTCTGGAACTCCTGAACTCAAGCTATCCTCCAATCTTGGTCTCCCAAGGTTCTGGGATTACAGGCGTCAGCCACTGCGCCTGGCCTCATTTTTAGTTTTGCAAGTAGTTAGATATTTCCAAGTCTGGATGTCAGGAGAAACAAAAAAAGGTCCCCTGTGGCCACATGCAGAGGAAGGGCTGTAGACACAGACTAACACTCTGTTTCCTGCTCTTTATTTGATTTTATTATTCTTTGAAAAAAACAGATATGAGAATTGCCGATGCACAGGCCAGCCTGTGCTACCATATGTGGGCTTTGAAAAGATTCTGGATTTTCTGTCTGTATGATAATATGTGCTGCTGTATAGAGCAAGGAAAACAGAGGTGGTTTTCCAAGCTCCACAGCCCATCTTTATCACTGCCAGGTAAAGCTCTGTCCCTTAAAAGTTAGATACAACCAACCAAGTGACATTTATTGAGACTCTACTATGTGCCAGACCTGGGCAAGGTACCTTCTCATAAGGTCGAGCTGGATGACTGGCTGGGATAAAGGATACAGCCAAAACGTGGGGGTCCAACAGGAGGTCGTGGGGACCACATGCTCATCCACAGGACCTGATCTAAGCTTGTTCATAGACCTTCTGTGTATTTTCCTTATAGAAAATAAGAGGATTTTGCTTATCATTTCTTTTCCATTGTTGTCAGTTTCAGTTTTTTATATGTCCTAATAACCATATATTTCATTTTCCACCCATCCAGACTCCTTACTCCTCCCCATTTGGTCTGGGGAGAACTCATAAATGTCATTGGTCACAAATCCACTCTCCACGCTCACCAGAGTCACAAACCCACTTTCTGATGGGTTCACAGCCATGTTGTCATAGTCACAAGACATGTCATCGGGAGTGGCTTCTCCCGAACACACTCGGAATGAAATATTCTTCAGGTCTGGCCGGGTCTCAGCTAAGTCAGCTTCGCTTTGTTTTCTTATGACATTGTAGACCTCTAGGTCCGGGCTGTTTCCCTGGTGAGGAGAGGGCCAGATGGTGTGTTGCTTCTTTGTGCTAGGGTCTGGCTGCTCCCGTTTTCTAGGAAGAAAGAAAACCAGGGCTGAGTGTTTTAGACCAGGTGATTGAGAATACCCTTGTGCTTCCTGTTGAGACGAGAGGAAGCAGCCCTGGGCAGTCACCCAGCTGCATGTCTCGTCTATGTAACTTACAGGCCAGGGCTTCGGAGTGGGAGGGAACCAAACAGGGAGATGTTATGTTCAAAGTGATTGTGTATCTGTCATTCACTGCTGCCCAAGTGTGGGCAGGGTTATTATCCTGGGGTTCCCTAGAGTCCCTGGAGTGTCCAGGGATAGAACTGAATAGAGAAAAAATACCACATTACAAAAAAAACCCAAAAAAACAAAAAAACACCTCAGCTGTGCACAGTGGCCCACGCCTGTAATCCTAACACTTTGGGAGGCTGAGGCAGGTGGATCACTTGAGCCCAGGAGTTTGAGACCAGCCTGGGCAACATGTTAAAACCCCGTCCCTATAAAAGATACAAAAATTAACCAGGCATGGTGGTGCACACCTGCAGTCCCAGCTAGTTGGGAGGCTGAGGTGGGAGGATAACCTGGGAGGTCAAGGCCGCAGTGAGCTGTGATGGTACCGCTGCACTCCAGCTTGGGCGACAGAGTGAGACCCTGTCTCAAAAATAAAATAAAATAAAATAAAATAATAAAATAAAATAAAATAAAACCAAAACAACAAAAAACACGACTCATCCATAAGTGAAATTTAGCATGTCCTTCCATTATGAATGTAAGAGATAAAACAGCAGGATTAATATCTTTGACTTGATCACTACTAGAAATTATAGATGTTTTCATATCACAGTTATAGATGCCTTGAAATATTTTAACCTCATCTCTACTTCAAAATTATAATAATTATACCCAGCACTAAATAAAGAAGCATTAATAAAGGAGTACATGTATTACTAATCACATATTCATTTTTGGAAATATTTTGCTAAACTATATAACAGTATGATTGCTTCCTTTGCAACCCAATGTATTTTATTTTATGCATTTAAAATATTGTACTGGGCCGGGTGTGGTGGCTCATGCCTGTAATCCTAGCACTTAGGGCAGCTGAGGTGGGCGGATCACCTGAGGTCAGGAGTTCGAGACCAGCCTGGCCAACATGGTGAAACCCATCTCTACTAAAAATACAAAATTAGCCAGGCATGGTGGTATGTGCCTGTAATCCCGGCTACTTGGGAGGCTGAGGCACGAGAATCACTTGAACCCGGGAGGCGGAGGTTGCAGTGAGCCGAGATTGCGCCATTGCACTCCAGCCTGGGCGACAGAGAAAGACTCTGTCTCAAATATATATATATATATATATTTTTTTAAATAAAATAATAAATAAAATAAAATATTGTTCTGGAAGGAGTCCATAGGCCTCACCAGACTGCTGCAGGGCACAAAAAAGATTAAAAACCCTTGGGATAGACAGACACCCCAGCTTTAGAGTCACAATTCCCAAATCCTGTTAAAGTACAAAACAGAGAGTCAGGAAAGGAAATCAAGAACCAACTGAGTAGGCAGAGTAGGCAGCTGGAAAATATGCCTGTAATTTTTTGAACTAAATTCTACTTTAAGATTCAAAGGAAATAACTAATAAAATAATCCCAATAATAGGTAACATTCAAGTGCTTAGTATATACTTATTCTGCAAGTATTAACTGCCTTAATCCTTATAATAATCCTACAAGGAAGTTACAATTAACTGAAATAGATTTTACATTGGAATCTTACTAATTCATCTCAAATTGGTCTTTAAAGGGAGTCAAATCTTAAATTGGGCCTTAGTTTTCCTGTTGTAAATGGGAATACTAGACATCTTCTCCATATACCATGATGATGGAGAATAAAAAGGTAACTGAGAAGAGCTTTCAGTACTAAAAATAAAATAAAATAAAATAAAATAGTGGCACACGATCCTGACCATATACAGAAATTGTTGATGCCACCTAGTGTAGCTATTTTATAGCACTCTATACTTGTGTACTGAATTAAAAGAAAAGTCAGTTAAAAGGAATTTGGCTCTTTCAGTTTGAATTAAGTGGTTTAGTTTCAGATGTTTACCAGAATACTTTGCAGCAGTCATTTTTCATATGGCTCACTATTCATTCCTTCACTCAGTCCACAAACATTTTCAGAGTGAGGGCATACATTCATGAGAGCATTTTTGCTGGGTGACGTGTGAGTGCACGGGAGGTGAATAATGCAATTTCACCCTTCAAGTTGTTTTAAAATCTTCCACGTACAGACAGTAAAGCAAGTAAGATCACTCTCTTAATCACAACTAAGCACAAATGCCTAGTACTTCTGAATGCCCTGACCTGTCAGAGAACCCACTCTCCAATCTGCAATGGTGATACTCTTGGTGCTGCCGTGGGTTTTAATGAAGTAAACAAGGCAATATCCAAATCTCAAAGAGAGCAGAAGATGCAAAGGTTTACACAATGAAGGTTTTACTTGCCTTTTTCTACAGATCCAAACCCAACATACAACTGTGGTGACCACAAGGAGGAGGAGAAGGGGAATGCTGGGGATTAGGATGTAGGCCAGATTCAAGGCAGCTTCTGAAAAGAAAGAAAGCACATGATCAGCATTGGCTGTTTTTTGTTTTGTTTTTCTGTGCTTCAAACCAGGCTTAAAAAAAGCATAATCGTCAAAAACCACTTGTACCCCCAAATCTATTAAAATTAAAAAATTAAAAAACAAAACAAAGGAAAAGGCTAATCAACACAGAGTATTCCAAAGAGCTCATTCCTGAGTGATCAAGACACATCTAGCCAGTTAGCAAAGAGTCTTCTGGTTTCGATGGATGAGCATTTTCTACCTGTCCTATTACCCTAAGTGATAATGAAAATCAGTTTAAATTTTTAGGTCTTCCAAATATCAGAAGGGCACTTTTGTTAATTAAGCTTTTTGTTTTTTTTTTCAGAGAAAAGAGAGTCTCTCTTTTCTTGTCCTCCCTTAGTAAAGCAGGGGCCGCTGGGGCAGTGTTGATGCTTTTGCCTCCAAGGACAGTCACGGAGTTCCCACGATGGGATGGGGGAAAGAGAGGGAAAAAGAAGCAAGCCAGAAGTTTCAGTGTCATTACCAGGAAAGAGGTCACAGGAAGCAAGTAAATTACAGTGTAAAACCTTTCTGACATTTCTAAGACCAATTAGATTCAGTTGGGTCCATGAGCCATGACTGTGAAGAGCACTTAGAGGCTTACTTTTCTGAACTTTCTAGTCCTTTAAGACTTAGAACCAAAGATGTTCCCCTCAAGTGGCTTTGGGAGGAATCAAGGATTGGAGGCTAACCCTCTTCCTACTCCCACTGACCCAAGCTTCCTGACTATCCAGAGGCTGTTGGCTTTTCTTCTGTGAGATTGCAAACCTGACCACCACTAAAACCCCTAAACCCTCAAAACCCACTTTAAATACCACCATAATAACAATGAGCAATAGAAATGCCACCCACCTTTGCAGAGCACTTTGTACTTTTTTCACATATATGTTATATAATAAAGAATCTGATGGGCCTTTGTCCCTGGTTCCTGGGAGAGAGGCTCTAAATCCTTGGACTCTCCCCAGTAATAGGAGTGAATTTGTTATTCATGAGCCCCTCAGACCATAAGAGGGTTTATAAGGAGATGATTCAGACGGGGGCTGGCCATGCCAGAAAGACCAACCATGTGATGATAGGGTTGGGGCTTTGAGCCTAGTGATAGCAGCCTGACCTCTTTTGGAGACTGCTATGCATTGATACCCCCAATAAAACCTCTGGACACGAAAGCTCTGTGGAGCTTCCTGGTTGGTGAACACACTGATGTGCCAGGATGCTAATGCATCCTGATTCCATGGGGTGGGGGATGACAAGGAAACTCCTCCCAGACGTCCTGCTGTGTGTCTTTTCATTTGGCTGATCCTGATTTGTATCCCATACAATCAATCTAGTCATAAATATACTATTTTCCTGAGTTCTGTAGGTTGTTCTAGTGAATTATCAAACCTAAGAGGTGGGGATCATGGGCACTCCTGGATTTGTAGCCAATTGGTCAGAAATGCAGGTGGCCTGGGGACCCCTAAACTTGCAGTCAATGTCTGAAGTGAGGGCAGTCTTGGTATGAGTTGTGCTCATGAGCTGGAGTGTGTGCCAACTCTGGAATTTAGTGTCAGAACTGAACTGCACTATTGCAATATCCTATTTCATTTTATGGACACAGTTGTGCTCTCAGGTAGGCAAGAAAAATATTATTACTTCCATTATGCAAACAATTAAACTGAAGCACAGAGAAGTAAAGTGGTTTTTAAAAGTTGCCCAGTGACAAAAACTCAGATGTCCTTATTGAACTTCAGGGCAAGAGTGAGTTTGAAATCCATTAGCACTCCAATGTGTCATCCTATTTTCTTTTACCTTTTATGATTTAACATTTTAAATGTTTTTGTCTATTTCTTCTCTTTGTTTTGCAGATGAATATTAATCATAGATGTTATGCATCACAGCTTGGGTCTTTCTGCTCTTATTTCTCTACATTTTCTCTCTCAGTCCTCACTCCACCTTACCCCACATGACCTCTGAGTGGCTCCCAAGGCTCTGTCTTCATGCAAATTTTTCACCTGCTGTCTGATTTCCCCAGTCATCTTAGGATAGTTCCATCTGCATATTTCATTGATGAAACCTAGCATTTAGTACAGCTTTTGCAAAGCCACACATGCCCTGTCTAGTTCTATTTTTAGGTAGCTGTGGGAAAGAACAAAGTAGGGAATTCAACCATGGGTAATTTGTAATCAAGGGAGCCTGATTATTCATCTTTCCCAGGAGAGTTTTGTAGATACCTCTACTTTCTTTAAATGTTTTTTTGGCATCTTCTTCCTGTGTTTCTTCTGGAAGTACAGGTGTTGTCAGCTCTGTTTCCTCACCTGGAGAGAGACACATGGACTTGTGAACTTGAAGAAAGGCATAATTCAGGTATTCTTTGAGGTCCTACCATGTTCAAATTGGGATGCAAAAAAGCTGTAGAAATTTTGCCAGCACCATCTATAAACGTAGAAAAGTAAAGGGTTGAATTTGCTGCACTAGAGGTTTAAATTATCTTTGTCTTTTTGGTGAGACCCTTGCTGTCAAGAATCCAGTACTAAAACAATCAAGAAGCAGCTGACATCAAGGTACATAAAATACCAAGGTGTCAAGGGGAAGGGCCAAGGACTCACTTCTAGGACCATAAATTAACAGTTTGGCTCATTTTTTTTGGTCTCATTAGATTAAATTATTCCTTTGATATTGTCAATGATGACAAGTAACACCCCAAACAAAATTTGTAACTGTTGCTTTTCAGCTGTGAGAACACTAGAAAATGAGATGACTAAACTAGCTGTCATGGCTGGGTGTGGTGTATACCTGTCCCAAATGCCTGAGTTAATACCACTAGTTTTTCTGTTGAATAATCCAGTCCAAAGGACATAGGGCTTTAAACCTGTGAAGAGGGGCTATGAAACAGCCCCAGTTAACCCAAATCTCAAGTAACAGGCTTACCTTCAGCTTCTCTAGAAGGAACTGCTGGTTTCTCTGTAGTAGAAAGAAACAAAAACAAAAATAAGTAGTAAGTTTTTATGGCATCTGAATGAAATCAACCACAGCCTCATGGCATCCATTTATTTGCTGATTCATTCCTCCGATAAACTTTATTTGTTGTTATCAGATATCAGGAACTGGGCTAGTAAATCAAAATAATTGCTTTTGCACAAAGACTAACCTTCCCCAGCTTTATTTTGGTGCTTTTTTGTTTTTAAAAAAGTATTTAAAAACGTTTAAATATGATAATTTCCAAATATACAAAAAAGTAGAAAAACTGGTATAATGTACCCTGTGTATCGTCATGCAGCTTCAACTCCTATCAATGTACAGCTCATCTAGTTTCAACAATAATCCCTACTCCTCTCCCCTGCACTCCTGGCCTGGATTATTTTAAAGCAGTCTAAGACATTTTTTCAGTTCATAATGGGGATGTTTTAGAGGGCAACAAACACTGATCTCCAAGTAGTGAAAGTGGTTTAGGGGCTCAGTAGACCACTGGCCAGCACCAAGGCAGAGGCTGGTGATCTAGAGCTCTGAGCTTTTGTACATATTTCAAAGTGTCTTGAGAATATCAGGTTGTACAGATAATTGACATCAAATGTTTTTGCTTTTGACTGGGAGTGTGTCCACCTGTTGTATTGGCAATGAGTCTCTTATGCCAATCAGATGCTCTGGTGTTCGTAGGGACAGGGTCTTTAAGGGAAAGACCTTAAAAATCACAGTCTTAAGGCCAGGATGTCAAGCCCATTCTGAAGTTTCACTCAGAAAGGACAAAAACTTTTAGTCATCTTCCCATAAGTGTGTGTGTGTGTGTGTGTGTGTGTGTGTGTGTGTGTATAGGTGATGTAAATCCATTTATTTAAAAAAACCCAGTTATACAATGTCTACTATATGAGAGAAACTGTTCTAAGTGTTGTTTTTTTTTTTTTTTATGTGAGAGAGTCTTGCTCTGTCACCCAGGCTGGAGTTCAGAGGCACAATCTTGGCTCACTGCAACCTCCGCCTCCCGGGTTCAAGCGATTCTCCTGCCTCAGCCTCCGAAGTAGCTGGGATTATAGGCATGCGCCACCATGCCTGGCTAATTTTGTACTTTTATTTTTAGTAGAGATGGGGTTTCACCACGTTGGTCAGGCTGGTCTCAAACTCCTGACCTCAAGTGATCCACCAGCTTCAGCTTCCCAAAATGCTGGGATTACAGGCGTGAGCCACTGTGCCTGGGCTGTTCTAAGTGTTTTATAAAATCAAACTCAATTAATCCTGATAACAGCCTTATTATTATTGTTGTTTATTTATTTATTTATTTATTTTTGAGATGGAGTCTCAGTCTGTCGCCCAGGCTAGAGTCCAGTGGCGCGATCTCGGCTCACTGCAAGCTCTGCCTCCTGGGTTCCTGCCATTCTCCTGCCTCAGCCTCCTGAGTAGCTGGGATTACAGGTGCCCACCACCATGCCCGGTTAATTTTTTGTATTTTTTAGTAGAGACGGGGTTTCACAGTGTTAGCCAGGATGGGAGGTGGCCTTATTATTATTCTGGTTTTGTACATGAGGAAACCAAGATTCGGGGAGATTAAGTAACTTGCCCAAATCTCACAGCTGATAAGTAGCTGTAAAGGAATTTCAACCAAACACATTCTAACGAAAATTAAAATAGTAAGGAGACATAACTGTGCTAGGTAGCGGAGATAAAACAGCAAACAAGAAAGAATCTCAGCCCTCTAAGAAGCTTATATTCTACAGGATAGCCATAAAATCTGGAAATACAGGAAAATATTAATGAACATTGATTTTGTGATATTACACTGGAATACGTAATAACATGATCTGTTCAACACATGATCTATTCATACTGTTGTCCCTCCATACTTCAATCCACGGTGCAAAGTTAAAAACGGCACATCATTGCAGCATTTCCATCAATCCCTGCACGTGCATCTGTGTTGCCTCATGATTTGTTTCTGATATTCACTGAATATGCCTGTGCCTTTAGCACACCCCAGAAGTAAGCAAGTGTTCAGCTATGGCTAGCATGCTGCCTACTCTACATGATTATTTTCTCAAATCTAGTTTTACATATTATCATTCACCCAGTTCCTTGCCACTCTGACATAATGGGATGATGCGCCCTCCTGCTGGAACCACAGGAGTGAGCTTCCCCAGCCCATCAAGTGGTTAAACAGGTAAGTTTCCAGACTTCATGCCAATCATGTAGTGAAGGGGACAGCCTTATAAATAGGTAGTTAAAGTACTGTGTGGGTGAGGTGCTACGATCCTTATAGGAGAGACACCAAACCTAGCTTTGAGGGGCTCTGGAAGGCTTTCCAAAGGAAGTTATTTTTTTAACTTCTTATTTTGAAATATTTCAGATTTATGAAAATTTGCAAGAATGGTACAAAGAATTATCCCATATCCTTCACCTTATCATTTCATCACATTTCATTTACTTAATTATTCTCCCTCTTTCTTATCTCTCCTCTATCTTTGTATCACATACACACGTTTATGTGTGTGTGCATACATGCATATATATATATATATATACACACACACATACACATACATAACATTTTTCCTGCAAACAAGTTGCCAGCATGGTGCCCCTTTACTCCTAAAGATTTTTGTCCATATTTACAAAGGGAAAGGGGCCTTTTCATGTATAACCACAGTACAATGATCAAAAGCAAGAAATTAACATTGATGCAATACTATTTTCTAATCTACTGATCTTATTCAGATTCTACCGATTTTCCTAATAATGCCATTTATAGGAAATCATCACATCATGTTCAGGATCCAACCCAGGATCACTGGTTGCACTTAGCTGTTAGGAGAGAAGGTGTTGTCTAATCTGAAGCCAAAGGGTGAGAATGAGTTGGCTGGGAAAGGGGTGTTTCAAGCACAGGAAACAGAAATTAAGAGCTCTTGGGAAATTCCATTTGGTACAAAGGTGTTGGAATAGGATGAGGAGAGGAGTTAAAGTGGTGAGAATTGAGCTGGACAGGTCGGCAAGGGTCTGGTTGTGCCGATCCTCTTCTGGCATGCTAAGGTGTGTAAACTATTCTGGGCATGGGTGGCCAAAAACAGGCAGTGTGTTAGTTTTTCTCCATGTGCCCACCTCCCTCTGTTGGATCCATTCTCTGTCCTCTGTGCCTTGGGAGGTTGAGGTCTATAAACTGTTTCAATGGGGCTTCCTTGTTCCCTTGTTCTTTGGTCTCTGATTGGACTTAGCCAATGAGAGGCAAAGGCAGAAGGTCAGAGGATAGAAGGAAAGAGAAGTCTCAGTATTTATTCCCCATGCCCCCATCCCACGTCAGCATGGTTTGATAGTAGCTGCATTTTGTGGTAATAGCTCCTGTTGGGCGGGTCCTCTTTCATGACCCCAAGCTTTTCCCGGGTTCTGCTAAAACCATTCCCTCCTTTTATTCCTTCAGGCCTGGACATAACAGTTCCCCATTGTAGCTAGTCCCTGGATATTTTACCATCTCTTGCTCTTGGCCTACACCTCAGCAAATGTCCCTTTTATTACACTTTCCTCATTAAACCCTTTGTGTGTGCCATCTTTTTCTTGCCAGGACTTAGTGTGACTAATATAGGCAATAACAAAAGTAATGAAGAATATGATTTTTTCTAAGAAGGTGCCAAGTCCAAAATAAAAGGATATTAAAGCAAATTTCAAAACCTCACATTTCAAAAACTGTTAAAGGAAGTGCAAAAATTTAAACCATGGAGCTATTAATAATAGAATATAATTAACAAAAGTGATGGAAAGCCAGTATGTAACAAGTGCCTTGCTTTCACTGCTTCATAAAGGTGACTTGCTAAGTCAGTCTAGGTCTTTGCAATCTCCCCGCCTGAGACAACGCTGTATGGTGGGGAGGGCCAGGTCACTGGAGAGAAGAATTCATCCGAGAGGACAAAGAGAGAGAAAAACATCTTTTAGCAGCAAAAATTGCCACCAAACCATAGTCCAGTTCAAACAATTTTAAAATGACAGGATTACTTAGTCCCAAACTAGATATAACTAACAAGTCACTCTACTCCTATCAAGAAAGAATGCAGAATTGGGGCTAAGCAGTTGGCTTTAGGGAAGTGAGAAACTTCAAGGGCAGATTAAGAATCAGTTCAAATTCAAATCTGTCAGTTATAATGGAGAAGTCTGGGAAACCCAAGTATAGCAAAACTACAAGCTTGTAGCCAGTTCAAAACCCTAACAGATCTGGAAGCAAACGTAAGTTGAATTTGCAAGGCATTAAATACAGGGTGGTCTGAGAGTTTAAATCTGCTCATCAAATTACCTGCTATCTCTGCCCAGTGAAAGTGCAGTTGGTGTACTTTATCATTTACATATGTATCGTGCTTCCTTAAAACCCCAGAAAATAATCTCACTGGGCTGTTAGAAGACTTGTAGGAGCAATGGCCAGCTTATTCTAAGCCCCTACAGCCAACCTCACATGTGGAAAGAGTAATAATTTGTGGCTGTCCACTTAAAGGGCTTATTTCCTGACGTTCTTGTAAGACTTGCTTTATCACACATAAATTAGACCTTTTCTTTTTCTCATCCCTTCTCTTAACATCTGATAACCTTTCCTTTGCTAGGATTACTCCTCGGTGAGGAATTGTCATTACATTGCCCTTTACAAGAATTCTTAAGGTTTTATGTTGCTGGCATTTGCAACAAGCTTTCTCAGAGACCACATGACAAATTCTTGGTACTAGCAGCAGCTCATGAAATGAGAGAAGTTGAGAATTCAGCCGCATAGCTTGGGAGAGGATTCATTACCATCAGAATATTTGCAAATGAAATTGTTCTTCATGTTGCACCGGTCATCATTCCACTGGAACATGTAGGGGCCTCCGATGCCAGCGGGTGCCGATGGCTGATGGTACATGACCACGCAGACCTCGCTGCCGCAGGATGGCTCATCCACATACCAGTTCCTGTAGGGAAGGGATCAGCAGTAGAGGCAACTGGAGAAGGATCCCCTGAGACTTCAAAGCCTTTGTTTTCCCGTCAAGTCTCACTGAGCCATAAACATAAGATTCTGCCTCAGAACATGATACAGAGAGAGGTAGGAATTGAAGTACTGCCAGTAAGCAGAACCACACGCATTCTCATATGGACATCACAATCAATCATCTGACATTTGCCACAATCTCTTTGCAGGGAGGAACATGCCACCATATGATGTCTGTAAAGTAATTATGAGAAAAAGCAGCCAGCAGGGCTAGTCTGGACGATCTTATTTCTTTCTTGCTTTTTGCTAATTGGGTTTGTTTGTCTTTTTTTAGATCTCAGATGCACTGAGAAGAGACATGGCTTATCTCATCCAGAGCTTGCCCTGCTCTCATCTCTCCATGATTTTCAACAGCCACCAACTGCCTTTTCAGCCCTGGGAAGTAGATAAGAAATTCAAGCACATGAGCAAGACATTCCAAACATAGAGGCTGTCAAAACAGGTGAAAGGGTGGGGACAAAAGCAGGAGGACCATTTGGTCTTTTTCAGTTTTTAAGTTGTTTCCACTTGATAAGGCTGATGAGCCCCTCAGCCTCTACCTCCAGATGTCTTGTCTTTGTCTCCCTAGCCCCCTAGAGGGGTGCATTAGCAACCTTACACTACTATCCAGTGGCACTTGAAACTAAATGGTGCTGCCACCCAGTTGGATATGTGGGTGCCAGGTTAAAGCCTTGGATCTTATGGAGCGTTTACATCTGTGAGTACCCACCCCATGTGCTGACTCAGGGCTGGGCTTTGTAACCTCCCTGGTTAGTTGCCTGAGCTGTTTCCTTCTAGGGCTCAGATCTTGCTCTGATGCTCAGAGCAGGCAATGCTGCTCTGCTTAGCTCTTGTCAGAGCCCTCTTCAGGAAAGAGACAGCAAGAGACAGCTCTCCCTGTAGCGCCACAGTAAGGCTCTGCTTAAGTCCTGTATTGTTGTCTACTAAAAGGAACATCCTTTGCTGCACTCACTGGATTGAATTTCCTGGAAAATAGCTTAGCTTACAATAAACACTCCTTGGATACTATGACTGGACAGCTGGGGGCACCTCATTAGTTATCTCCAGTCCAGATTCCAGCCCTGTTGGGCCTCCTACCCTGACTTGCCTTGTTCCCCTCCCCACTGGCCTTATGGCTTTACATTATTTTGTCTTATAGGTTGAATATTATGTCTGGTGTATAATTTCTGTACTTGAGCCAATTTTCAGACCCAGAACTCACTGATAGAGAGGCCAGGTTTCCAGTAAGAAGGACCTTGCAACACCACGGCAGGTGCACATGGTAATAACTTCCCGTTTTTCCCTAAAGGGATCCATGGCTATTTCCTCCAGTAACCATACAGCGGGGAAGAGGGAATATCCAAATATTACAAGGGCTGTTGGACACAGGGTGCAAGTTGACATTAATACTCAGACTTAAAGTGTCATCAAAGCTACCCATTAGAATGGGAGCATACTGGGGACAGGTATTAAGTAGAGGTCTGGCCCAGGATCAGCTCATAGTGGCACCCAGCCAGTCATCATTCCCCAGTCCCCAAATATATGAATTGAACAGACATATTTTTAGTTGGTACAGTTCCACATTGGTTCCTTGGCCTATGATGGGCAGGTTGAGCTGCGTCGTCTCTTGGTCTACTTACCTGTGGGGCAAGAGCTATCACGGTGGAGAATGTCAAGTGGGGAAGCCTTTGAAACTGCACTCCTCCCCACCCCTGCCATGATAATAAATCAACAACAATATCTTATCCAGGGAAAGATGGCAGGAAGTAGTGTCACCCTTAAAGACCCAAAGAATCCAAGAGTGGTGTTCCCCATTGCATCTCTAGTTAATTCACTAGTCTTGACTCCTGAAAACACCAGGCAGATCCTGAAGGTGATAATAGAGTAGCACAAACTCAACCAAGTGGAAGCCTGATTGTGGCTGCCTGTGCCATATGTGGTGTCTTTGCTAAAGCAGGTTAACATGCCCTTGGGTACCTAGTATGCAGATCCGGTGAACACATTCTTTTCCTTCTGTATCAGAAAGATAATCTGAAACAGTTTGTTGGGATGGACAACAGTATATACTTATGGTCTTGACTCAAGGCTATATTAATTTTTACCGTCCTCTGTCATAATATGGTGTAAAGAGATCTGGATTTCCTAGACATCTTGCAGAAAATCACACTGACCTACTATATGGCTGACATCATGCTAATTGGAACAGATGAGCAAGAAGTGGTTAGTACACTGGATGCCTTGGTAAGACTTATGTACTCCAGAGGGTTGGAGATAAATCTTATGAAGATTCAGGAGCCTACCACTTCAATAAAATGTGTGGGTGTCTAGTGATCTAGGGAATACCAGAACATCCCTTTCAAATTGAAGAACAAACTATTGCATCTTGCAGTAATTTGAAGAATGAAGCATAGCACATGGTAGGTCTCTTTGGGCTCTAGAGGCAGCATATTTCACACCTGGGAATATTGCTCTGGCCCATAAACCAGGTGACATGGAATACAGCCATTTTGAGTAGGAGTCACAGCAGAAAAGAACTCTGAAGTGGATCTAGGCTGTGTGCAAGCAGATTTGCCACTTGGGCCATATGATGCAGCAGCTCCTATTATTAGAGATGTCAGTGGTGGGAAAAATTATGCCATACAGAGTTTGTGACAAGCCTCAATGACAGAATCACATGCAGACCCATAGGATTTTGAAGCAAGGCCATACCATCTGTAGCTGAAAATTAGTCACCTTTTGAGAAACAATTCCTGGCTGGCTACTAGGCAAGGAGCACCAGAGACCATGAAGCACAACCTGCCCATCATGAGCAAGGAACTGTCAGACACACCTAATCGGAGATTAGGCAAGCTTGGAATAGATCCGTTGTAAGATGGAAGAGGTACATCCAGGACCAAAGAGCACTGCATAAGCAGGTAAAGCAGACTTCCATGACATCTGCCACTGCTGGACCAGAGCCTCTTCCTTAGCTCACATCTGTGACTGCATGGAGGAATCCCTTGTGACTAGCTGATACAGGCAGCCTGAGCCTGGTTCAAGGGTAGGTCAGCTAAGTATGGGAGTACACAGTGAAATGGACAGCAGCTGCACTGCAGTTTCACTGAGGTGGCCTTGAAAGAGACCAGTAAGGGAACATCTTCCCAATGGCCAGAGCTTTAGTTGGTACATCTAGTTAACCACTTTGTAAGGAAAGGGAAATTATTGGAGATTAGATTATATAAGAACTAGGGGTAAGGTAAATAGCATGCCCAGCTGATCAAGAGTCTAAATGGAAATAGACTGGAAGATTGTGGACTAGGAGGTTTTGGATAGAGGGATGTGACTATACATAGAAGAGTGAACATAAAATATGCAACTCTTTTCATCAGATATTAAAGACCACCAGGAAACATCTACTTAGAAGAGGCACTGAACAAGCAGGGAGACAAAATAACTCAGCTAGGTAATGCCAGCCAGCCTGTTATTAGCCACCCCAGTGCTAGTACAATAGATACTAATAGGTAGTGGCAGAGATGAAGGCTATGGATGGCCTCAACAGATTGGCTCTCATTCACTAGGGCTAATCTAGCTATTGCTACTGCCGAATGTTCAACTTCCAGCAACAGAAACCAATGCTAAGTCTTTGACACAGCACCAACACTTGAGGACACCAACATAGCACTTGGTGGCAAGTTGATTACATGGGACTTCTGAAAAAGGCAATAACTCACGTGCCCTTTATACAGTCCTGTGTTTCCAAGAATAAGAATACATGGGTTTGGGAGCTGAGGGGTGGAAGCAGGAGTAGCCTCATTTTAGAATCGCTGGCAGTGACCCACGTAGGAATTTGTGCTTCTTGTCTCTGCAACACTGGGATCTGGAAGTTTAGAGGTCCTGGTTCCCACAGGGGACTGTCAGAAGATACAAGAATCTTACTAAACGATGAGTTATCACTGTCATTTGGACACTCTGGAATCTTTGTGTCCAGGGACCAGCAGAGAAAAAGAGAAGACATTGTTTTGGCAGGAGGAAAGTGGCCCTAACCATCGGGAGGAGATAGGCCTGCTGTTATGTATTATGGGCAAGGAGTTATCTATTTGGGTACCTCTTGGAATTTGCTTGCCCAATTTTGATGGTCAATAGAAAAGTGCACTAACTCTAGCATGATAAGGGCAAGGCAACTAGGACCCCAGATTCTTCAGATATGAGGATGTGGATCATGCCACAAGGTCAACCGTTGAGACCAGCAGACGGTAAGGGAATCTGGACTGGCTAATAGAGTAGGGAAGTCAATAAGTACCATCTGTGGCCTTGGGACCAGCTGCACTGATAGGAAGTGTAGTTCATCCTACTAACCCTCCTTTCTAAAGTTTCTCCCAGGAAGACAGGCTCATGAGAATCCTGGAGGAGCTACTCCCAGAACTTATATGAAGATGTGCACCTGATCAGTGTAATGGGTGGACTAAGATAGATGCTGATGTGCTGCCTTAAATGTAATAGGTAAAAAATATATATATATATATATATTTGTTAAATTTTGGGGGGGTACATAGTAGGTATATGTTAAAGAATATATTTTAAAATCTTCATTCTTTTGATGAGTTTAGACCTTTCCCCATATGATTGTTTACCATTAGATTTTTTATTTTATAAACGGTCTGCTCAGGTCTTTTGTCTCTTTATATTTTGGGGTCTTAGTATTTTATTGACATATAAACTCTTTATCATAAAAAGATATTAACTCTTTGTTGGATCTGTTACACGCATTCTCCTAGTCTCATGTCTGTCTTTTAATTTTGATATTTTTTAAATGTTTGTCTATGTCATTGCATTTCTTAGGGAGGGATGATGGCAATGTCATGTTTCCAGGGTAGGGGATGAGTGAGTCTTGATGCTGTGGGTTTAGCAGGGCCCTATACACTGCAGGCTTCCTGAGGTCCCCACTTTTGGCCAATCCACAGAGTTAGATCTTGGCTCTGATTTCTTGCCCATTATTACAATTCCCTGTGGACTGGAGTCCTACCCTGAGTCATAGCCCTTTGGATCTTCAGTCTCTCCATGAGGTTCTGGTCCAAAAGGCCAGAGAGCCAGAACAACTGGCTTCAAGCATTATATGCTGTTGAAACAAGGCTGCTGGGCTGCACTCACCTGAACAGAGTTCCTTGGACATCAGTTGGGCCCAAATCAAGGCTAAGTTCACCACCTGCACTGCTTAGGTCAGCAGCTATTCTGGTGCTACTTTCCCTTCAGAGATCTGCCTGGTTGGTCTTCTCTTCCCCACTGATCTGGCACTGTGGATCCAGCCTGCCTCTTTTTTGAGTTATGTCAAGTGAGTCAGCAGCTGTGGGTTCCACACACTTACCTAAATTGTGATATGCTGCCATCAGTCCAAGCATAAAGGTCCTGGCAGGCTGTGCTATTGCTTTGTTTCTCCTCACGCCTCCTGAGCCCAATCCAGAAGTCACCATCAGATGGCAAGAGGTTTTCAATGAACTTTTCTATCAGTTTCTGTTCATCTTCAGACTCGATGCTGACTAGCTGGCCTCCATCCCTCCTGCAGGCTTCTTTGGCTTCCTCAAAGTTCAGTCTTCGAGAAGTATCATGGAAGTAAATGACTTTATAACAAGGCCTCTGTGTCCCTCCCCGGCAGACTGGCTGCCCTAGAGAAAAAAGAAGCCAATCTATTTCAGTGTCTCAAAAAGTATACCGGGGCAGGGATACGTGGAGGCATCCAAAGGAAGGTATCCCTGGGTAGGAATTTTGGTTACACATCAGTAGACTGTTATCATGTCAGTTGGGGTTCTCAGAGCAAATTAATACTCCTTCCAGCATGGAGATGTAGTGATTTAAACTCTGATGCCTATATTGTGTAGGGACATCATGTTTTGTTTGTTCCATTACAGAATCTTAAAAAGCAAATGTTTTATTTTGACTGTCCTTTAGAAGAGAAGTAGATGAAGATTTATGGTTTCACTGAAAGGCACACAAATAACACTTTCATTAGGGAGTCTCAGGGGATAATGTGGCTTAAAGGGGGTGTCTCTGGTGGTTCTTTAAGGTAAGAGAGGCTTCCTGAAGTCAGGCATGGGCTCCTCTATTCTGGAACCCTCTGCCTGTGCAGCAGGACTGAGAATTTGCCCAGTCTCTGGTGTAAGCAGAAGCTAAAAGCATCAGATCCACGGGGTTTTCTGCTACTGACAGTCAGCCCTCTGACCTAAAGACAACAGTTAAGGTTTACTGAACTCCTACTATGTGCCATAAACTATGGTAAGGGCTTAACATTTACTTACATACTTTATCTCATGTAACCCTCATAATAGTCCCCTGATGCAGATACTGTTTATGGCTTATTTTACAAATGAGAAAACTGGAGCTCAGGGAAGTTAAGTAATTTGGCCAAGATCACACAGTGATCATCAGCATCACCGGAGTTAGAGCCCAGATCTAATTACAAAATCATGCTGGTACCAGTGAACTAAATTGCTAGCTCCCCGCTGCACCCCAGGCTCATGTTTTACTGGGAGCCTATGTAATGTGTCTTATCAGTCTGTCCCCTGAAGGGCTGAAGATCATCTCAGACAAACAGATGGGATTTTACTGAGGAGCCAATAACAAATCGCTCACAGTACACACTGCTCTAGCTTGCGTCTGTGTGACTGAAGCCTTGCTGCAATGGAGACACTAGCCTCATCACTCCTTTCATTCAATCAACATTTATTGAGTGTACACTTTGTGCCTGGCACTGTGCGAGGTGCTGGGAATACAGGAACAAAAGCTACTTCCTAACCCACAGGAGCACACAGCATATGTTTCCGGATTCAAATGTTCAAAGTGAAAACCACGTATCAACACGGGGAGTAGTCCCCCTGCAAAGAGAAAGCCAAATTGTGGGCTGTGGGTGCGAACTGCTGCCACAGTGCCGGGGGTAAAATATTTTGGTTTGGGAACCTCCTCCCAGAACTTCTGGAATGTTCTTGTTTTCCCAACTTGTTTTACAGCTGCGCAGGGAGCCAGATAGCATTCATTAATTCCCAACACTGGCCAGCATATAGGGCAAGGGGCCACAGACAGATAGAACTATATGATTAGTGCTAAATGAGAAAGAGCACATACAGATTATCCAGAAAGCTCCAGTGAGTCTTCATTTTCTATTTCTTCTCTCATCACTTTCATAAAGGAATTCTCAATGAGCAACAAGTTATAAGAGTTCCACATCTTCTCCCTTTTCCTGTCATTATTTGGCTATTGCTGATAATAGAGAAACTCTAATTAGACTGGTCCAGCAGCACATTAGGAGGGTTCAAAAGCCAGACCTGCTTGCAAGAAGGTATTCAGAGAGGCTGAGGCAGGGATACCCCCGGGAAGGGGGCTGGGCCAGCCACGCTTTTGCGATTCCTCAAAGCTGGCTCCAAATTGGGCAGCAGAGGAGGGGCAAATGAGCCCCCAGGAACTTATCCAACCTGGCCACCGGCATAACATAAGCTGGAGTTGAATTTCCTGACAACCCCCACTTTCCATGTTGGATTGTCAAGGGAAACATAACACCTTAAGCGAGTTTCCTGTATGGTCCAGCCTGGCCACACATCCGAAGTCTGCGGGTGAGTGCCAGAGACCGTCAGAGCTGGAAGGAGGCCCGCGGGCCTATCTGGTTCTCCTGCCTTCAGGAAGTGTCCTTCTCTTCTCATTTGCAGGAAGGCGAAGGGTGGGAGGGCCTTCTGTTCCCCGCGACCAAGGACAGAGCCCACGCAGCCCTAACCCAAGCAGCTCAATTCAGCTTCCCACCTCTTTTGCCGCCCCGCCCCCATCCTGAAACCAACTTTACATTCTTTAAATTAGTTTCGCAAGCCAGGATGCCAGAGTAGAGGAGGTTCCCAGTCTCCTCTGTCCCGTTTGGTCAAGCTGTTGGCACCCGCAAAAAGGATCTGAGAAAAGGGCACGGATGTTCTCCCCCCGACATGCAGAACAACTGAAAGAAGCCAGAAGCCAGAGCACTTTACCTCCTCTGAGGTCCAAATCCGAGGCTGCAGTGACACAACAGGAGGAAGGAAGCAGAGAGTCATTCCCCGGAGTCAGGTGGGGCTCGTCCCACACTAACTGGAGTTCTTTCCCGATCTCTAAGCGCTCTCATACCGGGCGCTCGACCCAGCCATCCAACCCCGCAGAAGAGACGAGGAGTAACAGGCAGGGTTCCCACGGCACCGGGGATCCAGCATCCCTACCCCGCTGTCTCTGCGGCCGCCTCCCGGAGCGGGCGGTAGGCGGGGGCCAGCTGGCAAGCCTGCCCCGCGGGGGTGGTCCCAAGGACTGATTCGATGCGTGTAAAGGAGCGGGCCGAAGGGGCACCCACTGGGGCAGGTTTGCCCACTGCCCCACCTCTCCTACATTCTCCAACCCACCCCCATAACTCTGGACTGGGAACGGGCTTCGAGCGTTCCAGGACGCGCAGGGAACTGCGCAGCTCCGGGAACTGGCGTGGGTCTCAGACGCCGTGCGACTGCCCCCAGAACGCAAGAGACTCCGAAGGGCTGCGTCTGGGAGTGGGGCATGGGACGGCCTTCTAGTCCCATACGTGGCGACCCAGAAGAGGGTCAGCAGCAGCTGGGGTGCAGTGAGCCCACCCCGGCACCAGCCCCCGCCCCAGCGCGCGCACTCACCACTCAGCAGGCGACCCGTCGCGGCCCGCAGCCCCACCAGCAGCACGGCCAGCAGCACGGCCTGTAGCGCGGTTCCCGGCCTCATGGCCCGACTCGGGTGCGCCCCCCGACACTCGGGCGCTACGGCGGTGGAGCGGGCTGGCGGGCAGAGGCGTGCGCGACAACTGCAACCGCGGCAGCAGCATCTCTAGGCCACCGACGGACCGCACGGGAGGCGGGGGGGAGGGCGCGGAGTCAGTCGGTCGCCCCTCCGCCCCCTGGGACGTCACTGCGAGGAGGGCAGCCCCGCTGGCTGGCCCGCCCCCGACAGCCTCCTCCAGCGAGGTTGGCGCCAGACACTCGGCCAGCCAGAGAGGGGCGAGTCGCAGAGGGGAACCAGCTCCCTGTCCCCCTCCGAGCTTCCCTGGGAGATCCCGCGTTTGCCCGAGGCGCTGGGCGGAGGAATACTTCAGTCGGGCCCCTAGGCAATCTGATAACGAGCACAGTGTGCCTAAAACTAGCACCACATCTCACCCCTCCTCTCCCGCTGACCTTAGCCAAGTTCGCCAGCTGTGCGGGTGCACCTGGAGAGAGAGGCGATGCGTGGACTCCTACCTGGGGCTCAGCAGGCCGCAGTCCCAGCACGAAGGGCGACGCCTGAGCAGGGAATGGTCGATGCAGAGAACAAACACTCACGCAGGCAGTGTGCCCACCGGCCAGGAAAGTTATGGGACACCGCGCGGATGGCATCCAAAGAACTTGGCTGAGTTGGAGCCCTCCCGACTGAAAGGAAAGCGGCTTCTACCAGAAGCCAAAAGATGTCCCAGATCCCTGGAAGGAAATGATTCTGTTTTTTGCAGGGAACAGGTTGGGAGGTGGGGGTCATAGTTAGGGAGTTCAGCTTTGGCCCCTCGCCCCGCAGGAAAGAATGAAACTATTATCTCAGGAAAAGCTTTCCTAACCTAGCCCTCAATGTGTGCTTCCTCTTGTAAACTCCCAAAGTAGGTGTGTTTCACTTTGGTTTCGTAAACAAAATGCTTTTAAATATAGTCAAGCAATAGAGTGAGCCATCTGTCCAAAGATTAAGGCACTAAGTAGCAGAAGGTGAATCTGACTTTCTGCCTTTTCTGCCACACCATGCTGCTGTGAAGCATAGCAGAAGCCCCATCTGGGCCACGACCTCTGGATTTTGGTTCCAGCTTGCTGCTTCTTACGTACTCTTTCTGCTTTTCAAAACAGCCAAGAAAGCAGTGATGCTTCTAAGGCCTCTAGCCACTGCAATTCTAAACAAACAGCCTGAATACAGGCTGGGGGTGAGAGGGGAGTGGGATGAATTTCAGTATCAGCTGAGACTATGGGGGAGCTCTGCTGCGGCACGTAACAGCTAACAGCGGTTGTGGCAGGATGAGGCCTGACCTTTATGGCAAGATCATTTATAGACCTTCCTTCTGTCCCAGTTAGAATACGTCAATGTCACATCTAACACACTTTCTTCTTAGAAATTCTTGGTTATCAAAACAACTTGAGAGAACTGTTATGGTGAAAAGAAGCACTGGAGTTGGCATTTGAGGGTCTGTTTCAGATTCTGCTCTTCATTTAATGTCTGTGTGGCCTTTGGCAATTCCGTTTGCCTAAGTTTCACTTAACTGTTGGTAACATTAACAGTTGCCTTAAGAGTTTAGTGAGTGTTTGATAAGGCAAATATATATGTAAATGTTCAGATATCTAGGCACTTAATGTCAATTGAAAAGGATTTATTTCTAATATTATAACATCTGCTACAACTTTAAAAAGCTGTTACATAATTAAATCGTGTCCCGACTTCTCGCTTTGATACCCTGGACCTTGGTTCAGATGGATTTTGTTAGGGTATACAGTCAACCAAACCTGGTAGATTACAATAACGGCCCCAATTCTCCACACCTCCCTGTACCCATATCCTTTACCATATGACTTTGTAGTTTCTCTTTCTAAAGAGGCAGAGTATATTTCCCCACACCTTGACTTTGTGTTTGACCATGTGATTGACTTGTTTGGCTAACAGAATGAGTCAGTTCTGAGCTTAGACCAGAAAGGCCTCATATTTCTTTTTCTTCTCTGCCACTCTCTGAGAGGAACATACCTTAGATATCCCACTGGTCTATGTGTATCCCTAAGAGGATGACAAATGGAGCAGAGCTACCTCAGGCAATTGACAAACTTGCAGTAAGAGACAGAGCTGCTCTAGGTGCTGTAGCTTGAAGCAGAGCTCTCTGGCTAAGCCTAGGTCAGCCAAACTAGATCACACAAAACTGCAGATGTGTGAGCAGTAATAAATGTTGTTTTAGACCCCTTTGTTATGCAGCATTGTTGCAGCAATAGCTAACCATTACACTTGGCAATGTAGGGAGGTATCACTAGGGGAAGGCTGGTTGCCAAGAAAGTCCACAAAGTAGAATTTTTCTTGGTAAAATTACCCTGGTCCAGGGTCCAATTCCTAGTTTAACATGCTCAAACCCAATCTAAGAGACTAATATATTTACACATTGAGAAATAGAATTGTCAGGTAAACTAATGCTTGCATTGGCCTGTTGAACACATATTCTCCCTCTGGGCAAAAAAGATTTATCAGCATGGAATCAGAATGAAAGGAATTAGTTATATGATTTAATAGTTTAGGCTTTGATAGCCTGCTGTGTCCATCTTCACAACGAAGACCTACCTGCCAGGCAGACAGATACATCAACCAGACAGGATACCTTTTATTCTTGCTGGTGCTAGGATGGGGCTGCCAATTTATAACTTTCAAAATTTTCCTTTCCTAGGCCTGACTACCTTCCTTTTGTTCCGAACATTTTTCTTCAAATAGCGTTGTGCCAGAACCTTGTCATTGTCCCCTAATATCCATTCTCCACTTCTTTTGGCTATAGAATCCCTGAATTTTAATTAGACAGAAGCCCCCTCCCCATTTTCTAAAGACAATTTCCAGCCTCCCTTGCAGCCTGATGTGTCCTTGTGATTACGCTCTGACCAGTGGGCCACCCAGTCTTCTGTTGGCACAGTGGATGGGGGCTGTGTCTTATGAAAGCTATGTCCAAGAGTTCCAAGTGGAGGCCAGTAGTGATGGAAATGGTGGTCCTAAATAGAGCTGCAACCTCTGGGTAACCCTCTTACCCTAAATACATGTTGCTTACCCAAGAGTCAGACTCCTGAGATTTCATCATTGGTAACTGATTTCCTTGGATTACCCATTGTTCCCTTTATTCAGCCTTCTTTTAAAATGCAAATATTCCTGGGTGGATAATAAACATATTGCTACTAAAGCTTTACTATAAACACACTTTCCAGTTCTTTCTTTCTGACAGAAGGGGGCCTGGATTATGCTAAGATCTCTCGAAGGAGGGATGGGGAAGAGCATCTAACCCTGAGTAGGACTGCCATTTGGACAGCGCAGAAGGGACAAATCCTTAATCTTTTCTTTTCCATTACATAGCAAAGGGAATGAAAGTGAGGGGGGTTGGCACTGGGTTTATGTATGTGTGTAAAACATAGGCACGTGGAGCCAGTTATTCACAGAGGTAGAAGCAACTCACTTCTGACTTCAGACATGTTTCAGAAATGGAACAAACCAAATTTTGCTAAGTGGTTTTCTTATTAAAGCAAGTAGACTTGAAGTTTTCAAAACTGCCCTTTCATTCCTATTTCCTGATTGTTTTTACTGGTGGTCTACAAGTTAAGACACATAAAGCCCCTGTTTCTTGCTTACCTGATATTCATAATATAGATCTAGCATAGAAATTCTGGAAATACCCTTCAAATGAAAACAAGATAAATAGGAGTTTGAGAATGTGGTAAGATGAAAGAGATGTATGTTGTGGTGTCAAACAGTAGTACCCAGTAAGTAAATAGACACAAATATTCAATAGCTGGTAGAATTCATAGAAGCCTGCATATTTAACCTTTATTTCTTTATTTTAACACAAGTACTCACTAACTGGTAAAATTCCTGGAAGTCTGCGTATTTAACTTGTATTTCTTTGTCTACTATAATGTTGCCAGTGATCTCAATGATCCTGATCTAAGAGAAGGTTGTTTCCAAAGTGAAGGTATAAGTGAGCCATCCTCTGCCATGTGTCAAGCAAATTAGTCCAAAGTTTTGACTTCTTCTTGGTCCTCTTTATCTGACTCTGATACCACTTTCCTGTTGGTAGTAATATCAGTCAGTTCCAATACACAGAACTCCGCCATTGTGAACATGATGTAGCATGAAAACAACTTTTGAAAATTCTCCCAATAAAAATTCACTGTTGTAGATTCTATGTGTTGGGTTTTGCAACCAAGTATAAACTTGTATGTGAGAGAAGTGGTTATGATATTGTGAAGTGTGGTTTGGAGGTACAGGAGCCCTCCTACCCCAAATATGTTTTGTTTATTCTAGAGTCAGACTCCTGAGATTTCATCATTGGTAATTGATTTCTTTGGTTTACCCATTATTTTATTTATTCAGACTTCTTTTAAAATGCAAATATTCTGGGATGGATAATAAATATATTGCTACTAAAACCTTACTATGAACACATTTTCCGGTTCCTTCTTTCTAACAGAAGGGGACCTGGATTATACTAAGAAGACCTGTTGAAGGAGGAATGGTAAGGGGGAGTCTGTGTATGTAGGGGAGTTATTTTACAATTGTGTCTAATAGAATAGTTTTTAAAGTTTATAAATTAATGTATAGTATGCAAACATCACTTTCTAAATTGGCTAACACTGAATTACATGATATTTTTCAACTAAACTTTTTGTTATAAATATTTTCTGAAGTCCAACATGTAAGCAGTATGCTGGCACTTTGGGTGACCCAATTCCTCATGGAGCTTACAGTATAGTTACAGACAATACAAAAAATATGAGAAAAGTTAAATAATGAAAGCAATAATAAGAGTTAAATAATTATAAAATATGGGCACAGAGTAATGCATGATTAGTTGCCCAAAGAATGTACAAAGAGTAACTAGAGGCCAGGCATGGTGGCTCACGCCTGTAATCCCAGCACTTTGGGAAGCTGAGATGGGTGGATCACGAGCAGGAGTTCAAGACCAGCTTGGCCAAGACGGTGAAACCCTGTATCTACTAAAACTACAAAAATTAGCTGGGCATGGTGGTGGGCGCCTGTAATCCCAGCTACTTGGAAGGCTGAGGCAGGAGAATTGCTTGAACCTGGGTGGCAGAGGTTGCAGTGAGCTGAGATCGCGCCACTGCACTCCAGCCTAGGTGACAGAGCGAGACTCCGTCTCAAAAAAAAAAAGAAGAGTAGCTAGAAGAAGTTAATAGTAGGAAGATAATCACAACAGAATAGAATGAAATTCAAGGCTTCAGGATGTAGGACAAAGTTAGTTTACAAAAGGAATTAAGTAAGCATTTAAATTATTAAGAGAATTATCTGTCCAAGCCGGGAAATGTTTTATTATTAGGTGAGTCAGCATGGGTAGTAGCAGGAATGTTCTGTAAAAATACATGCGGAAATCTAAGGCACCCAGACGTATCTATTGATGCTATTTAAGTAGCAGTCTTCATCCACTATTGGTATCGTTAAGTCACTCTTGATTGGGCTAGTTTTGCTTCATCTGTGGAAGCTAAGTCAAATCGTCTGGCTAAAAAGCGAGAAATTAGGTTGCTGAGCATTGTGTAGATAATATAGCTAGGTGATTAAATGATCTTTCTATTTTTTTTTCCAGAAGTTTACAAAATTAGAGTAGACATATTCTTTCTTCCTTAAGGGTGTTACTTTGACAGCATTAAAGGCAGTTAGCCTCAATACCAATGAGAGAAAAATCAAAATTCTATCACTTTCTGTTTCTCCCAGAATGTGGTATGAAAATAAATATTTGTCATATTAATGTTGAGTTGGCCACATTGGTTTTTAGTCATAATACAAAAACGGACAGATTTCTTATTAGGGGTGCGTTAGTGATTAACTGTTGCTTACTTATTTCCTTTAAACTCTTCTAGACTGTTAAACTGTTCCTAGTCCTGCTCTAACATTATTCCAGAGATAAGGCTACTCCCTTATCATTGAGAGTTTGCTACATGAACTTAGTTTTAGCAACCTTAGCCCACTCAGAGCTGGTGAGCCACAAACACGTGCTGATTCACTAAAGAAGTGGGCCAGGTGTGGATAGGGGACAGTGGAGTCAGGAGGGCATGATGATGGGTGATTATATAGCCCAGGGTGAGAAGAGAGGGACAGAGAATGTGCACAGAGCTTCAAGGCTGAGCTGCTTTCCATTTTGCACTAACTTATGCTTGCATATTCCACAGACAGACAAGTTCGTACACAGGCTTTAATAGCTGTGCGGAGAAGAAAGTTTATTCAAGGCAAGAAATCTGTAATACACGGGTGGGTTTCTAGAAGATTTAAGGGTAAGTGGCAAAGTAAGAAAAAAGAAATGCTTCCCTACACAGTAAGTTGAAAGGTGAGAGAATATTTTTGACATAGGTAAACTTACTTTGCTTTGTGTTCTTTGGCTTTTGGTTTATACGGAAGGGAAATCAGTTCTTTCTGAAACAAAACAAAATAAAAATCAAAAAGGTAAAATTTTACTTCTTGCACTGATTGGAATTTACTCATTTGAAAAAAAGCTGAGGTAAAATCATCACAGAGTTTATAAAGACTAGCTTCTTAAATCTGGAAACTGTGGGGTCGGTCAGAAATGTTGCACATTAGAGAGTTTGGGGTTTATTCAGGAGTGTTTGTTTTGTGCATCCACAAGTTTACATGATACTATTACTATTTTTATTAGGTTTGTTTCTCTTCATTTAACATTTATTTTTGTATGATCTAGGCAAGCTCAATCATTGTAAACAAATATTAGCACTGAAATAGCCCATGTTAATATCTTACAGCTTTATAATATGTGAACAGTAAACTCCACTGACAATAATACCTCATTTCTTATGCCAGGAGGGCTGCAAACTCTGGAGATAGCTTTGATTGATCAAGGGTTGCCAAATTATCTAATGTCTATACCTTGCCCCACTCTGGTATATCAATGGCTCTGGACTATAGCTAGCTAGATTTAAGGGTTCAATCTATAAAACCTCTGCAAAATTTGCCACAATTCATCCACTCAGATAGATTATCCAAATGCCTCACTATTGGTCTCACCGAGATCCTTTCTTCTCTTTGTTTTCTTAAGAGTTGGAGAATCTCTTCTCTTGTTTTAGCCTGTTTAAAGAAAGAAAAAAGTGGGTGTCTCGATTCAATAATAAAGACTTACGCCTACGAAAGGTAGAATTCTTCCATTTTCATCTTGTATTGGCAGAATTTTAAAATATTTTTTCCTAAGATATATTTATACATTTTTGTTTGTGCCAAAATCCTGTTTTTATTCAAGATAATGCTGCTTTACAAAATGCTTTTGTAAAATATTAAAATGCTGTAAAATTTTATTGTAAAATAATAAAATGCTGCTTTACATAATTGATCCTAAATACAGGGGTTATTTCCGCACCTAATAAAAACTAACTTAAAAAAAAAACTAATATTTATTAAGACCTTACCACATGAGCTATGCTAACAGCTTTATAGACATTATGTCATTATTTTCTTATAATAACTCAGAAGTTTGACACTACTATTACTCCACTGTATAGGTGAGGAAACTGAAGCTTAGTAAGGTTAAATAACTTACCCAAGCTATTAAGTGGCAGAACCGGATTTGATCCTAGCTCCATTTAGCAACAAAGTTCAAGCTATTGACCATCACACTAAATTGCCACTAATGGTGGCAAGAAGCAGGATTAGCAAGCTCAAACAGCATGCCGCTTGCACAGGGCAACAAAGCCTTATTCTTTCGTCTCTCCTATTTCTAGCTTAGATATTGAGACCTGCACATTCTCAGGTAAGTTTTCCTAAGTGCAAAAAACTAACTTAGTGCAGGCATGAAGATTTATCAATATATAAACTATAAAAATAGGCAAATATAGGTTCCATTTTTTTCACAGAATTCATCTATATTAAGTTTTGGAGATAGCCAGGCGGAAAATCACATCTGGTGTATTTGAGAAAAAAAGGAAATCCTGATAATCTAGCATCTAACAAATAAAACTTGTAACTTCAAATGGCCAGATAAAATCACATAAATTCTCTTTAGATCAAGCTGCAAGAAAGAAATAAGAAGTGAGAATAGACACAGATTTGTCATAGCCAGGTGCAGATTCTGTCATCTATCTAAATTTATTGAGTACCTTCCTAGGGCTGCTGTAACAAAGTACCACACACTGCGTGGCTTAAAACAATATTTATTGTCTCACAGTTCGGGAAACTAGAAGTCCGAAATCAAGGTATTGGTAGGGCCCTGCTCCCTCTGAAACCTATAGGGTTTCTTTGCTTCTTTCTAGTTTCTGGTGGTTTGCTGACAAGCTGTGGCATTCCTTGGTTTGCGTAACCCCAATCTTTGCCTTTGTTGTCACATGGCATTCTCTCTGTGTGTCTGTCTTCACGTGGCAATTGTCTTAGGAGGACTCCAATCAGACTGGATTAGGTGCACAACCTACTCCACTATGGCCTCATCTTAACTAATTTCATCTGCAAAGACCCTGTTTCCAAATAAGGTCACATTCTGAGGTACTGCTGGTTAGAACGTCAATGTAATTTTTGCATGTGGGGGGGCGTATTTCAACCCATAATAAGCGCCTATGATGTAACATTATGTGTTAGTGGCTGAACATAACACAGTTTCTGCCTGTAAGGTGACTGCAGACTTATGTAGCAGAAGACAATAGTTTCAAGTGTGCTATGTGGGGTTAATATAGGGTACGATGAACGAACTGAAGATCAAGGACCCTTAATTAAGACAAAGGTGTGTGTGTGGAGTAGGGGTGGGGACTCAGAAGATGTCCCAGGGGAGGTGATGTCCATGCTTTAGACCTGAAAGTGGTAGTTGTCAGATAATGTTGGAGACAAGATGGGGAAGAAAGCTTTTAAGGCAGAGGAAACAGCGTGTGCAAAGCCCCAGAAGCTGCTGGGTGGCTAAGTACTTCTCAGGGTGGTTCCCCAGTCCTGATGGCTCATCTGCTAAAGAAGCTAGAAACCTCAGGCATGATTCATCAAGACACACAGAGAAGGGGCCCACGCTGGGCAGCTGTAATCAGTGTCTTGGCTGGTGAACTGGGTGCCTTGGCTTTGCATCGTTCTGTTTAAGTGGTATGAATCTTGCCTTTTATAAGCCTACAAAGTTTTAATTTTATTTATTTTGAGATAGGATTTCTACGTTTTACTTGAGCTTTAGGCATCATATATCACAGTTACTGAAAGAAAATAATTCAGAGTACATTTGAAAACTGTTTCACAATATCTGTCAACTTGCATAGATTGAATAAAATAATGTCCTTAAAGACCTGGGATATTTTCAATGCAGGTATTCAATGTTAGTTTCTTTTCCAACTTTTCCATTACACATGTATTCAATCAGTATTAATTGCTCTCATACTGTGATTACATAGCACTTTATACCTTTATTATGGTATTGATCTTACTGTTCCTGCTTTGTCTCTTAGTTGCCACCATGTCTCTTTCAGAACCTTACTCATCTCTTTATCCTTCCTTAGAGCTTAGCAGTGCTTTGTATGTGATACTCAATGGATTTTTGTTGAATTGAATTGAATTGATTGAGTCATGATGTATGAATGCAATCATTGTACTGTGTAATCCACAGTTATTGGCCTAAGCAAAAAACAAAAAGTTTTGGAAAATGAAATTAAACAGTGGGTAAATTTAGTTTTAAAAATCCCCTATGAACAAAATTATATGAATTTTTCTGTGTAACTATTGGGAAATCATGGACCAGTTATATTGTCCTGTGCTTCTCATATAAAAAGACAAATATTTAGTTACAAGATTCAAAAATAATAGTAGAATAACAAATATATTCATTCATTTTTTTCCTTGACTTCAAGTTATTTTTTATTATAAAGGACTTTGGTGCCTTTAAATATCACATATCACATAATGCACTAGAAACAAATATTTCAAATATGATCTGATTTCTGCCTCCTGGACATGTTTCCTGGAAATAAATAACAAAACTAGTGTAAACAATTGTGTCATCTAAACAAAAACATTGTGGAATATTCTAGGAAATCTCTGCCAGGAAAGCTAAATACAATTCACTGGTAAGAGAAGATCCTTATAACTTATATTATTAGTAAGGAAGCATAACTTACTTCTTAATTTCATATTAACAAAAAATTTTCATTTCTAATTATAGTGTTTTGGTTGGGCTTATTAATGGAATTTTATAAGACTTTATAATTATTCAATTAACTGTTAATACAAGGGGGTCAGAATTTATCTTTATAACATCTTTGACCATTGACTAGTGACTTATATTTATATTTTTATTTATGATTTATATTTATACTATTCCTGAAAAAATAAATTGTGAAAGAAAACTGATTCCAGAAAATTAGGATGTGATATAACATATACATTTAATGTGTTATAGATGGTTAATGAATTTTAATGTCACCTCAAGAGTTAAATTGTCTGGTTCTCTCTTTTTGGCTTTTCAGAGCCAAATGACTTGAGTGGCAATATGTATTAGTAGAGTCAAATACATTTGGTTTGAATCCCAGTTCCGCTGTGTGTTGAATGGCAAGTTCTAGCTTAACTCTCCCGCCTGGTTCCTCCTTTCCCCACCACAACTATGCAGTAATCACTGACATGTAAGTTAGAGCTTCGTGATCTTAGGTAAACCAAAGAATCCACAATCCCAGTTGTGGATTTCTAATCTGTGAGGAAGGTTGTTGTGAAAATTGGAGATAAAAATTACTTAATGAAATGCATGACAGATGGTGAACATTTAATAAATGGTAGTTATTATAACACTATTATTATTAGAAAATTTTTCTTTCAGTGCTTTTAAAATCTTGAAAAGAGTAAGAAAAAAGAGGACAGATTGTCTGCTTTTTGTCTACAGGCATGAAGGAATTCTTACGATTCAACCTCTGACCTATGGGTCAGTTGGTGAATACAGTTTGAGGGAGGAAAGGAGAAACAAGGAGAGATGTTAAAGATATGATTTGTTATTAAATATGCAGTGCAAATTCTTCTGACCACGAATTTTCTGGTGTGTTATCAACTTTCTTTTCAGTTAATATTCAATTATAAAAAAAGCTCTTAATAAACACTAGACTTTAGAAGAAAGGTCCTTTCTTCTCAAGACCTGGTTCCCATATACAAACTGCATTTCTTTCGTGGATTATGATTGAAATTTTTGGACTGAAACATTCATCAAAAATAACACGAGGGGCCGGGTGCGGTGGCTCATGCCTGTAATCTCAGCATTTGGGAGGCTGAGGCAAGAGGATCATGAGGTCAGGAGTTCGAGACCATCCTGGCCAATATGGTGAAACCCCGTCTCTGCTAAAAATACAAAAATTAGCTGGGTGTGGTGGTGCACGCCTGCAGTCCCAGCAACTCGGGAGGCTGAGGCAGGAGAATCGCTTGAACCCAGGAGGCGGAGGTTGCAGTGAGCCGAGATTGCACCACTGCACTCCAGCCTGGCGACAGAGTGAGACTCTGTCTTAAAAAAAAAGAAAAAGATTAAGAGAAAATAATATGAGTCTCATTTTAACACTATGAGCAAGCCAATCTTCTGTCTTTTAATCAGGATGTGGATACTTGAGTGATCATGCCTTTAGTAATCTAGTCATCATCCTTTGAGAGTTACCCTTTTAGTCAAAGCATTTCCATTTAATGCTAATGCTTATTTTGAACCTGCTAAAATTTTATTTTTCAATCATGGGTTTGGAAAAAAAAGGAAGAGGGGGAAGCAGAGAAGATAAAAACAAACTTTCACTGAGTAACTGCTAGATATCAGGCCTTGTGTGAGTTCCTTATAGGTTATCTCATTTTATCTTTATAGCACAGTGAAGTGGGCATTATTATTATTACCTCTTTACAGGTAGAAGAAACTAAACCACGTAAAAATGAACAACTTTTATCAGGGTCACTTAACTAACTAGTAACTGGCAGAGCCAAAGATTTAAACTCATTTCCAGTTCTGTTGGATGTCATTTCCTGTGCTTCTTTTGCCACACTTCAAACACACAGACTTCAAACACACACAGACTTCAGACACATGCACACACACACACACAGAGTGACAGAATGGTTTCTTCATTCAATCTTTACTCTAAAAATGAGTTAGCATCAACCATGCTGAAGAAGAAAAATATAGTCTCTGCTCTCACAGAAACATTCTTATTCTTGTAGAAAACGCATGCTTATCAGAATACAGCAGGTGGAGCTAATCCAGCTTGAGCTCAGCCTTGATCATAGTTAATTTACTTATTTGAAGGTATCATGTGGCTCTTTGCAAGATGTGGCTAAAGGGTAAAGATAGTTGAATTATAGTGGTATTTATAAACTGAGGAGCTTTCTAAGATCGTAGTGTAAATGAAATATTTATGCAAGGATTTTAAATTATAAATTAATTGTAAAATGGGAATTACATTCCAAATTCAGAATATTACCTAGGCAGAGCCAAGGTTCTATGGTTTAACAGAAATTGAGAACATTATCTGATTTTTATTTCCTTGAGCCTCCAGAATTTAATTTTCTTTTTTTTGAGACAGGGTCTTGCTCTCCACTCAGGTGGAAGTGCAGTGGCACCATCAGGGCTCACTGCCACCTCCACCTCCTGCCCCCTGGGCTCAAGCAATCCTCCCACCTCAGCCTCCCAAGTAGTTGGGACCACAGGCACATGCCACCACGCTTAGTTAATTAAAAAACGATTTTTTTTTTTTTGGTAGAGATGAGGTCTCCCTGTGTTGCCTAGGCTAGTCTTGAACTCCTGGGCTCAAGCCAGTCTCCCACTTTGGTCAGCCTCCTGAAGTGCTGGGATTGCAGGCATGAGCCACCATACCTAGCCTTAATTTTTAATTCTATCCCAGTGATTGAGAGTTAACTGTCTATAGGTGTACTAGGGAATTTCAGTTCACATTCTGCAAGAATCTCACTCCTCAGTGGGTTCCATTTCATTTTTATGTTACAAATGCAATCATTAGGAAGGTGAGAATTATGATTGACTTAAGGTTTTTATTGATTTATCATTTTAAAACATCTCATATTTGGGCCTGGTTTCAAAAAGCAGTATGCATCTTGGCTTGCTGATTTTGATAACAGAATGCTTCAACTATGAATTTACTCTATGAATTTACTACCATTCCCTGTGCCTATTAACTGAAATCTGCTATGTTGATTCTACAACTACCATATAGGAAATTTATATCTACTCTAATAATAAGATACAGAACTGTTGGACCTCAAATTATCTACTATGCACTTTAAAAGACAGGCTGAATAATCAGTGAGAAGGCTTTCCCCAGTATAATCTGATTTTAAAAGATAGACCTAACTATAGTAATCTATGGGAGTGGATCGAAGATGTTACAGGATTATTAATCAGAGAAAGGAAGAATGCTGACTTGCAGGAAAAAGATGCAGATCTAAGCACCTTTCTATACCTCCTGGAAATTGCTTGATCTTGGCTCAACTCCTAGGTCTGACATATACACTTTTCATTTGAAAAATAACAACTTACTAAAATGAGAAAAAAAATTAGTCATTATATAAGAGGGAGTCAATACAATTTTTCTTAAATGCAGATTTCAATCAAGTATGAATTTATCTGTTGTGAGGAAGAAAAAAATGTGTATTTTCTTGGTTCTGTTACATATATTTTCTTAGATCTGTTACATATATTTTACCAATAATAATTGCCTGAAGAACGTACATGCATGCACACACAAAATGCATGCAGAGCAGAAGTACAAGTGATTTAAAAAACTGCTTTAATATTGCTTTAAAAGGCACTTATTTTAAAAAAGTAATAAGTGAGATTTGTATTTTAATATTGAGAAAATATGAGCATAAAATGAGCACTGCATTTTAAAATTCAACAAAGTATACATATATTGAGGGTAACTCTATATGATTGAATTATATGTTATTGATGATTCAGTTTGCAATAATTATCAAAGCTTTTCCTTAGCAAAGACTACTGAGTCTTGAAGATTTTCATTGTTGCTGGTTATATGAGCTATGATGAGTGGGTGAATGATACTGACCTCATCTTTCAGATATGTCTTTCCTGTTCTGCCCATAATGACTTAAGAAGGAGAGGTTAGGGATTCCCCACACAGATGACCTCAAACTTCATCTCTGGCTCATACTTCTTCTTTGAGTTTCTAGCCCATATATTCACAGGCCTATCTGACAGTTCACCTGCTTTTCTCAAAAGCATCTCAAACTAGGTAAGTCTAAACTAAACTTGTAGCCCCTCCCCCACAAAACCCCCCAAACCTGATCTTCATCTAATGTTTCCTGTTTCAGAGAATGACACTACCCATCCTGTTAGGCAAGCGGCCAGAAAACTGAGTTATCTTTGATACTTTGCTGTACCTCACCTCCCATATCCAGTATATAACCCTAAATACTAGTTATTTTACTTCCTAACTATCCCTTCAATCTATCTGGTCTTTCTCATCTACCTGCATGATCCTAATTCACATCGCATCACCTCCTGACTGAAGTTTTGTGATGGCCTCCAGTCTGGTTTTTCCACTTCTGCTCTGGCCACTTTCAATACATTCTCCATATTACAGTCTGCTGATCTTTCTCAAGCAAATGTGATATTCTCATTCCCCAATTTAAACCCTTCAGTAGCTTCTTACTGTTCTTACTGGAGCCTAACCTTCCTCCCATATTACCACATTGGCCATTGAGCTTTTGACATGTGCGGTGCCTGTTCCCAGAAGAGGGTCTTTGCACATGCTGTTTTCGCTGCCTGGAATGCTCTTCCAATGTTCCCTCCACCACCTCCTTCTGACCTAGTTAATGCCCGCTCTTCCTTCAAATCTCAGTCTGGTTAATCTTTGTAGAAATCCTCCCTGATTCCCTTGATTGGATCAATACCACCCTATTAAGTTATCCTAACATCACTGTAATTCTTTCAGAAATATTTATCTCCCTGATTAGACTCCAAATTTCATATAAGGGCAGAGTTCGTGTCTTTGACCCATTTCCCATTTGCCCCAAGAACACTGTGCTGGCAGTGAGCTGCACTTCTTTTTTCTAAATGGGAAATAGGTTAAAACATGTTTTGTTGTCATTGTCCATCATTGTATGCCAGTTCCTAGCACAATGCCAGGCACATAGAAGTGCTCAATAAATATTTGTTGAATGAATCTTGCACAATTCTTCCAAATAAAATTCTCCCATCTTTTGGGCCCATGATTCATCTTACTGTTTATGGCTTTGCTTGGCCCTTCTTGCCTGAACTTGACATTGCCTTTTCAGTGTTGACCTCTAACTTGCCTAGATTTCTTCTGAAGCCTACAGAGTTTTCAGTTGCTTCTGGCCAACATTCTGTAGAGTTCAGCTTGGCTCCATGATTTCAGTGCAGGGCGCCCACATGTCTGGAGTAAAACCTAAACAATGTCCAATCCAACCTCACACATACAGACTAATGTCTATACTTATACTACCAGCTATTTTATCTATTGGCAGCATTTATGACCAGAAACTCCAGAGAATGCAAAGATAGTATATAAAACATAACCACAGTTAAGAACAATCTTTTATATTTTTAGTTATTCAGTGCTCTAAAGAATGTGTCCTTTATAATGAAAGTTTCAAAGTTTAGATACCCTATCCTAAATAACTTATAGGGTTTTTCTTTTTTAAAAAAACAAATTGCTAAATTACTGTTACAATGAAAATATGCACATTTTCCTGTCCTGTGTGGTGGCTCATGCCTGTAATCCCAGCACTTTGGGAGGCCGAGGTGGGCAAATCGCTTGAGCTCAAGAGTTCAAGACCAGCCTGGGCAACATGGCAAAACCCTGCCTCTACAAAAAATACAAAAAATGTAGCTGGATGTGATGGTGTGCACCTGTAGTCCCAGAAACTTTGGAGGCTGAGGCTGAGGTGGGAGAATCACCTGAATCCGAGAAAGTTGAGGCTGCAGTGAGCCATGATCATGCCACTGCACTTCATTCTGGGTGACAGAGTGAGACCTTGTCTAAAAAAAAAGAAAAGAAAAAGAAAATATGCACATTTTCTTTAAAAAGCTGTTCATCAAAGTTTATATCAACAATAAAATCAACTGTTTGTAAATTGATTTTTGAATATTTTTTTGACCTGGCCAAGAAAGTCAAAATAATCATAGTTAGGTCAATTTGTCTCCTATATTGATGGTTCTAAACTTTCTGGGTTTTCTACATATGGCAGTAAGGAATGACACAAGCATTTAGCAATGTGATTGGAGTTGGGGGAAGGGTATATACTTCTAGGACTTTGCTTTCTTTCCTTCTTTTTTTGGCCAAGCCTCTCTTTGGTACCAAAGTTCTAGTATACGGAATATTATCTTGTCCCCTGTGTCCAATTCCTAGTCTCAATTTCTTGTCTAGCATTCCAGATTCTCTGGGAGAGGGGTTCTGCTTTATTTTCCACTCCTGACCCTACATTCCAATGCCCATGGCAGGGTTTCTCTTACATGCTGTTAAACCTTGGCATAATGTTTTTGAACGTCTATCAAATTTTTCTGGAATCACTTCCTTTGGAGAACATGCAATGCTCTGCTCATCTACTGTGACTTCCTTCTGTGACTACAGAGCAAAATGTACTTCCACTCTTTTCTGTTGCTCCCACATCCTCTTGCTCAACTGACTACATGTCTGTTCAGCACCTATGAGTCTGAGGCCTCTGGGTCTTAATGCTATTCTTGCAAGTTTTCCTATTAAATGAATACTTTATATGACATCTAGCTCAAGGAACTGGGCTATCATGCAGAATTTGGTCCAGACAAGTTAGATAATCCACTTATTCATTCATAACACTTATTTGGTATGTCAGGAGATCACCTATTTGTAAGGCTCTGTGATTATAATGTCAAAAAAGCCATGGTCCTTCACCTTAAGAAACTTGGAAGCTACAGGAGAAACAGAGCAATGACACCACAGTACTGTATTTCAAGGATGATGACAGGGGGATGCCCAGGGTCCTAGAGAATTAAAGAAAGAGGCATTTATATCAGACTAGGAGATATGTGAGGGTGAGAAAAGGCTTGAGTATGACTATTGGACTGTAAACAGCTAAATGTAGTTATTAGCTAAATGGGAAGAAATGAGAGAAAGGCATTTTCAGGCAGAAGAAACTGTAGGTTTAATGTCACAGAACACCTTGGTGGGTTCTTGGAACTACAAGTGGTTCAAAATGGCTGTAATATGAATTGCACTGAAGGGTAATGGTGGGTAGATGAGGCTGGGGAGGTATGGCAGAAGGCAGATAGTGAAAGTCTTGGTATGTTAAACTGTGATTCAACCAGTTTTAGGAGTACAGTTGATTCTCATTGTTTGTCATAGTTATGTTCTAGAATGTCACCGCAAACACTGAATCAGTGAATACTAAACCATTGCTCCTAGGTTCCTGCCAGCCGCTGGTCATAATGCTTCATCAATAGAACAATACATAACCTTGTTTTATGTGTGTTTCTGTTTAAAGACACCTTAAAATATACTGCTGATTTATCAATATGAAACTCATGGTAATAGCACTCTAACTCATGCCTGAATAAAGCTTATCTAATACATATATTTTATCCATAGGGCACATCACAACCTTCTTGCACTTAGGAACATTAGCACTTTAAGGCCGTTTTAAACAGCAAAGTCACCAAAAAAAAAAAAAAAAAAAAAAAGTGAACACTTAGCATGAAATGACAAAAAGACTCTTGTTTGGAGTTATGAGAGTGAAACACAGAGGCAAAACATCATCTTGTTCAATCTCAGCTGTGAACGTGTGTGTTGAACAACTCAATTTTTTTTTGAGACAGTCTCGCTCTTGTTGCCCAGGCTAAATGGCGCGATGTTGGCTCACTGCAACCTCCGCCTCCCAGGCTCAAGCGATTCTCCTATTTTAGCCTCCCGAGTAGCTGGGATTACAGGCATGCACCACCACGCCCAGCTAATTTTGTATTTTTAGTAGAGACGGGGTTTCACCATGTTGGTCAGCCTGGTCTTGAATTCCCGACCTTAGGTGATCTGCCCGCCTTGGCCTGCCCAGCCTCAATTTTTTTTTTTTAACCACTTTCCGCATGTCTGCAAATGAACATGCAAGTGCTACGGATATTGATTTTGGGGTTGTAAATAAACTATAGCTAGTAGGCAAATTTGCACATAAGGAATCCATGAATTATGAGGATCTACTATATTGCCAATACAGTGGCTTGGGAACTGCCCAAGTGGCTTGGGAAGAGTCAACTAGACAAATGACTGTATCGTCAGGCTCTGAGGCTTTCTTGACCACACTTTATGTGACTAGAATACATTATCACAGAAAATGACAAAATGAAGTAAATATAGATACATCACTCATTTATTATCTGGCTCTGATATAATTGCCTAAGAACGTTTTCATCTTGCGTTAGATAGAGGCAAAGTACAAAGGTGGATAATGGCTTTAATTTCAGATGTGCCATGGTTATTCTCTGAGTTACCTGATCCACAGAATCATTCCAGTTCTTCAATAAACCCGATTTGATTTGCCCTGCTGCTTATAAAGTGTTTACTAATTTGAACAATAAGGATTCATGTAACTGGAACCAAATTGATAGTTCTGCATTAATTTTAAAAAGGAAAAATGTACATGATCCTTTTTTGCTTCATTTTGCATCTAATAGTTTCATTTAATTATGTTTTATAAGCAGATAATGAATGTGGATCCTTGCCCAATATTATCTCAGCGTTTAAAGTGTTTTCATTTTGTTCTTAAGGTGAAATGTATAGAAGATATAATACACAGATCTCTGGAAAAAAGAGGAAGAGATGCATTTGGAGAATGTCCCTATGGAACTCTGAGGCTGGGTCTATATGGGACAAATGAATTCAGCATTTTTTTTTTCCTACTCTTTGCAGAGCAGGGCTACCCCGTAGGCAGTGTGCCCAGAGTAGCCAAATTCAGCTATTTGATCCCAAATCTCATTCCTCTCCCAATTATGATTTTACAGACTGTAGATGTTACTAAAGAAGATTTAGAGGGGAACCTCATCTGTCAACTGAAAATGTTCCCCAACATTGAATAACTTTTGAAAACAAAGTGGTACTTATGGATGATATAAAAGCATAAAACATATGTATATTAATATAATCTTTTAATTATCATTTGCTATCAAAATATTTGCTTGTTACTATAAATGCACAGTCTGTTTTTATGACTCTTCCACTTGAATGCTTTGACAAATTAGGAAGAGAAGAACAAGAATTTAAATGACTAAACAACTTTTATTGGTGAAGGGGAAATCCACCACTTCCTATTGGTATTCCTTTTATGGAGGAAAGGAATTTCATAAATATCATATTAGGGTGGGAAAGCAAAATTAAAAGCCAGGTAACACTTACTGGGAAATTTTAGGTTTGTCTCGGAAGCCAATCCCTATCATTTTGACACAAAAGAGGATTTTCTTTTATCTGAGCATCTTGGCAATGACACTGAGGAAATTCCCTACATTTTTGCTTTGGTTCTCTGAAGTTGACTTATAATGATTCAAAGTATCCCTTTCACTACTTTGAAAGTGATAATCCAACAGTTGATAATGTTAAAAAGTTTTCCACTTTCATGACTCAGTGTCTAAAAATACAACCTTTTGAAGTTCTAAGGTTTTTTTTTCTTCTGAGAATACAGACCGCATTTCAATACAAGTAGGTATTAGCTAAATGGGAAGAAATGGGAGAAAGGCATTTCCAGGCAGAAGAAACTGTAGGTTCAATGTCACAGAAAAATGAAACACCTTGTTGGGTTCTTGGAACCACAAGTGGTTCAAAATGGCTGCAGCATGAATTTCATTTAAAGGGCAATGTTGGTAGATGGGGTTCCAAGACCCTCAATGGTTGCCTGCAACTGCGGATGCTACCGAATCCTAGATATACTGTGTTTTCCCTTATATATACTACCTATGATAAAGTTTAATTTGTAAATTAGAGACAGTAAGAGATTAACAATAACTAATAATGAAATAGAGCACATAACAATATACTGTAATAAAAGTTATGTGAATGCGATCTCTCTCTCGGCTACTAAGTCACTAACAGGCATGTAGTGTCTACAGCATGGATCCACTGGACTGAGGGATGATTCATATCCCAAGTGGGATGGCACAAGATTTCATCACACTCTTGGAATGGCAAGCAATTTAAAACTTGTGAATTATTTATTTCAAGAATTTTTTATTTAATATTTTTGAATCATGGTTGACTGCAGGTAGCTGAAACCAAGGAAAGTGAAATCATGGAAGGAGGACTACTGTAATGTTCTCATTGTAGCATGACTTGCTTCTGGTTCAAGGAAGTGCCATATAACAAACTTTTGAGGAAGACTTATACTATGGACATTACTGGTTGCATAGAATGTGTAATAGAACAGATTAAAAACCCATACCCAAATAAGGAGCATACCTGGGATATTGTTCTGCAGATTGCATATTTTCCCTGTAAAAACCTTTGATTTATATTCATTCATGTTAAAACTTTGAATACAGATCATTTCCAAATCTGTCATTTACATATATGCCTTCAAATACTGCTCTGACCTCTTCTTCCTTCTCCCAGCAAATGAATTATTTATAATTCTTTTCATAAAGGGATAATCAGCTGAAGAGCTTTCTTAAAGGCGGCAAAACTAAAAAGCAAATTAGTTTTATGATTTCAAAGAATTAGCTGACTATCCACTTATTATAATATTTTCAGACTACTTTAGGACTCTCAAAGGAGGAATGATGGTCCAGTGTAGGGCTGTGAGGTTTCCTTTATGGACAGAGCAAGCCATTTAATCTTGACAGGCTCAATTGTTTTTGATTTCCTGCCATGGATATCCATCACAGAAATAGCAATTGTGATTAACAGCATTTTGATCACTAACCAAAAGCATTTGTTATAATGTATACCTGGAAAATATTCCAAAATGGAGAATAATATTCAAGTGCAAAAAACTGTAACAACTGAAAAATCAATATCCGTTGAGGAGAGTTAAAAAGGTGCTTTCAGAGAGAAATTAATTTTTAGATTTTCATTAATTTTAAGGAGAAAGTGGAAGAATAAACCTTAAAGAGAATTTATGGGTAATGTTTTTTCCAATTTAAGATGAAAATTATACCTGGAATTTACTTATCAATGTATATGTTCAAAACATGTAGAAGATTCTCTTAAATAGATCATTGTAAATGCTTCGTTAGTTAAAAAGATACCCTCCCCTCATCTATTTTCTAACATCAAGCTAAAAATTCTAGAATGGTGGTGGCAGCAATGCAGAGACAACATTATCGATTTAGGAAAAAAAGTGGTATCCAAAACCAGATTCTGTTTCAATAATTACAGGGAGTTACGTTTCCTCCCATTATATCCATAACCCATGAGATAAAGCAGAACTAGGGAGAGGTGATGTGCTAACAGATTAGATTTTGGGAGTATTCTAGTAAAGATTATCAGCCTAGAAAAATTTGCCAGATGAGTCTATGTGGAAAAGCTAAACAAAATTGAAATATCAATATATAGGGCCTTCATTTACTCTTTAATTCATTTAATTATGCATTTATTTATTCAATAAACAAAGATTTACTGAGTTTAATAACCAAAAAGGCACTAGGTTAAGCAAATAAAACATGACCCCTGCCTTTATAGAGTGAATTTGTTGAGGGTAAACTGTGGCCAGGCACTTCACATACCTTACATCACTCTATGAGGAGGATATTAAAAAAAATCATTTCTCTTTTTATATATGAGGAAGCTGAGCATCCCAGGAGTTAAACCACTTGCTCAAGGTCACACAAATAGTAAGTGGCAGAGTTAGGCTTCCAAACCCATCTTGTTGTCTCCAAAATCTACTACACTATGGTGCCTGTAATCTAGCAGGAAAGAGAGAAACATACACAATTACCTACAATACACATCAGAGACTGTACAAATACTATGAGAAAGGATATGTGGCTTGCCGTGGGAGCACAGAGAAGAGATCTATTCATTCTGCTAGTCTCTGGGTAACCCCTGAGAAGGCTTCACAGAAGCTGGCATTTGAGTTAGGCCTTGAAGGTAAATGGGGAAGAGCATTTCAGGCAGATACATGAAAGTGCACTGCAGAATGGAGAACCAGCTTATAGTTCCAGAGCTGGAAATAGTGCTTCTCACATTTGTATTCATACCATAGTTTTGAATTTTAGAATATTTGGCAGCATACTTGAACAATGCCATAGTCAGCAATCATTATGATACAACAAATCTATTATGGGATTAATTTCATGGACTTTGGAGTTAGGATTGCAGGCTTTGAATCTGCTCTGCCACTTACCAGTTGTGGGGACTTTGGAAAATCATTTTAGGCCTTGTTTGGCCAAATGGTGATAATCATAATGGGCTATTTTAAGGAGTATATGAGTTGATGTATGTCAATTGCTTAGTTTAGTGTACAGTACCTAATATACATTCAATAATTGGTTGTTATGAACACTAAATTATGTTATCTCACTATATCTATAAGACAATTCAGTTATTTCAGGATTCTTTTGGTTGCCCTTTTGTATTTTGGCATTGTTCAAATTGAATTGTACTAGATAGTGCTAAGTTTCCCCATATACTAAGAAGGCACAGTTTCAGTAACTTCTCTTTCTTTCCCACTGCCTTACTGTTTTGTTAGGCCTCTTGTCTTCTACTGTCAACAAATGGAATCATCTTCTATATTGCAGTGCAGGACCACTAGGCTTAATGAACAACTTGGCAGATACTATGCATGTTTAGGTATAACAAAAATATACTTTTCCTGTTCATCACTTTGCAAGCATATATGTGAAGGTGTAAATAGTGTTCCTTGGCCTGCATGGTTGAGATCCAACTATACAGAGTTGGGGAGAGAGCATAGGAGAAAGCGGGGAGAGTGATAGGAGAAGACAGGTTAGGACTGGATTGGAAAGGAATTCAAACATGCTAAGGAGTTTGGCCTTGATCTTGTAAAGGAAATGGGCAGCCATGGGGAAAAAAAAAGCAGGAGGGCTAGTATAATCATATTTGGATTTTAGGAAGACAACTAATACATTGTGAGGGATTGCTTTGCATATTCTTTGTCTAACAAACTATAAATCCTTTAAAACCCAGCACCTTTGGGAAGCTTTCTTGATTTGTTACACTTGATTTTGATGTCCCTCAATGTGTTCTCATAGTATTATGTGCATATATCTATCATGATATTATAATATATAATAATTATTGACTTTAATTGGCTGTCTCCTCCACTGGATTGTAAACTCCTTGAGATAAGGGATCACATCTTATCTTTGGATCCCCAGCAGCTAGTATAGTACTTGCAGGTTCTCAATAAATATCTGTGGAATTTAGTAATTAAGATGAGTTCATAGAAGGAGCCAAGACAAGGAATCCAGTTCTAAGATTATTAGCCTAACAGTCTATCAGCATAACCTCCACTGGTAATTCACATCATATTGTCTTATTGTTTGACAAAAGCTGATAGAAATTTATAATAGTTTGTCTTTAACCTTTTATTTCTAATCCTTTCCTAAAATGAAATAAAATGAAAATTAAATTCCGAAAGCACTGAAGTTGACTTTTAATGATTTTTAATTCACTGAAAATTAGGCTTTCCCCCTCCCTAAAAAGTCTGGATATAAATATACAGTACATAATATTCTAAAGAGAGAATAAAATGCTGGCTATTTCTAATTACCTAATTTGTTTGAGGGAAGCACCAGTAGTCCACAAAGTGAATTAATGTGATAAACAAACTCAAATGCATTGTTTTGTAATTTATGTAGAATTCCCGATAAGTCTGTCAGAGTTTGCCAATATGTCCAATGATTAAAGATATTCAGCCAAAATGAATCCTCTATTTTTGCTTTTACAGTATAGGAACAGTTACAGGAGTATAATTTATACATTAATCAAACTAAATGTTTCTATAAATCACTGTATTAATTGCTGAGTTAAAGGCCATGCCTGTATCATGAAAAGCAAACAAAGGATGTTGCCAGAAAGAGAACTGTGCTCAGCTGATTTGACTACACCAATGTGTTTAATTCCAGCCTTTAGTCAAAACAGGTCTAGATGACAGACTCATTCCTCTGATCATTTAATTTTGACCTATTAAGACAATTAATTCTATTTGATTTTTCCTGTTCTTATGATTTTTTTTTAAGACTGTGTCTCACTCTGCTGCCCAGGCTGAAGTGCAGTGGTGAGATCATAGCTCATTGCAGCCTTGAATTTCTGGACTCAGAGGATCCTTCTGCCTCAGCCTCCCAAGTAGCTCAGACTACAGGTATGCACCAGCAGGCCTGGCAAATTAAAAATTTTTTTTTTTTTTGTAGAGTTAGAGGTCTTACTATGTAGCCCAGGCTGGTCTTGAATTCCTGGCCTCAAGGGATCCTCCTGCCTAGGTCTCCCAAAGCATTGGGATTGTAGGTGTGTACTACTGCACCTGGCCTCTTATGCTATTTCTGTTCTTAGAACACTGTATATGGTTGGGGACCTTACTGGATGGAAAGTGTGTGACTCTACCTCTTTCTATTTCTCTCTGGTTCTGTTGTTCCTATACATTCTTGGACTTTTGCTGAGATTGATAATAGCCAATGTTGAATAGAATTTTTAAATTTTCAATTAAAATTCTAATAAAGGTTTCCTTAATTTGCTCAAGCTGATGCACTAGAAGTAGCAGATTTTTAAATATACATGTGTTTAAAAAATCAAGATTATTTAGAAATTTAATGATGATCAGATGACCTTCTGAAATATTGGCCTACCTTTTGGAGATACTTTACTTTCTCCTCAGATTCCTGTATCTTTAGGGCTTCGGCAAAGATGTCTCTATTTTCTAGAGGGAATAAAGTCAAATTCAATCTGAAATAATTTTATTATGATTTTATACTAAAATTGATATAAAATTGGACATGGGTTGAAAGGGAATACATAGAGTAGGAAGGTAAACAAAAATACATGTGGTGTATTGGAACTTTACAAACCAGATTTGCAAACAACTGGAGACTGAGTTAATTAGCTATGGCTGCAGGGAACCTCTAATCTCTTTAGATGATGAGTAAGCTCGAGTCCAGAGACAAGAAAAAGTCTCGAAAGAGAGCATATCTGCAGGATCAGAGATTCCAATTTCTACATTCCTGTTCAAACTGTTAAAGGAATTTAGGCATTGTCCTCTGGATAAACAGGGTGGTCCCTGAGCAGGGACTTAGGTGTTCAATTCAGAAAGTTATACCACAGTGTAAAGTAGTACCCTTGTACTTATTGTCTATTTTCTGATGAACCTAGGAGTCAGAATGTTGAAAGGCATAAAACTTGGTACTTACTGTTACTCGCAAGGTGAAAAGACTGCGAGGAGTGGCTGTTTTCTAAAAAATACAAAAGGGAAGTAAAGAAATCATTGGAAAAGTCAACAACATTAAAGGCGTTTGAATTTTTTATACTATAACAATTGCATAACAGTTTCCACATCCTAGGCCTCACTAAGGGCTCACAGGTCCAGGAAGTTCATTGGTAATGTTGACTCCACCTTCATCTTTCTCCAGGGCTTTTCATGTTTGAATTAAACTATGTAAACTATCCTTTCAGCCAACACATAGCATTTCCTCAGATTATTCTATACTGTTTACCAAATAGATGCCATAATTTAAGGGAAACTTATATGTTTTTAGATGTAACATATATACCACTGATCCTTTTCGGGTGGAAGGGTTGCTGGAAGGGTTCAGGAAATATTTATACATGCATTTGTATGTACTTATAACTATTTGTATATACCATTGCAGTTTCTCCTGGAAAGGGCTCTGGTACCTGCAGGCCAGTTACGGTGAGGCAGATATGACTGACAGGAGGCCGCTATTCTACTCACCAGACCCTCTGCTCCTCCTGGGCCGCGCCACCGGCAGACGCTGACTGCTGTCTCTGCGCAGCACCAGCTGAGATTCGCTAGGGGGATACATCGACGCCGAGATCCAGAACTGCTTAGCCAAGTTGGCATCTTGTTCCGAGGAGCCAGCAAATACCAGTAATCCCGGGGGGCACATTTCCTGGGACTCTTTTCGGCCGCTAGGTTCTTCGCTGGGTCCCGTTTCCATGGCAACTGAGGACGCTTCTGCAAGCGTCCTCTCCCCTCCCCCCGCCCCGCCCCTGCCCCGCCCCTCCGAGAACCGCCAAGTTGGTACCAGCCCCTGCCGGCTGCCCTCGGTTTCCTAGGTAGGTGTTGGGATCCGCCACGCGCGTGGGGGCCGTCGGAAGCCCACCCCTGCGGTGATCAGGTTTTAGGACCAGTCCAAATCTTGGATATGGGAGAGTCAAAACGTCAACTTTGGGTTGTGTCCTGTCGGAGTCAGTGGGGGAGTAGTTTAGCTTCTTATATCCTCAGTGGGCTGCCACATCCTCTCCCCTCCCCCCAGAAAGATAGCTAAATAAACTTTAAATTCCTCAGCCCCATTGCCCCAATCCCCACTTCCAAACCAGATTGCCAGGGACAGCACCTGCTAGGTGGAAGTTCTGAGAACGTTGCGCTGGAGAATTCACGCCTGAAAGCCTAGCCCTTGGGAGCTAGAGGCCTGAACTGGGCGGATACGTGCCCATGTGTACAGTTTCTGTGATTTTAAAATTCTGAATCCTTTAAATCTTAGGAAACAAGCTGGATTTAAAGTGTAAGTGCATTTACTAATCACTCCCACTAAAAGTTGCATAGACTCCAACAGTTGTAAATGATTACTTAAAAGAAGGGATACATCTTAATGAGTGAACAGAGTCTCTTCATGGAAAAAAGAAGTATGAAAAATTTTGTTAATGTATTTCTTATAAAAGTATTAACAAGTCTGTGTGTATGAGTAGCTTTCCCGGGAGATTTTTGTCATGGCAGGAACAACTTAACCACTTCATTGATAGAAAAGTTAAGATTACTGTGGCAGGAACTGAGATGGACATCATAAAGTCAATTTAGCAAAGGAAATGGACACATAGCAATAACCACAATTTATGTCTTTATGGCACTTTATTCTTTCGAAATATTACTAACAATATTACTTTCAAAATATTACTAACAATATAGTCTCAAGAAGTTAATAATCACATGTTCATATAATAACATACATCAGTCAGCTAAGAAAAAAATCATATTCCCCCTTATATCTAAAATTTTGGTTAAGAGCCTGAAGGAATATTGAAAAAAAAACAAAACAAAACCCCACATACATACACATTACATACATTGTAAACTTAGTAGCTGAAATGTTGATTTTTTTCTTTTGGCTGAGCAATTAATAGGCAATGGATGAAATCAGCATTTTCCAACACCCCTCTTCCCCACGCACATTGATGATGCACAGGCAGCTCATTTGGACGAATTCCCAAATCTTTTTACCTGGCCGTGTGGTTAGTGATTGGTACTATTAGCAATCAGCTAACTACACTGCCTAGTAACTAGACTCATAGAAAAAATTGCAGTCTCAAGTTGGTACCCCAACACGTTGTGACAGGCAGGCAATTCATTGGTTGAGTTGGAGCTCAACTGAGTTGCTAGCTTGGTGAATACTCTACTAGACGATGGCAAATAGACACAGTGAATCACAGCATACAGTATTAACCGTTACATGGATGGAGGGGCTTCACCTCCAGGGATTTTGCTTTCCTGGCATGAGACTGTTTCATCTTCTGTGACTCCTAGAGAGAGCTAACAGTTTAACTGTATCTGGAGAAACCGCGGGTTTCCTCGCACTTGCAGCGGGCGCTCGCGGGGCAGGCTGCGCAGGACCCACGCCGACGCCGCGCTTCTCAGGCATCTTCTCTCGAAGGCTGCGGGCTGCCCGAGCCGGCGTCTTCTTCCCGGCCGGGCGGCGGTGATGCTGTGCCTTGTTTTGATGGCAGTGGAGTTAGTGATTGTAACCACCACAGTACAATCAGCTAATGACACTGCCTACAAACCGAGCACCGGGCACCCGCGGCTGCAGCTCCCGGACGGTCCGCAGCGCCGACGCGGGGTCGGGGCCCGCCTCGGACCCCATTTCACCGGGGGACGCCCTACCATGGCTGGGCGCAAGCGGCCCCCGAGGACACCCCCGGGCCCAGCGGGACCCCCGCCGGCCTCGCAGCGCACAACACGCGTAGCTGGGCCAGCGGGCGGCGCTGCCGGGGAGGACCCGCGCCCTCCCAGGCCGGGAGCCGCGCCCCGACCCCCATGACCCCCAGGAGTGCCAGGCCTCCCCTTCCCGCAGCCTCCCGCTCCTCTCAGGGCCCTCCCGCTCAGGTTCCCCTCGCTTTTCCTTTCCCCTTCGCCTCCTCGGCCCGGGCTCCCACTTCCTTCACGCCAGGCTTCAGTTCCCAGCCCCAAACCCTAGAGCTGGCTCTCTCGACCCCGTGCGCCCCGCCGCTCTGAGCGGCCGAGTGACTGTGGCGGGGGCGACCAACCGTCCTTGGAACCCCGCGGGCCGAGGGGCGGGGCGGGCGCGAGACGGGGCGGGTGGGGGAGGGGATGGGGGGGGGGAGGAGGCTGAGAGAAAGCGCTGTGGGCGGTCCCTGAAGGGCCTCCAAGGGAGACGCCTAGAAGATGGAGGCCCAGATTCTTGAGACGTTTCTCTTTCTGATCTAGCAGGAGGGACAAAGAGCTCCTCCACTCCCTCATTCCCCAAGAAGGCCCCCAGCCTACCCAGTTTCCGTGACCATTCCGCCCTGGGAAAGCGGCTTCCCAGGTACCTCAAATTATAGGTTTGAATTTTCCAAATGGAGGTGGGCTTGGGTAGCCTCTGACATATGGGAGGATGGCTTGGAGAGTCTCATCTGCACCTCTGTGCTCTGTTGGGGACTTGGCCTTATACTCTTAGAGGGCCATGCAGTGATGTGAAGCCTGGGCCTTCTAGTCAAATAGTGAGCCAGGCAGCTTGTTAGTTACATCAAATCGTGGTCCTCTTGAGATCAAGGCCATACCATTCAAGACAGTATATATATAATAAATTACTAAACTAGGGACTATTTAGAATAGTAGAAACTATTTGTATCAGAAATAGAAGGGAGGTCCTCAATGAGAGCTGTAATAGGTCAAAGAAGGTTCCCAGAGGAGGTGAGACTTGAGTAGATCCTTGATGCACGAGTACATTTGGATATTCAGGGTTAGGGCTGTGGATGCCAGAAAAACAGTATCTTGTGACAGTTGGGCAAAAGGGACAGTTACAGAGGACTTCTGGGAGATCTCTGCTAATAACTTTCCTTCCCCTCCTTTGCCTTTAATGAATTAATCAGGAGAGGATAAGGAATGTTCTCTTTATCCTCACCTTGTGAAATTCAGCTGGAAGCAGCCTCCCCTAGAAATATGGTCTTCATGCATCCAGTATAGAGCACCCATTGCTGACACCAAAGGCTTAGTTCTAAATTAGTTTCTGCAAAAGAAAACTTCCCACCTATAGATTGATTCCCTAAAACCAGCAAATGGTCTCATAGATGCCACAAGTAACATGAACAGGGGCAGGTCATCTGGATCATTCAATACAAACTACAAACTCACACTATTAAAACAACTAAAGAACTGCCCAAGGATGTTTGAATAAGTTATAGCATTTTCTTTGCATATGAAAGACAGCACTTTTTTTCCAAATGCATACTTTGTTCTGTACACCCCATAGTGAAGGGAAAGAAACCAAAATACAAAATATGTAGCACAGAAAATGTTAATTGTAAAAATTAACTCGTAGAATTAAATTGTGAAAGACAAGCCATCTACAATAACTGTATTTTGTATTCATCTTATCTTTGTGAGGGGCACGGTGTTTTAGCACACATTACATAAATGACTCACATTCACCTAAATATACATACATGAAACTAGGAGCAAAATAGTCTTCATTCCATTAACAATATGCAGACTTAGAGAAATCTTGGTTAGGAGATAGTTATAAAAATGATTCTCTTCTACCAAATTGTTAGTCACTTTTACCCAATACTATATCGAACACTTCTTCCCAACTGATGTTTTATGATTATTAGTTGCATCTTAAATATCTTACCTGAGCTGGATTGCTGCCATCCAAGGCAATGGTTGGGTCAGATGCCTTGAAAAGTAGGTTTCTACAGACTTTTCTTCAAAAGTAATAAAAAATAAAACTCATATGTAAAAGTCATGAAGATGCATTGCCTACTGAAATAACTTTTTAAAATGAGTTTATTTTCTATGTAGTACAACTAAAAATTTAAATAACGACAAAAAATATGTGTGGCCTAGTTCTGTTGAAAAAAAAAAAAGAATGCTTGTTCTTAGGGTTGCTGTTGATTTGGCCTGCAGTTACTAGAGAAACTCCAAGGATCTCATTCCCTTTATGGTTCATGTCTAGGCATGCCTGGAGACCAGGGAGACCCATGATTTAATCTAAGTAAGAATGCTTGTGGTGTTTTAAATGCCCACACAGAGGATTGCATTTGTTTTAGACAGTACAAGGAAGGCACCTTTCAGGGGAATTGTTTACTGTTTTAATTTCTGGGCTTTTGGTGATTAGGGAGATGGAAAAGGAGCTATCAGGAGAGACAAGGTTGATGACTAGGAGGAAGCCAAGAAGAGTGTAGAAAACAAATACCTTCTGCTTTAGCTTTGGCACATTTATATTGACTTAATTTACCACTTCTAGATACAAGACTAGATTGATGGGAATTGGGAATTAGAAAAGGTGGAGACAGGCCGGGGGTTGTGGCTCACACCTGTAATCCCAGCACTTTGGGAGGTCAAGGCGGGCGGATCACGAGGTCAAGAGATAGAGACCATCCTGGCCAACATGGTGAAACCCTGTCTCTACTAAAAATACAAAAATCAGCTGGGCGTGGTGGTGCGCGCCTGTAGTTCCAGCTACTTGGAAGGCTGAGGTGGGAGAATAGCTTGAACCCGGGAGGCAGAGGTTGCAGTGAGCCGAGATCGTGCCACTGCACTCCAGCCTGGGTGACAGAGCAAGACTCCATCTCAAAAAAAAAAAAAAAAAAGAAAAAAGAAAAAAGAAAAAAAAAGATGGAGACAATTGGAGACAACATATCCCTCCCTTCAATACATACAAACTCACCATCTCCCACAGCTTTTGAAGGATGTTGTTGGAAGAGGAAGAAATGAAGAATTAGACTAATTAGAAATTACTGGATTTTAGCAGCTTCTTTATAAACCTGTTTTGTTTTTGTTTTTGTTTTTGTTTTTGTTTTTTTTTGAGATGGAGTTTTGCTCTTATTGCCCAAGCTGGAGTGCAGTGACGTGATCTTGGCTCACTGCAACCTCTGTCTCCTAGGTTCAAGCGATTCTTTTGCCTCATACTCCTGAGTAGCTGGGATTACAGGCGCCCACCACCATGCCTGGCTAATTTTTTGTATTTTTAGTAGAGATGGGGTTTCACTATGTTGGCCAGGCTGGTCTCGAACTCCTGACCTCAGGCGATCCACCGCACCCCCCTTGGCCTCTCACAGTGCTAGCATTACAGGAGTGAGCCACTGCACCTGGCCTAAACCTGTTTTTTTAAATGCATATTTACTCATAGGAAATATAAAACCATATCTTGGTTTATAGATCAATAAATGTCAGATTATTAAACTTCTTGATAGTATACCTAGAAACTAGTTTATATGTTGAAGCAAGACTAAATTGAAGTCAATTCAGTGCCTTTGAAGAACTAAAAATAATTGAATCTATTTATGGGAGAAGATTTTCTTTTGAGCTAAAATGAACTGCCAGCGGTTTTTATAATTCCATATTTCTAGTTTCATTTCATTGTACTCTCATTAGTAAGAGTGCACCAGATTCTTAATTAGCTTCTTGTTTATATTTATTGATTAATCAATACTGTTGCTTTCAGTATAAAATGTTAATTTATCTTTCAGGTAAATCATAAGCAGTCTAACAAAATAGTCTCTATAATTAAAGTTGCCGGAGCTCTTAGGTATGGCTTCAGTAGGAGCAAACAGGTTGCATATTTTCCATCTTTAGAGAACAATCTCTAAGGATTTATGTGGTCTAGTTGGTGAGATGGACAATGTGTGTATATATAGATAATTAATATGTTAATTATATTAGTATGTAATATGAATATATCTTAATATAACTTATAGTAATAGATTAAGAATTCATGTTTGTGTTATATATTCTATTTATATTATATATAATTATTTAATATCAAGATGGTTATATGAAAAAGTGCTTCAGGAATCCTGATGACTAATACAAACTTCATTATTGCCAACATTTAGGAAAAAGGAAAAGGAAAATTATCAAAGGTTAGGACACAGAGAAGGCTATATGGAAAAGATGAGCCTAGAAGCAAAAATACTAGAGATGAAGAGGGAATGTTTTGGTAGCAGGAGCAATTTGTGAAGGAAAAACACAAGCAAATTTATGGAGATTGTAATGTATAAGGCCAATTGGAAGAGCAATGAGTGTGTTCCCATTGGGGAAATAAGATTAAAGAGGACTTTAACATTTAAAGTCCTCCATGATCCTACTTACCTGCCTGCTCATACGTTTCTGTGAAGTTCACCAAAAAAAAAAAAGCCCAGGGAGTTTCAATTTCATTATTCTGCTCAAGGAGCCCCAGATGTATACAATGTGTTGTTTTATAAGGATTCATAAAGTAGCATAGATTAGAAGAGGGAGAGACAGAGGAGACTGAAAGACCATTTAGGAGATTAGTAAATTTCAGTACGAGGTGATGTAGAAAATATGGGATGAAGAGAGAAACTTTGTGAAGGAAACTTTGCATGACTTGGTTGATAACTGGTTCAAGTGAACAAACGGAATAAGATTAACTTCCAGACTTCGACGAAAAGTAGAGGTGTTGAGGGGGAAAATCTAGTCAGAGAATAATTGTGATTTTAGGTATAGGCATGTTTAGTTTTAGGTCATGGAAGAATATTGTGGTGGAGTTAGATATGTGGAGTTAGAACTCTGGTAGGAGGCCAGAACTGAAAAGAGATTGAAGCTCTTTTATCCTCTTGATAGTTGAAGTCACGAGGAGTTCTCCAAGAAAGGTCTGCTGGCTGATTCTTCATTGACCTACCAGTCCCTGCTATCAAGGACACTAGAGTAGGTGATGACGGTAATGTATTAATCTCGAATAGAAAATAGAATGAGGAAAACAGAAGGCTCAGGATCAAATCTGAGAGGATCCCTCTCCTCTTTAGGGGCTGACAGGAGGAAGTAGATCTTGGGAAGGGTTAGCCCACAGGAAGCAGAAGAGAGGACTCTCACAAAAACCAAGCTATTTTAAAATTCATACGCTTACGAATTCAAGAGAATCTGCTGCATTGGCACCACCACATCACCAAGGTTTGGTCAGTAAAGAATTAGCCATAGGCAGCAGATGATTGGACTGGCTCTACCAGATTTTTTTGTCCAGGGCTTTATTCATTGAGTCAATGAAGGATCAATGATCTTCTGTAGGCTAGAACTAAACAGATGAACTTTCTTGGCCTTGTCCTACTACTGATTGGCCTCTGTCATCTCTCTTAAAAAAATAAAAAATGAAAAACAATAAAAAACAAAAAAACAAAAAACAAAAACCCTCAGATTTTCAGGTTTATAAAAGTAATTTTAAGGTTTCAATAAGCTAGTTAGTAGTCTGCACAGCTGAAGAAAGTTAATAAACTTTCCCCTTCTTAAGAGCTCTAGGGTGTATTCTGTAACTCTATTAAGCCAAAAGGAGAAAACAGACTGATTATCCTGCTAATTAATTGATTTACAAGAATGAAAATACTTTATGCCATCCTCTTAAACATCACTCTGTGTCTGCTTATTCTTGTTTTTATTTCCACAGTCCTCATTTGGCACTTAAGCTTTTTTTTTTTAAAGTGGGAAACTTATATTTAGTTAAAAAATTTACATAATCCTCATTTGTTATCTTTATTTCCTCTATATTCATAGAATATATCTCAAGGATTTCATCATGCTTACATTTAGTAAAGTTCACATTGTCCTTTCTGCTCTTAGCTCCTCTATAGTTTCTTGAAATCTCAAGCTCAAATTCTACTTCCTGGGTAAAATCTTCCCTAGTACCTTTAGTTCTTCCTGATCCTTTCTCTTCTCTAATCACTTTGACACTTAATATAGTCACTCTAAAATTAGTATGTTCCATTAATAAGAGAGTATTATTCTATATTCTAATTGTATTTTGAATTCAGCATTTTATTATAATGGTATAGAGTGCTGATACATATACACATATTTATATTAGTATAGAGTGTTGCACATAGGAACATTTTCTTACACTCTGAATTAATTTTAGTGAGTTATCTTGGTTTCTTTTTTTAAGGGGTACATATTCTTGTTTGTTACATGGGTATTACATGCATAATGTTGCGTGTTGGGCTTCTGCTGTACTTATCACCCCAGTATTAGGCATTGTATCCAGTAGGTAATTTTTCAACCCTCCCCACCCACCTTTGGAGTCCCCAGAGTCTATTTTCTCTATTTTCATTTCCACATGTACCATTTCTTTAGCTCCCACTTACAAGTGAGAATACGTAATATTTTATTTTCTGCTTCTGGGTTAGTTGACTTTGGGTAATGGCCTCCAGCTCCATCCATGTTGCTGCAAAGGACATGATTTCATTCTTCTTTTATGATTGTGTAGTATTCCATTGTGTATATATACACCATATTTTCTTTATCCAGTCAACAGTTGGCAGACATGTAGGTGGATTCCATGACTTTGCTCTAATTGTAAATGGTGCTGCAATAAACACACAAGTACAAGTATCTTTTTGATATAATGATTTCTTTTCCTTTGGGTAGATACCCAGTAGTGGGATTGCTGGGTCGAATGATAGTTCTATTTTTAGTTATTTGAGATATCGCTATACCGTTTTCCATAGAGGTTGAATTAATTTACATTCCCACCAACAGTGTGTGAGTATTCCCTTTTCTCTGCATACACACCAATATCTGTTGTTTTTTGACTTTTTAATAAAAGCCATTCTGACTGGAGTGAGATGGTATCTCAATGTGGTTTTAATTTGCATTTCTCTGATGATTAGTGATGTTGAGCATTTTTTCATATGTTTGTTAGCTGTTTGTATTTCTTCTTCTGAGAAATGTCTGTTCATGTTCTTTGCCCCATTTTCAATTGGTTTGTTTTATGTTTGTTGAGTTGTTTGAATTTCTTGTAGATTCTGAATACTAATTCTTTGTTGGAGGTATAATTTGTAAATATTTTCTCCCATTCTGTGAGTTGTCTTTTTATCCTATTGATTATTTGTTTTGCTGTGCAGAAACTTTTAGTTTATGTCCTATTTCTCTATCTTCGTTTTTTATTGCGTTTGTGTTTGGAATCTTCATCATAAATTATTTGCCTAAGCCGATGTCCATAAGGAGTTTTCCTAGGTTTTCTTTTAGGATTTTTATAGTTTCAGTTTTGATAGTTTTACATTTAGGTCTTTAATCCATCTATAGTTAATTTTGTATATGTTAAGAGATGGGGAATTAGTTTCAGTCTTCTGCATATGGCTAGCCAGTTTTTCCAGCATCATTTATTGAATAGGGTGTCTATTTCCCATTGTTTATTTCTGTTGACTTTAATCGAAGATCAATTGGTTGTATATATGTAGCTTTATTTCTAGGTTAGAGAACCCCATACTGTACCATTAATCTCTGGGTTTATTTTTGTACTAGTACCATGCGATTTTAGTTACTATAGCCTTGTAGTATAATTTGAAGTCAGGCAATATAATGCCTCTGACTCTGTTCTTTTTGCTTGGGAGTTCCTTGGCTATTTGGGCTTTTTTTGGTTCCCTATGAACTTTAGGACTGTTTTTCCTAATTCTGTGAAAAACAAGGCTGGTAATTGGATAGGGATTGCATTGAATCTGTAGATTGCTTGGGTAATATGGTTATTTTAACCATATTAATTCTTCCAATTCATAGCATGGAATGTTTTTCCATTTATTTGTGTCATCTACAATTTCTTTCATCAGTGTTTTGTAGTTCTCCTTGTAGAGATCTTTCACCTCCTTGGTTAAATGTGTTCTGAAGTATTTTGGTCTTTTTCGTGGCTATCCTAAGTGGGATTGGATTCTTAATTTGGTTCTCAGCTTCAATGTTACTGTTTATAGAAATGCTACTGATTTTTGTACATTGATTTTGTATCCTGAGACTTTACTGAAGTTGTTAATCAGGCCAAGGAGTCTTCTAGAGGAGTCTTTAGGGTTTTCTAGGTATACAATCATATTGTCAGTGAACAGAGATAATTTGACTTCTACTTTTCCAATTCAGATGCCTTTTATTTTTTTCTCTTGCCTGATAGCTCTGGCCAGGACTTCCAGTACTATGTTGAATAGGAGTTATCTTGGTTTCTAACTTGAAACGTTATATAAATGTATGTATTTTTTGTGGTCTTTCAAACAATGCCACTTACATTGTGAATGCTCAGTAATGCAGATAGAAAATACAAATTAGGAAGAAGCTTGTGGCGGATAAAACACTTGCTTAGTATTATTGGTAAAGGAATTTTATTTTGATTAGGCTGCACTAAAATTAATTTCTTTTGAGTTCAAATCAACATTGTATGGCTGTAGAATTTTATTAGATAATGTTTTGGGAAATGCAATTTTGTTTCAGCAATTAATGTAACTTCCTTTTATGTGGCTTGACCATAATGGAACTGAGTTTATGTGTGGGTTACAGAATCAGTTCATTATTTTATAAAATAGTGCTACTTGCTTGCTGTTGTTAAAAAAATACTTTCTGTCAGAAGTGGACTTTTGCTAAAACATCTATACCTTTCCCCTCTTTAGCAATAACATGTATTTGTGAATGGAGGGGTGAGACTACGGATATAACTTGTAGTTTAGGGAGGGAAGCTAAAGAAATGAAATGGGGTTATGATAAGACTGGTTATTACATCACAAGTCCAGCAAATTTAACATTCAATTCAGATGATATTTTAAAATTACTTTGTCTATTTTAAAACTTTTATAAGCATAACTATTTTCATTTTATAAGTGAAGTTTAGCAAAAACCAAGAAGACAAATGTAGAACCAGATTTTCGAGTTTTACCTTCATCGATGAACTTTGGGGCTTGACTATTCCTTAGCCATCAAGTTGAATTTCCTAATTTTAAAATGAAGAATGCAATTCTAGAAACTATTACTTGTACAAGGTCATGTCAGTCATATTCATGTTTTATACCATTTGATTCTCTGTTACAGGCATAATAGGAAATAAAATATGTGTATGTTGCTTCACTGCCTTTCTGTTCTTCATCCTCACTCCAAATGGCCAGAACCTCTTATTTCTTGTTTTCTGTGGTTCTTCGCCCAGACATAATCCCCTCACCCAAACAGAACACCATCCTGTTGCTCTACTATGGATAGTTCACTGGACATTTTCAAAAAGATATCCTTGAAAGACAAGGTTTTAAGCAAGGGAACAAATGTCTTATAATGAGAATTTTAGACATGACACAAGGATAGTGGGAGAGTTGTTCAAATTTCAGCAGTAATTTTCTCTTCTACTTAGCTCTGGGATTGGCTTAGGCCAGACCAGGTTGGTCTTTCTGCTAAATTCTGACATCTTGTCAGTGGACATTACTACTTGGGTATTTAATTGCCATTGAAAGCTCAGTATACCTCAATCTGAATGAATCACCATTTGTTTTATACCGACTCTTCCACTGAACTTCATTCTTTCAATGATAACATTAATCTGTTGGTTACAAGTGTTTGAAACTTGGGGTAAATTTTGAGTATTTCATTTCCCAAACTTTACATCCAAGTAGTCACTTGTGTATGTATTTGGTTTCCCTCTCTAGATGATAAGCCTCTTGAAAGGAAAGTTGAATTTTGTTTTTACCCCCAGCCCCACTAATACTTAGTGTCTGTGAAGTAGGTGGTCAGTAAATAGTCACTAAGTGAGTGTTAATTAAAACAGAAGGTGTAGTTGTCATTAATGTAAAGGAGGTGATTTAAATAAGGTGTTTCAAGTCATAAACAAGTAACGGAAGGAAACCTTGCATGATGTTTACTTTTTATTTGATTGTTCTTTCCTGAAATCTAAGTACATTGTTATTCTACTGTTCTATTCATAACTTTCAAGGCCTGCCTGGGCCTGTTGCAGAAAATAATGCTAGGAGAGGGTTCAAAACCTCATTAATGTACTTCACCAACTCAAAGTGCAAGGGAACAGTTTGTCATCAGGAAGATGAAGTAATGAAAGAATTATAAAAACACCTGGCACCATTCTATTATTGTAAATGCAAACTGACCATTTGAAAAGAAAAAAAATTTTGTGTTTGTTAATGCATCTGTTGCCTTTAGTTCAGAAGCAAAATTTCAGCAGTATACAAGGAGTTACCCTAATTTTCAGCTTTGTCCCTTGTAACATAAATTTTAAAAAATAATCTTTGCAAAAGTTACCCTAGCAAATGGCTAGAAAATACGAGAATAAATGATGCAAATTTGTCCTAATAATCTGTTAAACTTAAGGCATTATTAAGCAATCAAAAGTGTAAAATAAGCTTAAAATCTTCTTCACAGCTAAGGCGGTATCTATCTTAATGATTTCCACTTTTGCTGCACGTTAGAATCGCTTGGGGAACTTTTAAAAATCCTGATGTGCAGGTTGCACTCTATACCAATTAAGTCAGAATGTCTTGGCCGGGCGTGGTGGTTCACACCTGTAATCCTAGCACTTTGAGAGGCCAAGGCAGGAAGGTTCCTTGAGCCCAGGAGTTCAAGACCAACCTGGGCAACATAGGGAGACTCCATCTCTGTTGAAAAAAAAAAAATGTCTGGGGTAAGGGATAGGAGGCAGACATTGGTATTTTTAAAAGATCTTCAGGTGATTCCAAAGTGCAACAGTTTAGGTACCCCAGCCACTGAGGAAGAGGAATGACAACTACATCATGGACAGCTGAAACAAACAAGATACTATGGATTTGGAAGATTATTAAGGTCCTACTTTCACGTTTGTTTATTTTAATATGTTCTGGGTACATAGTAGATGTTTAAATATTTACTAAATTGAATTAAATTAATCTTAATTAAATCTTAAATCATATTCTTAGATATCAAGATGCTCAGCCACCCATTTCATAGTCCTTTTAAACAATTTTTAAAAATTGATATATAATAGTTGTATGTACTTTGGGGGTACATGTAATATTTTAATACTTGTGTACAATATATAATGACCAAATAAGGTAATTGGGATATCCATTACCTCAAACATTTATCTTTTCTTTGTGTTGAGAACATTACAAATCTTCTAGCTATTTTGAAATATACAACAATTGTTACCTATAATTTGTCTACTGTACTAGAATAACTAGAACTAATTGCTTCTATCTATTTTTGTATCCTTTTCTCTGCTGTACTGGAATACTATAACTAATTTCTTCTATCTATTTTTGTATCCTTAACCAACTTTGATAATCCTTATACTTACATTTCTTATACCTCTCAAGCATCAAAGACATTACAATAGCCAGCACACTACCTAATATATGTATTTCATCTCAGTTCTTCACTAGTGAAAGGTTTTTTTTATTTTTTTGAGAGAGGGTCTTTGCTCTGTTGCCCAGGCTGGAGTGCAGTGACACAATCATAGCTCATAGCTTACTGCAGCCTCAAACTTCTGGGCTCAAGTGATCTTCCCACCTCAGCCTTTCGAGTAGCTAGGGCTACAGGTACATGCCACATCAAGCTGACTTTTAAAATTTTTGTAGAGACAGGGGTCTTACTGAGTTGCCCAGGCCGGCCTCAAACTCCTGACCTCAAGTGATCCTTTCGCCTGGGACCAAAGTGTTTGCATTTCAGGCATGAGGCCATCTGCCCAGCTCAAGAACAAGTGCTTTACTGTTATCTAGTATAATCTTAATTACAACCTTATGAGTTCACTATTGTACCTCCCATTTCACAGGCAGAAAATTAAGTTGCCCAAGGTTACACAGATGGTGAGTCTTAAAGTTGCAATTCACACTCAGGTCTATCCGATCTTAATGCCCATATTTTTAAACTTTGTATTGTGCAGGAATGGAAAGATATGACAAAATGATAGCATTAATGAAAAAGAGTACTTGCAAATTCAATGTGAGTCTGTGGTGTGATGCCACTGCCAACAAGGTAAAAGCCACCTGAGGTTGTGTTCTGGAATACAGTATTCAGAGGGAGGGAAGCAACAGTCCCATGCTAGTCTTTAGGGGTGGAGCACACCTGGAGCATTGTGTGCAAGCTGGAAAAAAAAAAGAGGATTACTCACACACCTGACACTCATTGTGATGTGAGTACCCAGCATGGTGAGCTGTGTCTGTAGGAAAAACTCTTAAAAAGCTGAGACTATTTAGGCTCCACAAAGAGAAAGCTGAGGGAGGCTGAGTAGCTAGTATTTGAAATGTCATCATGTGGTGGAACATTAGACACGATTGGTGTAGTTCCAGAAGGAAAAACTAGGCTGCACATATAGGAAAATCAGAGGTAGATTTGGCTCCACACAGAAAGGAAGGTCTGGCTGTTATTTGGAGCTTTTTAGAAATGAAATGGACTTCCTTGTAAGACAGTGAATTCCTTTTCACTAATGAAGAAACTGAATGATCACTAATCCTGAGCGTTAAAGACTTAACGTATGTCAGGTGTGGCTTCTTAACGCTTAATGGGTATTAGAATCACCTGGGGGAACTTGATAACTACTGATTGCCAGGCCTTACCTTGAGAAGAGTTGCTTCAGCAGATCTGAAATAAGGTCCAAGAATCTGAATTTTTAAATTTATTTTTATTTTTATTTTTTGAGACGGAGTCTTGCTCTGTCACCCAGTCTGGAGTGCAGTGGTGTGATCTTGGCTCACTGCATCCTCCACCTCCTGGGTTCAAGTGATTGTCCTGCCTCAGCCTCCTGAGTAGCTGGGACTACAGGTACATGCCACCATGCCTGGATAATTTTTGTATTTTTAGTAGAGACGGGGTTTCACCATGTTGGCCAGGCTGATCTCGAACTCCTGACCTCAGGTGATCCACCTGCCTCGGCCTTCCAAAGTGTTGGGATTATAGGCATGAGCCACCGCGCCTGGCCAAGAATCTGAATTTTTAACAAGAAACACAGTGAGTCCAGATCACATGGTCACTGACCCGCCCTTTGAGAACTGGTGAGGTTAGATAAACTCAGATCTCTTCCACTTATCCTACAAATAAACACTTTAGTAAAAAATGTGTAGTCAACATAATGACTGCTCAAAGTTGTCGTAACAAATTTTGTAAGAAATCTAAGGCAAAATTCCTTAATATGTTGTCAGCTAAGTTAGAGATGACATCATTGGAATGTACGATATTAGGATATGGAAGGAGAACACTTGATTCTCACTCTGTGTTATAAAAGATAAGATTATAATAGCAAAATAGAAAATATAGATCCAGTTTGAAAATTTTAAACACTTCAAATAGAGAACCCACTCCACTTATGCCAAGGAGCAATCGGATGGAGACCAGATTGGCATATGAAAAAGCTGTATGATCATTTCAATAGGCAGCACCTGTGTAAGGTGAAACATCCATCAGCCTTTAGGGCCCAGGCTTATATAAACTTCAGCCTCGAACTCACGAACAGGTGTGGGTGAGAGTTGGAAACATAAGGGATAGTGCGGTTGGTCTTCTAAGTCTCGCCCACTTTTCTTAGGGGCTAAAGAGCTTTTGTTGGCAAGTATAATGTGTTTGATTATTCCTAAAGCATGCAACTTGGAGCCACATTTTGGAATTACTCTCTCCTGAAATATTTTGCTCTTTGTTAATATATCTTTAAAAAGTGATGCTTGAGGTAATTACTGTCCCATATCAGGATCTTTTTTAAGTTGTAGTGATGTTTCATTTATTACTTAAGTGCTTTAAAATTTTAAAAAGACTTTTTTTTTTCCTTTGAAAACCTTTAAAACTGGGCTATTTGAGGAATTGCTGTTCTTGGCTGTTATGTTGATTGATAGTGTTCATGTACTTACCTAGTTTACTAAGGACTTCTTTCTAGCAGATTTTCTCAGTTTTAACTTTAAGGTATGTAAAATTTCCAAATGGCAGTTAAATATTGATAATAAGTTAAACCATTTCTTTCTATTTCTTCTTGCTTCCTTTTAATGATTCAGACCTCCTTATCTATTTTTCTTGAATCATGAGAGATGAAATTGCAACAACAGTTTTCTTTGTCACAAGATTGGTGAAAAAACATGATAAACTAAGTAAACAGCAAATAGAAGACTTTGCAGAAAAGCTGATGACGATCTTGTTTGAAACATACAGAAGTCACTGGCACTCTGATTGCCCTTCTAAAGGGCAAGCCTTCAGGTGAGAGCTAGTATGTGGGATGGCAAAGGGAAGCAATCACCAAGCAACCAGCCAGCTCCTAGGAAAATGGAGTGATCTTGTTTTCTGCATATAAGTAACAAAAGTTTTATGGGCTCGAGTTTATTTGTTTGAACGTGGAATTGAAAGGAGGAGACATAGTAGATGACACTGTGGCTGGAAACAACAGAGCAAAGCCCCTTATGTGAGGTAGATTAAACAATTTCTAACTTGTCTTTGCCATGAAAGATAACTAATTTTGTGACTTAGTGATGCAACATACATTCTGAGCCACTGTATCAAAAGTTGATGATGTCTTACTTGTAAGAGTGGAGGGTGGAGGAGGCTGAGGGGAAGGAGGCTGAGGGGATGAGGTGGGAGCTATGTGTATTGGAACAGTATGTGCATAATGTGATTCTCCTGCTAAAGTGTCTGTCATCATGTCTTCGTTTCCCTTCGCTTTTTAAAAAGGTGCATCAGGATAAACAACAATCAGAATAAAGATCCCATTCTAGAAAGGGCATGTGTGGAAAGTAATGTAGATTTTTCTCACCTGGGACTTCCGAAGGAGATGACCATATGGGTAGATCCCTTTGAAGTATGCTGTAGGTGAGTAATCTCATAGTTTGTGTGCTGTGTGATACCTGGAAACCTTAAGTTAGACAACTTTACATACCTTCATGAAAGATGATGCCCCAAAGCCTTGAGTTGGCAGCAGGGATACTTCTTGGTTAAGATTTTAGATGCAAACTTCTGTTAGACAATGCAGACTTCTATTCAAAGTGGGTGAGGTGGAAAGCACAATGATTTTGCAAAATATTTGAAATGTGGCTTTAATCACTGCACCTTATTACAAACTATAGATTGGTAACAGTATCTATTACAAACTGTAGGTTGATAACAGATAAGTGTTATAGGCAACATCAGAAAGGAAGGAGAGTTATCTACCATGGGACAATTCAGTTCATTAACTGAATCAAAAGAAACTAGTCTTTGTTTTTTTCTGAACAATTAACCAAAATAGCTCTTATAGAATATCCTAATTTATAACAGTGTAGTAGGTGAAGGTCATAATGTCCTTCAATTTTTTAAGGCAATTTCTTTTAAAATAAGTTAGCATATTGTCTCCAGGAAAGATTGGAGATCTTGTAGAAAGTTGAATCGCTAATTAGCACTTAAATTTCTTTTCCTACTTAGGTATGGTGAGAAAAACCATCCATTTACAGTTGCTTCTTTTAAAGGCAGATGGGAGGAATGGGAACTATATCAACAAATCAGTTATGCCGTTAGTAGAGCCTCATCAGACGTTTCCTCTGGCACTTCCTGCGATGAAGAAAGTTGTAGCAAGGAACCTCGTGTCATTCCTAAAGTCAGCAATCCGAAGAGTATTTATCAGGTCAAGAGTGTTCCAGTTCTTTTCTATACTTTTTTTCTATCTAATTCTAAAAAGAATGCACTCATTATGAAAACAAAGAAGCAAAAAAACATGGAAAGAACAAAACTGTAGATTTTTAAAAGCCAGACTCTTAATATTTTGGCAAAACTTTTTCTGTCTCCTTCACTGCACAATGTATTCCCTACACTTGGCTGAGCTTTTAGGATCCACATAATCTTTTATTGTCCTATTTCTTCATACAGTATTTGAAGATACACAGGTTTCCTTCCACTTAAATTCCTACAGAATCAAAGATTAAGATTAGTGGGATTTTTTTTTCTGTCAATTGAAAATACCACGGCATTTATAGAAAATTTGGATATAGGAAAGGTCAAAGGCCTATAAATTCTGCCACTAGAGCAGTTTTTCTCAGCTATTTTTTTCTTCTTTTTAAACCATAACCCATTCAAAATATGTATATTTACATTTAAAAAGTTTCATGAAACAGTGCTTATCTTTACTAGGAGCAATGCTCCCAATGCTCCCAATACTTCCAATTAAATTCATTTGATTTCAAGTATCTAAATTGATTTCATGACCCACAATTTGAAAAACACTGATCTAGAGAGAATTTGTTAACACTATATGTATATATTTGTTTGTATGTTCTCTTAATCACCTATGTATTAAATGTTAAAGCAATTAAAATTTTAATATTCATTTGCCTCCTTTGTAACTTATTATTGGCAGATATTCTAGGCTGTTTCCACATGGTTGTAATATTTTTTTAAAAGCTGGTAACTCGTATAGTGATGCCTGAATTTTAGGTTGTTTCTTGAGATTTGATTCTCAAGCACAGAACTACTGGGTCGCAGAGTATGAACATTTTACTGGTTTTTAATATGCAGCCGAAACACCATGTAGAAAGTTGTATTTATTTGTAGTCTCACCAGCTGTATGTAAAAGTGCCAACTTTGCCATTTTTTTCTAGAATTGGCTATTCTCATTTAAAAAACAGATAATTTGATTAACATGATATGCATATATAATACAGTATTAGTGAAATTAAACATTAAAACTTTCCATGTGCCCAAATGTTTTAGCACCTACTGCCCTACAAATTTTCTCTTATTCAGCCATTCATTATTTGAAGTTCTAATGTATTATTGTAGGTTCTTTATATGCCAGAACGATTTTAACCCCTTGACATATTTCTGGCAAATGTTTTGTCCCTAGTTTTTTAAACTATGTGTGTCATTGATAGTTTCTTGGAAACAGTGACTTTAAGTAAAATGATGTATGACAAAGCCATTTTTTTCCTCAGTCTTATAACCAAACTATGTTATTCAAAGACCTGCTATATGTCATTTAGCTTAAAATTAGTTTCCAATAACCTATCGAGGTTGTTGAGTGAGGATTTACAGTATTTGCCCTTAATTCTATTTTTATTTTTAGAAAGGTCTTCTTCCATTTGGGGATCAGACCTGTAATCAGCTATATTCTTTTACAGCAATGTCTTTTCAAAGTGTGATCTGTAAAACATCTGTATCCATCATCTTAGGTGTTTAAAATGAAGATTTCTAGGCTGTGGCCCCAGAGATCATGAACATGCAGTTTTGGATTGGGTTGGCAGTGGTGAGGTAGGGATGGAAGAGGGACAATTCAAGAATAAACATAAACTTGAATAAGCATATTAAAAAGTTTTTAGTTGAATTAATTAACTTTTTAAAAAGGTACAGTATAAAGTGATTTATGTTCCCGCCAAGTGCTAGAAATTTTTTTCAAAGATGGTTATGCACTTTCAATTCTATTCATTTGTGCTCCCTATGCTTTTGAAGTGCCTGACTTTTGAATTATGGGTTCATATTTAGTCCTTACAGCTAGCTTATTAGAGATCTTTATACTTTTTTTTTCCAGGTTGAAAACTTGAAACAGCCCTTTCAATCTTGGTTACAAATCCCCCGCAAAAAGAATGTGGTGGACGGCCGTGTTGGCCTCCTGGGAAACACTTACCATGGCTCGCAGAAGCATCCTAAGTGTTACAGGCCTGCTATGCACCGGCTGGACAGGTACCACTGGGTCAACACACACCGATGACGCAGCGACTGGGCACGTGGTGGGCAAGAGCTCAGAGGAGTGCCTTTATTCTCTCTAAAATAAAAATGAATTTAAGGTTGAGAGGCCCATGAAACAAAAAATGACCATATTAGGGACTAGGGTACACAATGGTAAATCCTCTCATACAGATCATCACTGTTCTTAGCTGTACTTTTAATTCTTATTTAATTTTACATGAAGTTTTATGTAACATCAGTGAATGTACCCAGTAAGGTAACAGAATGAAGATGTTGACCTCTAATAAGACTCAATGAATTATGAAAAGTAATGGTTTAAATAAACGTACAGTGTTTTTAATACTTCTTAGTTCAGTTTGTTGCAAGAAACAAACTTTTAAAAGTTTATTTTTTGTAAAGAAGGGGTCTCCCTATCTTTGTAAAGGCTGGTCACAAACTCCTGAGCTCAAGCAATCCTCCTGTCTCGGCCTCCCAAAGTGTTGGGATTCAGGCGTGAGCCACCGTGCCCGGCCACCATTCATTCTTTCTCCCCTCACCCTCTACCACTTGCTAGAGGGAAAGTTGATGACTCTGCAGTCCATGTCTCTACAAATTTGATAGCAGTGAGAATTGTTTTGGCTGCTACTTTTCAATGTTTATGGTATGAGGAAATGCCCATTAGGCTGCTGCTGGTGAATTTTATCTTTGTTAGATTTTATAGATTTTAAAATTAGGAAGGGAGATTCTACAATCCAGCTTCACTTTATTAGCCAAAAATAGTTTGACTCTTCTAAATTCTGTGTCTCTAGTTGTTAGAAAATTCCCACAACCTTGTTGACTGGACCCATTCCTACTCATGCTGTTTGTTCTCAGCCAGGTCCTTGCTGTTGTTTGGCAGATCCTGTTAATCTCCACTTAAGCCATTTAGTAGCTGTCTTCTCAATCTCTTTTTACTCCACCCTCCTGTGCTCTCAGCAGGGGACTTGTTCTTTTTGTTTTCTCCTACTTCAAAACTTTATCCCTCCCTTCTCCTCTCTCATCTCCATTTTAAGGCTTTGCTCTTCTCCAGCCGCTTGTATCTTCTCCCTACATCTTGGTTTTCTTGCTGAGTTTCTGCTGTTAGGTGATTCTGGATCCAGGAAGCTGGTAGCATTGGAGCAGTCACAGCTTGGTTCTCTTGTGAGTAGACTTGTGCTTTGGGCCAGTGGCTCTGAGTGGATACAAAAAGTTGTGACCTTGAGTCCCAACTTGGGTACGACATGCCAGCAGTCATGCTAGTGCTGATGAAGGGGGAGGGAGCTTGATTCTAGCCTCATTACTTTGGGTGCAGCTCTTAGTAATCATTTTTTCTTTTTTTTCTAGAAACGATGGTTCATTAGGGCACATAGCAGCATTATTTTGTGGGACAAACTCACCTACCCTTAATGGCATATGAGGTCAAGTTTCTCTGCTGAAAAGTGAGTTTGTCCTCTCTTGAAGAGCTTTCTACTATAGTGTGGGAGTTGTTGTGAACCTCCCTAGATTTCTCTCAAGGCAACCACAACACTAGTTTACTGGCCCCTCAGCAAACCATCTCCTGGAGGTGGTTGTGATGTTTGCCAGCCTCCATACGTGTGTGGGTGAATTCTGGTCTCCAGATAATGGGGCAGAAACAAGACTACCAGCAATGGGTGTAAGTATTAGGCTTTAGGATGCTGGCATGTATGTGAATGTACTTTAGTTTAATCCTTAACCATCAAGTTAGAATTTCTGGTAACATTTCATTTTCTCTGCCTCCCTACCTTCTGCCCTTGTGCAGGCAATTGTCATTAGTTACCTGATTATTGCAACAGTCTACTAACAACAGTAACTGTTTCTCATCTTGTTCCCTATCCTAAGGTAATCTTTACTCTCCAGTTTAAAATGTTTCAATCAGGAAATTATTCAAATTCTAGAATATGACTTCTGGTCTTAATGACTTGAGTTCTTGCATATCTTTTCAGCCTAACCTCGACTCTTTTGGACTCTGTTTGTTTGTTTGTTTGTTTCCTTTGAGACAGAGTCTCACTTTGTTGCCCAGGCTGGAGTGCAGTGGCGAGATCTTGGCTCACTGCAACCTCCGCCTCCCAGGTTCAAGTGATTCTCGTGCCTCAGCCTCCAGAGTAGCTGGGACTACAAGCGTGCGCCCCCATGCCCGGGTAATTTTTGTATTTTTAGTACAGACGGCATTTCACCATGTTGGCCACGCTGGTCTCAAACTCCTGGCCTCAAGTAATCTGCCCACCTTGGCCTCCCAAAGTGCTGGGATTACCGGGGACTCTGGTATTTGAGACTTCTTGATTGGGATACTTCTCACCTTGCCTCATTGTTCTCCCTTCCCTCTTGATCTTTGGGTATCACTTGAGATGCTACCTCTTCCAGGAAGACTTCCTGATCCCCAAGTCCAGTTTACAGTCATATGTTAGGGGTTCCTTACAGCATTCTGTCTGCCCCTAGAAGAGCACTTATCTATTATAATTGTTTCATAGTTATCAGTATCCTCCCAATAGACTGAGTTTTCAGAGTACAGATACCTCATATTCCCATTTAATGTTGGCATATAGCAGTGTTCAGATTTATAGACTGAATGACTTTATTGGCGATTAAATGCTTGCCTAATATATAATCTGATACACGGCATTAAATAATGCTTGTTGGTTGATCATTCTCTCAGCAGAGTAAGAAGTATTGTGTTCTAGGCTGGGCATGGAGAACTAATCGCTGTAAAAATCTGAAGCTGTTTGGTCTTTACATGTACAATTTAGTGGACTAAAAAAAGAAAAATCAACCATATATAATAGTTGCTAGATAAAAAATGCAACATAATATTTGGATATGACAGAAGACTGAGTGATTTTTCAAGAACCTTTACACAGAGGGTTTTATTAATAGTGTCCCTTGCAGTTTGCAAGGTTGGTTTAAAAACATTTCTTCCAGCCAGCAGAGGTGACACTGTACCCCTGAACCCCATGCTGCTGATGGACACTGCTAGTCAATCACAGTGTTCTGATTTGGGTTCAGAGATTGCCTCATAATTCTTGTAGCACAGTACTTGAGATGACCATTATAATTAATTGTTCCAAATTGGTACTCAGGAAGAAACCAATTCCACAATGTGCTAGGGTTTGGCTCAGAGGCAGCCATCCATGAGCATATGATCCCTGTGTAATCCTTTAGAGCCTCTCAGGAGGCTCTGAGCAAATGTGTAGGGGAAAAAATATAATCAACTATATATTTTTATTGTGATAAAAAGTAGTCAATATACTTGAAAAGCCCCTAAATATATTAATGTCATATCTATTAGTCTATTTGTATAATAACCAAATTAGATCTTCCTAATCTACATTTTGAAAATTTTCTATGATGAGTATGTACCACTTATTTTTCTTTTCTTTTCTTTCTTTCTTTCTTTTTTTTTTTTTTTTGAGATCAGGTCTCACTCTGTCACCTAGGTTGGAGAGCAGTGGTGCAATCATAGCTCACTGCAGCCTTGACTCCCTGGCTTGAGTCATCCTCTTGCCTCAGCCTCCTGAGTAGCTGGGACTACAGGCACCTGGCTAATTTTTGATTTTTAGTAGAGAACGAGGTCTCGCTATGTTGCCCAGGCTGGCCTTGAACTCCTGAGCTCAAGGGATCCTCCCGCTTCGGCTTCCCAAAGTGCAGGGATTACAGGCATGAGCCACCATGCCTGGCCTTCTCTTTTTAAAAAAATTTTTATCTTGAGGTAATTATAAATTCACATGCAGTTGTAAGAAATAACATAGATTGCATGCATTCTTTTACCTAGTTTTCCCCCTTGGTAACATTTTGCAAAACTTTAGTACAGTATCACAACCAGATATTGACATTGCTACAGTCAAGATACAGAACACTTCCATCACCACAAGAATTCCTCTTGTTGCCCTTCTATAGTTGCACACACTTCCTCCGACTCCCATCCCTTTCTTAACCCCTTGGCAACCACTAATCTTCCCCCTGTTCTTTTAATTTTGTCATCTCAAAAATGTTATAAATTAATCATACTGTAGGTAACCTTTTGGAATTGGCTCTTTTCACTAAGCATAGTTCTTTGGAGATTCATCCAGGTTGCTGCATGTATTGGTAGTTTATTCCTTATTGTTGCTGAGCAGTATTCCGTGGTATGGATACATCACAGTTTAGCCATTTACCTGTCAAAGAACAACCGATTGTTTCTGGTTATTAGGAATAAAACTGCTACAAACATTTGTGTAGACAATGTGTGAACATAGGCATTTATTCCAGAGAAATAAAAACATATGAGTGCAATTAATGGGTCATATAGTAGTTGCATGCTTAGTTTTTAAAGAAACTGCCATTTTATGTTCCCATCAGCAATGTATGAGTGATTCAGCTTTTCCACACACTTACCAGTCTTTGGTATTGTCATAATTTTTTATTTCAGCCATTCTGATGGGTGTGTAGGGTATCTTAGTATGGTTTTAATTTACATGACCCTCATGGCTAGTGATGTTGAACATCTTGTGCTCATTTGGCATCTGAATATCTTGTTTGATGAAATATCTGTGTAAGTCTTCTGGCCATTTTCTAATTGAGTGCGTTGTTTATTTTTCCACTGAGTTTTGAGAATATTTGATATATTCTAGACACTGGTGCTTTGTCAGATGTGTGGCCTGAAACTATTTTCTTCCAGTTTGTACCTTGTATTTTAAAAAGTTCTTTATTTTTAATTATTATGGGTACATAATAGTTATATATGTGGAGTACATGTGATGTTTTGATAGAGGCACATGTTGTGTTATAAATCATGGTAATTGGGGTATTCATCACCTCAAGCGTTGATCATTTCTTTGTGTTAGGAACATCTCAATTTCACTTTCAGTTTTTTATTTATTTTTTTTATTTTTGAGATGGAGTTTTGCTCTCGTTGCCCAGGCTGGAGTGCAATGGCACGATCTCAGCTCCCTGCAACCTCTACCTTCCAGTATCAAGCGATTCTCCTGCCTCAGCCTCCCGAGTAGCACGTGCCCGCCACCACACCCAGCTAATTTTTTTTTTTTTTTGTATTTTTAGTAGAGATAGGATTTCACCATGTTGGCCAGGCTGGTCTCAAACTCCTGGCCTCATGTGATCCACCCACTTTGACCTCCCAAAGTGCTGGGATTACAGGCATGAGCCACTGCACCCGGCCACTTTCAGTTATTTAAAAATGTACAGTAACTTATCGACTATGGTCATCCTATTGTATTACTAAGTACCAGATCTTAATTATTCTAACTGTATTTTTGTACCCACTAACAATCCCCACTCACCCAACCCCTCCCTGCTACCCTTCCCGGCTTCTAGTAACCAACCATTCTACTCTATTTCCATGGGTTCAATTTTTTTTTTTCACTCCCAAGTGTGAATGAGAACATATAATATTTGTCTTTCTGTGCCTGGCTTATTTCACTTAATGTCCTCTAGTTCCATCCATGTTGTTGCAAATGACAGGATTTTATTATTTTTTATGAAGGATTTTATTCTTCGTAAATGATAGGATTTTATTCTTTTTTATGAAAGATTTTATTCTTTTTCATGATTGAATAATGTTCCATTGTGTATATGTACCACATTTTCTTTATCCATTCATCTGTTGATGGATACTTAGGTTGATTCCATATGTTAGCTGTTGTCAATAGGGTTGCAATAAACATGGGAGTGCAGATATCTCTTCGATATACTGTTTTCCTGTCTTTTGGATATGTATCTAGCGGTGGGATTGCTGGATCATATGGTAGTTCTATTTGTAGTTTTTTGAGGAACCTCCATACTGTTCTCCATAGTGGCTGTAGGAGTTTGCATTCCCACCAATGGTGTATGAGGGTTCCCCTTTCTACACATCCTCACCAGCAACAGTTATTACTTGTCTTTTTGATGCAAGCCATTTTGATGGGGTGAGATGATATCTCATTGTAGTTTTAATTTGTGTTTCTCTGATTAGTGATGCTGAATATTTTTTTCACATACCTGTTGGCCATTTGTCTTTTTTTTTTTTGAGATGGAGTTTCACTCTTGTTGCCCAGGCTGGAGTGCAATGGCATGACCTCAGTTCGCCACAACGTCTGCTTCTGGGTTCAAGTGATTTCCTGCTTCAGCCTCCCGAGTAGCTGGAATTACAGGCATGCACCACCATGCCTGGCTAATTTTGTATTTTTAGTAGAGATGGGGTTTTTCCGTGTTGGTCAAGCTGGTCTTGAACTCCCAACCTCAGGTGATCTGCCCACCTCAGCCTCCCAAAGTGCTGGGATTACAGTCTTGAGCCACCGTGGCCGGCCTTGTTTGTTTTCTTTTAAGAAATCTCTATTCAGTACCTTCTGAGCCAAATAAAAACAAAGAGAACAAAAGAAATGCCTGTTTGGATTTTTTGTCCAAAAAAATTGAATTTTTTTCCCTATTGAGTTGTTTGAGCTTCTTATCTATTCTAGCAGTTAATACCTGTCAGATGGGTAGTTTGTAAATATCTTCTCCTATTCTGTGAGTTGTCTCTTCACTTTGTTGATTATTTCCTTTGCTGTGCAAAGCTTTTTAGCGAGATGTGATCTCATTTGTCCATTTTTGTTTCGGTTGCCTGATTTTGAGGTCTTCCCAAGAAACCTTTGCCCAGACCAATGTTCTAGAACATGTTCCCAATGTTTTCTTCTAGTAGTTTCATAGTTTCAGATCTTATATTTAAGTTCTTAATCCATCTTTACTGGATTTCTACATATGGCAAGAGATAGTGGTCTAGTTTCATTCTTTCGTGTATGGATATCCAGTTTTCCCCACACTATTTATTGATGAGACTGTCCCTAGTGTATGTTCTTTGCACCTTTGTTGAAAATGAGTTGACTATAAATGCATGGACTTATTTCTGGGTTTTCTATTCTGTTCCGTTGGTCAATGTGTATGTTCTTATGCCAGTACCATGCTGTTTTGGTTACTATAGCTCTGTAGTATAATTTGAAGTCAGGTTACATAATTCCTTCAGTTTTGCTCTTTTTTGCTTAGGATGGCATTGGCTGTTCTGGGTCATTTGTGATTCCATATACATTTTAGAATTTTTTTTTATTTCTGTGAAGAATGTCATTGGTATTTTGATAGGGATTGCATTGAATCTGTAGACTGCTTTGGGTACCATGGACATTTTAACACTATTGATTCTTCCAGTCCATGAACATGGAACGTCTCCATTTTTTGTGTGCTCTTCAATTTCTTTCATTAATATTTTATAGTTTTCATTGTGGACATCATTCACTTTTTTGGTTAAGTTTATTCCTAGGTATTTTATTTGTAGCTATTGTAAATGGGAGTAGCTTCTTGGTTTCTTTTTCAGATTGTTTACTGTTAGCATATAGAAATGATACTGATTTTTGTATGTTGATTTTTATATCCTGCAACTTTACTGAATTTATTTTTCAGTTTCAATAGATTTTTGGTGTGGAGTCTTTAGGTTTTTCTAAATATAAGACTATATCGTCTGCAAGGAATGATAATTTGACTTCTTTCTTTCCAATTTGGATACCCTTTATTTCTTTCTCTCATCTAGTTGTTCTGGGTAGGGCTTCCAGCACCATGTTGAATAAAAATGGTGAAAGTGGGCATCGTTGTCTTGTTCCAGATCTTAGAGAAAAGGCTTTCAGTTTTCCCATTCAGTATGATCCTAGCTGTGGGTTTGTCATATGTGGCTTTATGATTTTGAGGTATGTTCCTTCTATACCCAATTTGTTGAGTATTTTAAAAATGAAGGGATGTTGAATTTTGAGTGCTTTTTCAGCATCGATCAAAATTATCATATGACCATTTGACCCAGGAATTTCATTACTGGGTATATACCCAAAGGAATATAAATCATTCTATTATAAAGATACATTCACGTGTATGTTTATTGCAGCACTATTCACAATGGCAAAGACATGGAGCCAACCTAAATGCCCATCAATGATAGTCTGGATAAAGAAAATGTGGTACATATGCACCATGGAATACTACACAGCCATAAAAAGGAAAGATCATGTTTTTTCCAGGGACATGGATAGAGCTGGAAGCCATTATCCTTAGCAAACTAACACAGAAACAGAATGTCAAGCACTGCATGTTCTCACTCATAAGTTGGAGCTGAACAATGAGAACACGTGGACACAGGGAGGGGAACAACATACACTGGGGCCTGTCAGGGAGGAGGCGGGGGGAGGGAGAGCATCAGGATAAAATGCTAATGCATGGGGGGCTTAATACCTAGGTAATGGGTTGATAGGTGCAGCAAACCACCATGGCACATGTTTACCTATATAACAAACCTGCACGTCCTGCACATGTATCACCAAACTTGAAATAAAATTAAATATTTAAAAAAATCAATTAAAAGCATGTGGTTTTGTCTTTGATTCTCTTAATGTGATATATCACATTATTTTTTGCATATGTTTAACTATCCTTGCATCCCTGGGATGAATCCCACATGATCATGATCATGATGAATACTTTTTTAATGTGCTATTGAATTCAGTTTGCTGGTATTTCACTGAGGATTTTTGCATCTATATTCATCAGAGATACTGGCCTGTAGTTTTCTTTTTTCTGTTGTATCTTTGTCTGGGTTTGATATCCAAGTAATACTGGCCTCATAGTATGGGTTTGGAAGTATTACCTTCTGCTCAATTTTTTAGCCCAATTTTTTAGAATAGTATGAATAGTATGTATGTGTGTATTTATTTATTTATTTGGAGGCAGGGTCTTACTCTATCACCTAGGCTGGAGTGCAGGGGTGTGATCTTGGTGTGATCTGCAACCTCTGCCTCCCAGGCTCAAGCAATCCTCCTGCCTCAGCTTCCTGGGTGCTATGACTACAGGTGCACACCACCGTGTCTGATTAATTTTTGAGTTTTTGTAGAGATGGGGTTTCACCATGTTGCCCAGGCTGGTTCTTGAACTCCTGGGCTCAAGTGATCTACCCACCTTGGCCTTCCAAAGTGCTGGGATTACAGGCATCATAGTTCTTTAAATGTTTGGTAGAATTCAGCAGTGAAGCCTTTAGGTCCTGGGCTTTTCTTTGATAGAAGCAGTAGTAAAAAGCTTTCTATCTCATTACTTGTTATTGGTCTATTCAGGTTTTGGATCTCTTCAGGTTTCAATCTTGACAGGTTGTATGTCTAAGAATTTATCCATTTCTTCTAGGTTTTCCAATTTATTGATGCATAGTTGTCCTGTGGTATCAGTTGTAATGCCTCCCTTTTCATCTCTGGTTTTATTTGTTTGGTTCTTCTCTCTTTTTTCCTTTTTAGCTACTCCTACAGGAAAGATCTTTTTTCTTAATCTGGCTAAAGGTTTGTCAATTTTGTTTATCTTTTCAAAAAACCAACTTTTCATTTTGTTCTTTTGTATTTTTTTAAAGTCTCAATTTCATTCACTTCTGCTCTGATCTTTCACTTCTTCTACTGGTTTTTGAGTTTGGTTTGCTCTTGCTTTTCTAGTTCTTCAAGGATGCATTGTTAGATTGTTTATTTGAAGTTTTTCTTATTTTTTGACGGAGGCATTTATTGCTATAAACTAGCACTCCTAGTACTGCTTTTGCTGTATTCCATTGGTTTTGGAATGTTGTATTTCATTTGTTTCAATACATTTTTATATTCTCTTAATTTCTTCATTGACCTCATGGTCGGTTAGGAGCATATTTTAAAATTTCCATGTGTTTGTACAGTTTCCAAAGTTTCCTTTGTTATTGATTTCTAGTTTTATTCCACTGTGGTTGGAAAAAGTAGTTGATATGATTTCATTTTTTAAAAAATTTTTGAGACTTGTTTTGTGGCCTAACATATGGTCTGTCCTTGAGAATGTTCCATATGCTGAGGAGAAGAATGGGTATTCTGCAGCAGTTGGATAAAATGTTCTGTAAATGTCTGTTAGGTCCTTTTGGTGTGCAGTACAGATTAAGTCCAGTGTTTCTTTGATTTTCTATTGGGGTCATCTGTCCAATACTGAAAGTGGCGTGTTGAAATTCCCAGATATTGTATTGAGGTCCATCTCTCTTTGGCTCCAGTAATATTTTCTTTATAAATCCGGGTGCTCCAGTGTTGGGTACATATATATTTATAATTGTTATATGCTTTTGTTGAATTGACCCCCTTATCATTGTATAATGACCTCCTTTGTCTCTTTTACAGTTTTTGTCTTGAAATCTATTTTATCTGATAACTGTAGCTTCTCCTGCTTTTTTGGTTTCCATTTGCATAGAATATCTTTTTCAGTCTATGTGTGCCTTTATAGGTGATATGAGTTTCTTGCAGGCAGCATGTAGTTGGGTGTTTTAAAAACTCCATTCAGCCACTGTATGTCTTTTGATTGGAGAATTCAGTCCATTTAAATTTCAGTGTTGTTATTGATAGGTAAGAACTTACTACTGCCATTTTGTTTGTTTTCTGGTTGTTTTGTTGGTCCTCTTTCCTTCCTGTCTTTCTTTGTGTAAAAGTGATTCCCTCTGACAGTATGTCTTAATTTCCTTTTTTTTTGTGTGTGTATCTCTTACAGGTTTTTGCTTTGCCATTACCGTGAAGCTTGCAAATAGCATTTATTAACCAATTTAAAAATGGTGACAATGGTGACAACTGTGATTACAAAGAAAAGCAAAGCAAAGATAAAATTAAAACACTACACTTGAACTCCATCTCCTCCCTACCCCCTGCTTTCACTTTTTGATCTCTTTATTTATCTTTTTATACTGTGTATCTATTAAAATGTAGTTGTAATTATTTTTGATAGATTTGTCTTTTAGTCTTCCTATGAAAGATACAAGTGGTTTATATGACACTGTTAGTGCAACTATACTGTTAGAGCAACTACAGTGTTAGTGTATTTATTTTTCTGTGTACTTTTACGAGTAATTTTTATATCTTCAAATTACTTCTTTTTCATTAACATCCCTTTTTTTCAGATTGAATAGCTTTCTTTAGATTTCTTGTAAGGTGGGTCTGGTGTTGGTGAAATCCCTCAGCTTTTGTTTTTCTATGAAAGTATTTCTCCTTCATGTTTGAAGAATAATTCTGCTAGATATGATATTCTAGGTTAGACTTTCTTTTTTCTTTGGCACTTTGAATGTCATTCCACTCTCTTGGCCTGTGAGATTTCCATGAAGATGTCTGCTGCCAGATATACCAGAGATCCTTTCTATGTTATTTGCTTATTTTCTCTTACTACTTTTAGGATTCTTTATCCTTGTTCTTTAAGGGTTTCATTATTGTATACCTTGAGATAGTCTTATTTAGGTTGAATCTTTTTGGTGTCCTATGACCTTCTTGTACTTGGATATTCATGTCTCCAGGCTTGGAAATTTCTGTCATTTCTTTGAATGAACTTTCTACCCTGATATTTCTCTCTGTCTCTCTTTGTCTGTCCTCTTTAAGGGTAATAACTCTTAGATTTGCTGTTTTGAGGCTATTTTCTAGATCTTGTAGGTGTGCTTCTTTTTTATTCTTTTCTCTTCTCTGACTGTCTGTTTTCATGTAGCCTGACTCAAACTCACTGATTCTTTCTTCAGCTTGGTCAATTTGCTGTTGATTCTGATGCATTTTTCAGTTTATCAGTTGAATTTTTTAGCTCCAGAATTTTTGCTTGATTTAAAACAAATTATTTCAATCTTTTTGTTGAATTTTCTGAAAGAATTCTCAATTCCTTCTCTGTTATCTTTTTATCTATGTTGCTGAGCTTCCTCAAGGTGGTGATTCTGATTCCCTGTTTGAAAGATGATATCTTCATCACTGTGGGATTGGTCACTGGTGTCTAATTTAGTTTATTTAGTGAAGTCATGTTTTCTTGGATGTTGTTGATGCTTGTGGCCACTCATCAATGTTTGGGCATTGAAGAATTAAGTATTCCAATCTTTGTAATCTGGATTTATTTGTACCTGCCCTTCTTGAGAAGGCTTTCCACATATTAAAAGGGGATTGAGTGTTGTGATCTAAGCTTGTGGTCACTGCAGGTGTATCAGCACTGGGGTGTACCCTAAGCACAGGAATGCTGCAATTTCTGCTGGCTCCTTGAGGAACTGCCTTGGTGGGCTGGGTTATTTTGGTTCTTGCGAAGGTGCTTTCTTGCATGGGTAGTTGTTCAATTTGGTGTTCCTGTAGGGGGATGCTTGCTAGAGGGTTCTATTAGGCCATCTTGCTCAGACTTCTACGTTGTGTTTTATCCTCTTAATGACGTCTTTCACAGATCAAAATCTTTTAATTTTGATGAAGTCGAATTCATTCATTTTTCTCTTATAGATCATGATTTGGTGTCAAGTTTTAGAGCTTTTTGCCTAGCTCTAGATCCTGAAGTTTTTTTTTTTCTAAAGTTTTATGTTTTACATTTAGTTTGCCATCTATTTTGAGTTAATTTTTTGTATGAGATACCAGACTTAGATTAAAGTGCTTTTTTCTCCTCTATGAATATCCACTTACTCCAGCACCATTTGTTAAAATGAAAAGACTATCTTTCCTCCATCAAATTGTTCTTGCATCTTTGTGAAAATTCAGTTGAGTATATCACTGTGGGTGTATTTCTGTGTTCTGTGTTCTTGGCCTGTGTGTTTATTCTTCTGCCAACACCACACAGTTTTGATTACTGTAGCTGTGTAAATCTTGAAACTGGATAGATTCTTCCCACTTTATTCTTTCTAAAAATTACTTTAGCTATTCCAGTTTCTTTCCCTTTCCATGTACATTTTGGAATGATCTTGTCTATATCTATGAAAAATCTTGCTGAGATTTTGAAAGGAATTGTATTCACCCTATATATCAATCTGGAGAGAAAGGATGTCTCTACTATGTTGAGTATTTCAATTTATGAACACAATATGTTTCTCCATTTATTTAGATCAATTTCTTCGTGTGTGTGTGTTATACAACTCTTGTACATGATTTTTAGATTTATATCTAAGAATTTCATTTTTTGATCAATTATAAATGGTGTTATATTTTTAGTTTCAGTATCCATATGTTCATTGGTAATATATAGAAATACAGGTGATTTTTGTGTGTTTTCCTTTTGTCCTTTCTAGATGTTGCTGAACTTAGTTATTCCAGGAATTTTTTTTATCTCTGTGTAGATTGCTTGGGATTTTCTGTATTGACAATCATGTCATCTGCATAGGGATAGTTTTATTTATTTCTTTCCCAATATGGATGCATTTTATTTCTTTTTTTTGTGCTTTTCATGGGTGTAACTTTTGGCTCTATGTTGAATAGGAGTGCTAAGAACAGATATCCTTGACTTGTTCCTTTTTTTGGGAGAAAGCAATCCTTCACCATTAAGTAGATACTCATCAATTTTGTAGATACTACCTTTTAAAAAAATCAAATTGAGGAAGTTCCCTTCTAGTCCCATTTTTTGAGGGTTTTAATCATAAATGGATGTTGGATTTTGTGAAATGCTTTTTCTGCATCCATTTATATAATCATATAATTTTTCTTCTTTAGCCTATTGACATGTGGATTACTATGATTTTTTTAAAAAATATACTGAACCAGCTTTGCATCCATGAAATAAACCCAACTTGATCATGGCATATAATTCATTTTATATATTGCTGAAATTTATTTGCTAATATTTCAAGGGTTTTTACATTTATATTCATGAAATATATTGGTCTACAGTTCTAATTTTTTGTACTATCTTTGGTTTTGTTATCAGAGTAATACTATAAATATATAGTACAATATGTAATTTATTATATACATACTGTAAACACTTCATAAAGTAGATCAGAATGTAATGCTCTTCTATTTTATAGAAGAAATTGCATAGAGTTGATGTTAATCCTATTTTTAAATGTTTGGTAGAATTATATTATGAAGCTATCTGGGCCTGGAGACTTCTTCCTTGGAAATCAAAAAATTATAAATTCAATTTCCTTAATAGTTTTAGGATTATTTAAATAATATGTGTCATATTGGGTGAGTTGTAATACTTTGTGTTTCTTAACAAATTAGCCTATTTTATCTCTGAAATTTATGCATGTGGAGTTGTTTATAGTGTTTCCTTATTATCCTTTTGGTGTCTGCAGGTCTGCAGTGGTATCCCTACATTCATTCTTGATATTGGTAATTTGTGTCTTCACTTTCTTTTTAATTGTCAGAGGGTTTAATTCTAGAGGGTTGTCAATTTTATTGACCTTTCCAAAGAAATAGCTCTTTGCTTTACTGTGTTTTTTTCTATTGTTTTGTGTTTAGTTTCATTTATTTTTGCTATTACTTCCTTTCTTCTGCTTGCTTTGGGTTTATTTTACTCTTTTTCTAGATTTTTGGGGTAGAAGCTAAGATTATTGAATTGACACTTTCCCTCTTTTCTAATGTATATACTTAGTATTATAAATTTGCCTCTCAGCACTGCTTTAGCTGTGTGTTGTAAATTTTGATATGTTGTATTTTCTTTGATATTCATTTCAATGTATCTTTTATTTCCCTAAGACTTCTTTAACCATTGGATTATTTAGAAGTATTTTGTTTAGTTTCTAAGTGTTTGGAGATTTACCGGTTTTTGTTATTTATTTCTAATTTGGTTCTGTTCTGGTTGGACAATACACTCTGCATGTTTTCAATTTAAAAAAATTTGTTGAGGTTTGTTTATGCCCCAGGATATGATTTTTGATGCATATCCTGTGGGCACTTGAAAAGAATGTACATCCTGTTGTTGTTGGGGGGAATGTCCCATAAATGTTAATTAGATAATGTTGATTGATGGTGTCGAGTTCTTTTATATCCTTGCTGATTTTCTGTCTAGTTCTATAAATTGCTGAGAGGAGGTATTGAAGTCTCCAACTATAATTGTGATTTGTCCGTTTCTCTGTGTTTCACATGTGTTGCAGTTCTGTTGTGTATATAAGCATTTAGGACTGCTATGTATTCTTGGTAGATTGACCCTTTCATCATTATGTAATGTTCCTGTTTCTGGTAATCTACTTTGCTGTGATGTCGGCTTTATCTGATATTAATATAGCCATTCCTGCTTTCTTTTGATTAATGTTTGCATAGTATCTATTTTTGATCTTTTTATTTTCAATATGCTTATTTTATTATATTCGAGGTGAGTTTCTTGTAGATGGCATATTGTGTCTTATTTTTAGTTCACTCTACCAATTTCTGTCTCTTAACTGGTGTTTCTAGACTATTTGCATTTATTGCAATTATAAATATGTTAGGCCTCGAGTTTACCACTTAGTTTTTGTTTTCTGTTCTTTTTCATTTCTCAATTTTCTGTTCCTTACCTTCTTGTGGGTTACTTGAACACTTTTTAGAATTTCATTTTGGCATATCTTTAGTGTTTTTGAGCATATTTCTTTGTATAGCTTTTTTAGTGGTTGCTCTAGGTATTGCATTATATGTATGTAACTTGCCACAGTCTACCAGTGTTATTTTATAAGTTCAAGTAAAATATAAAAACCTTACTTCCCTTTGTCTTGTTATCTTCCCCCATTTATAATATACTTGCATTAAATATTTCCTCTACATATATTTAGAGCTATAATAGACCATGTTATAGTTTTCACTTCAACTGTTAAACATAATTTAGAAACTCAAGAGAAGGAAAGTCTATCATATTTATCCATAATTTCACTTCCTGTGTTCTTCCTTCCTGATGTTACAAGTTCTTTCTTTTGTTTCCCTTCTATTTAGAGAACTTCATTTAGCCATTCTTTTAGGTGAGTTATGCTTGATATATTCTTAGCTCTTTTTTAAAAATAGAGAACAGGGTCTCACTCTGTTGTCCAGGCTCGTCTTATACTCCTAGGCTCAAATGATCCTCCCACCTTGGCCTCCAGAAGTGTTGGGATTACAGGCATGAGTCACTGCACCCGGCTTATTCTTAGCTTTGATTCATCTGAGAATGTATTGTTTCTCCTTCTCATTCTTAAAGAATATTTCCCTTTGTATAGAATTTTGGGTTGACAGCTCTTTTCATTCAGCATTAGAAAAATATTGTGCCACTTCTTCCTGGCTTCCTGGTTTCTGATGAGAAGGTTGCTGTCATTCCAGTTGTTTTTCCTCTAGTGGTAGGGTGTCATTTTTCTCTGGCTGCTTTCAAGATTTTTTCTTTGCTTTTTGTTTTCAGAAATTTAATTATGATGTGGTGGTGTGGAGTTCTTTGGGTTTTCCTGTTTGGGATTCATTCAGCTTTTTAAATCTGTGGGGTTATATCTCTTTCCAAATTTGGAAAGTTTTCAGCTATTCTCTGAGTATTTTTTTTCAGCCTACCCCTTTCTTTTCTCTTTCTGAGTCTTTGATTACTTGAATGCTCCATCTTTTGCTATAGTACCATATGCCCCTGGTGCTCTATGCATTCATTTCCTCAGTCTTTTTTTCTCTTTCATTCAGATTAAATAATTTTTGATTGTTCTATCTAAAAACATTGATGATTTTTCCTCTATCTCTTCCGTTTTACTGTTGAGCCTATTCACGAAGCTTTATATTTTAGTTTTTACATTTTTCATTTCTAAAACGTTCATTTAGTTCTGTCTTCGATTTTTTTGCTGTGACTTTACCATTCGTTGCTGAGACTTATCTCATTTGTTTCAAGCATGTTCATAATCGCTTGTTGAAGCACTTTTCTGATGCTCCTTTAAAATCTTTGTCATAATTCTAACATCTTTGTCATCTTGGTGTTGTAATCTGTTGATTAGGTTTTCTCCTCACTCTTTGTTTATCTTTCTGGTTTTTAGTGTGATGAATGATTTTTGCCAAACCTGGATGCTTTTGATACCATGAGACTTGGGATTTTATTTAAACTTTGTTTCAACTGGTTTCCTTTGACCCTATTCCAGTGGGGGAGAGAAGGGAGTGCTGCTTTGCTACTTCCTAGTGGAAGTAAAAGTCCGGGTTTCCCTCTTGGCCTCCATTAATACCCAAGAAAGGGTCTCTCATTACTGCTGGGCAGGTATAGGAGTTCTAGCTCCTTATGTGGCTTCCACTAACACTGAGGCCAGGGTGGCCTCATTATCACTGGACAATGGCATAAGCCCTAACTCTCTACTTGTCCTCCTCTGATTCCACTACAGCAGGGAGGTGGTGGTGGTGATGGCAGCTGCAGGGAGGGGAGAGGTTATTACTGCCAGGTGTGGGGATGTCTAGACTTTCTATGTGGTTTCTACTGATACCATGAGGTGGAGGAGGGTTTGAACTACCCTGTGGGGATGAAAATTCCCAGTTCTCTGCTCGGTCGTCTCTGATACCAACCTAGCAGGAGGCTGGGATGACTTGATCCATACTGGCAAAGATGGAGCTCTAGACTCCCCATTCAACTTATGCTGGTGTGGGTAGGGCCAGTTTTTTCTTGTTGTTTTGTTAGTTTATAGGATTTATTGTTAAAGTTTTCTTTTTTGCTGCGCTGTCCCTTTCCTGGTCCTTTCGCTAAAGAGCAGGCTTTTGTGGTCTCTTTTGGTTGGTTACCATTGGTATTTATGGGTTGCTGGCTTCTTTATTTCCAAGTCTGGAATATACGATGGGGAAAGAAAATCTTTAGAACTCACCTCCATATCTTCCCTTGGAATCTGAGGTTCCCTAGCCAGTCTGCCTTCTTCTCTACACCTTTCAGAGTCTTATCTTCTTTCTTTTATGTGTATTGCCCAGGGATTTTAGTTGTTCTTAGTGGGAGGAGTACAGAAAAAACACCTATCCCATCTTCCTCAAAGATAGAATTCTATGTATCACTTTTGAAATAATAAATCTTAAGACAATTGAATATATTTTTGGAAAAGGGTCTTTTTTGATAATAGTTGGTAAATATGGCTTCTACATTTATTGAGGTTTTCTTATCTGTTTTCTAGTCAGTGGGCTGTGTGTGTGTGTACACAAGCTTGTTCCTTACAGATAACTAGAATGTCGATTTTAAAAAAGAACTTGCTATTGATTTGATTCAGCAATAAAAACGCATAATGCAGCAGTAAGGAGAACATGATCCCTGTCTTGTAATCTGTGGCATTTCCATTAAAAAGCATGTGCTTACTAAAAGCCTGCAGCTGTTAGTGTATTAATGGAAATAAGACACAGAGCCCAAGAAGTCAGCCAGGAAATTAATAGGATCATGTCCTGGTAGATGCCTTGATCAGCCAAGAATGAGGAATATAGAAAAAAGGTCTTTAAGTTCTGTACTACTTTTTCTTTGCCACCTCTCCCAGGGGCCCTGGACTCGTGGCTTAACTATCCTAAATAGTCTTGTGTGTCTGGCTTAATTAATCTTCACTCTGCTTTCTGGGAAATACATTTCATAATTTATGTGGGTAGCTAAATAAAGTTCTTGAAGACACATACCCAATATTAAATCAAACTAAGACTTGCCTTCTTCTTAAAATACTAGAGAGTCTTTAATCTTATAAAGTTATGCATTGGTTTGAGGGCGTGCTCTGTTTAAGAATTCCCTGTTAATGGAATAAATGGGAGGACAGCTCCCTCATAGCCCGTCTTATGGGCAATGACTATTTTACCATTTTATTAGTATCTGTGCCATGAAAGCACGATTTCAATCAAAATGGTAACTAATGAGGTATTTTTAAGGCTGTCTAATTTGGTACTTACCTGATGACTAATCTAACTATGTGAGCTGAATTAAGATGACTAAGTAGCCAATTCTAACAACAAAAAACTCAAAATAGAGGAGTTAGATGTAGTGACTTGATTCTGAGCAGAAGTTCCTGATAGCTTGATTTAAAAATCCTTGTTTAACTTAATTGTAAATCTTCTTTTCATGTTATTTCACTGTTTTTATTTTATTTTCTTGAAAGTAATCTACCATTAGTATTTTCATCAGTTGGATTGACAGCTAAATCCTCAGCCATGTATGGATGTCTCTTAATTATGACAAAAGACCTACAGAGCTAAAAATGTTGAATACCAGATGGACACTGAATTCATAAATTAGTCATCTTTCATTATCTACCCAAATAATATTTTTAAAAAGAAAGCTTTAATTCTTTAGTAGTCTATCGTCTATCTTCCTTGCATTGCTTAGGAGACTTGTTAACAAATATTTTATTGTGTGTGTGTGTGTGTGTGTGTGTATCTATTCTGGTACTTCTCTTGGTGCATGATATGGTTTGGCTGTGTCCCCACCCAAATCTCACCTTGAATTGTAGTAATCCCTATGTGTTAAGAGATCCTTCCTTGGGGTCGAGTGGAGGTGATTGAATCATGGGGGGTGGTTTCCCCCATACTGTTCTTGTGGTGGTGAATAAGTCTCACAAGATCTGATGGTTTTATAAATGGGAGTTCCGCTGCACAAGCTCTCTTGCCTGCTGCCATGTAAGATGTGACTTTGCTCCTCATTTGCCTTCAGCCATGGTTGTGAGGTCTCCCCAGCCATGTGGGACTGTGAGTCAATTAAACCTCTTTCCTTTATAAATTACCCAGTCTGAAGCATGTCTTTATTAGCAGCATGAGAACAGATAAATACAGGGCATGATACAGAATTATCCATGTGAGAAGCAGTTTGAATTTCAAGCATTGGCTTTGTAATCTGAGCAGCTTTTGAGTTGAAGTTTGTATCTGGATTTTTTTTAACCTAAATTCATGTGATGGTGTTGTATCTCCTGATCAGCACTCCAAAACTTCACTTTCAGATGACTGCTTATCTCTTTGTGGTGTTTCAACCAGGGCCTCCAAAGTGAATTTTGTGTGACATGGCCTATATTTTAAGTACACATTCTAGATCACCAAATATTATATATATATATCCATCTACTTTGTGATTCAGTAATAGACAACCTTAGCCTGATTGAATAATGACATATACAAGTTTTACATTCCCAGAAAGTTTTAGTCAATATCTTTAATACATATTTTAATAAGATACGTGATCTAATGATCTTTTAGTCACACTGAAAATTTTAGTCACAGTGAGCAGGGGTCCTCAACCTCTGTGGCAAATATTAGCCCCTATTATATATACACTTAAAACTATGATACACATTTATGTGTTTTACCATGAATATTATAGATTTTCCAATAATTCTTATCAGCTTCATCAGATGTTGTAGTGATGTATTTAAGACCTTTTAATAATGCAGACTGAAATGAGATTACCATTTTCTTTCTAGATCTAAAAATAAAATGGAAAAAATAAACATTATATAGTTGTTTTATAAAGACAGTCCACAAAATGGGGGAAATAGTTGCAGAATAAATAATTCCTACAAATCAGCAAGAAAAAAAATAGGCACAATCTAATGGAAAATGGGCAAAAGACTGGATTAGGCACTTTACAAGAGAAGGTATCTAAATGGTATATCAACATGAAAAACACTCAGTTTCATTGGTCATCTGGGAAATTTAAAACTACATTGAGATACCACACACCAGAAAAATGAAAACAGTAAAAAAGATGTAAAATACTAAGTGCTGATAGAAATGGAAAGCAACCAGAACCTTCACTGTTGGCAGTAAATAGTTTGGAACTCTAGTTGGTAGTATCTACTAACACTGAACATATCCATGTCCTAAGACCCAAGATTTCTAGTCCTAAGTATGTACCTGGCTAAATATAGTTATGTATCATCACCAGAAGGTGTGCAAGGCTGTTTTGTAATAATCCCAAACTGGAAAATACCCACATATGCATCAACAGTTGAATGAGTAAGTAGTAATGTATCTACACAGTGGGATAGTTTATAGCAAAGAGAATGAACAAACTACAACTACCTCCCACAATGTGAATGAATCTCAGAAAGTGGAGCAAAATAAGCAATAAAGTAACTCATATCTTATGGTTCCATTTATATGAAGTTCATGAATAAGCGAAAACTATTGATGATGTTTGAAGTCAGGATGGTGGTTACTCTATCTTGGAACATGTGACTAGAAGGAGGCATAAGCTGCTTCTAAAGAACTGGTGATGTTCTATTTCTTGATCTGGGGCTGGTTATATGGGAGTATTCACATTGGACAACTCGTTGAGGTATAAATTTATTATCTGTTCACTTTTAAAGCTGTTATTTTAATAAAGGTTTAAAAGTTTTCATCCCAGACACTGGCAATAACTTTAAATAAAGTGGATTGGGGCCCAGGAGGAGTCAGTGCCTGGTTATTTCTCTAGGTTGCTAGTTTCTGATCTTGATCTTGACATGATAGGTCTCTACTGTGCATGGGGAAGATGAAGACTTTGGGGTTCTCTCTTTGCTAATATTTTCCATTGACCTTACAAAATATTAGTGATGATTTGGAACCAAAACGTGTGATTTTTAAAGATACAACATTTTAAATGCTTAGGATTAAAAATAAACTTTTGTAAAACAGCAGTTGGTATCTTTGTGGTGTAGTGGAAGAAACCCTGAATGAGAAGACAGTGGACCCATGTTCTAGCTACTTTTTGTTCTCCTCCAGCTTGATGAATGGGGGCAAGTCTAATCCTCAGTTCCTTCTCTCTAGGATTAATATGTTACCTGCCTAAAGGGAAAGGGATAAACTATGCTTTAAACTACAACTTTTTTACTATTTTCATTTTTCTGGTGTGTGGTATCTCAATGTAGTTTTAAATTTCCCTGATGACCAATGCTCTATGCTCTCTTGGATCCTTTCTGAAATATAAGATCCACCCTCTGTTGTTGTAGGAGAAGCTCTTAAAGGAAGTGATGCCACTTATTCATACCATCACTCATTTCCAACCTTTTATTCTGTGGACATGTTCAATTATAAATATGGTCCAAACACAATAATAAATAATAGTTGGCATATAGCTAATTGTTATCTTAATGCTATTGATCATAAGGGTATCTCACCTTATCTTCACTCCCAAATTGATTTCTTGGTTTTCTTAGGATTTGTTGTTCTGCAGCGAGGATGCTTTTTAGGAAATGTTCCATACTGGTGAAGAGCAGAAGATCTTTGTTTTTATGAATATACTGTAGAGAATGTGGAAGACAGAGTTAATACTCTTGTTACCATTTATTTTAAGTGCCCTTGGATCTTGTTAGCCAGAATGTGGACCTGAGAGTACTATGTACAATTTTGCTTTTAAATTAAAGCAATATCTCTTCATAGGGGGTGGTTAGCAGAGGACTAACATTCCAGCTCCACAACTATTGCTATGTCTTAGGCAAGTTTGGTGTTTTTTTTTTTTTCACTTCTAGGCCTCGGTTTCCTCATCCATAAGTTAGGAATAAGAGTGGCTTCCACCTTATAAGAGCATGAGAAGATTAAGTGAGATGATGTATGTAAAACTCTCAATCATAACATGGCATGTAGCACATGGCAAGGTAATAAATGTTTGCTATTATCTGTCTTATAGTTAGCTCAGGTAGATTGTGGTTTCAGTATATTGCATCAGGGCCCATATAAATCTACTTGTTCATTAACACAGTAAATACATCTCAAGCCTACTGTGAGCCTGGCACATGGCCTACATCAGGAAATGAAACAAATCTCTCTGCCCTCATGGAGCTTACATTCCAGCTGAGGAAGGAAAGTAATAACAAGTGTAAGTAAATTATGTAGTGTGTTAGGAAAGGATATAGGAAAACTTAAGAGAAAGCTGCTGAGTAGGGGGAAAAGAGTTGCAAATTAAGATTGGATAGTCAGGGAAGGCCTCATTGAGAAGGTGATATTTGAACCAAGATAAGAAGGAGGTAAGGGAGTCAGGGGTAGACCAGGATTGGCACTATTTTGGGATGAGTAACTCTTTGCTCTGGGAGCTGTCCCATGCACTGTAGGCTGTTTAGCAGCATCCCTGGCCTCTACCCACTAGTTGTCAGTGGCAACCCCTTCTCCTGAGTCATGCCAATCAAAAACATCTCCAGGTATTGCCAAATATCCCCTGGGGGACAAAAATTCCTCCTGGGTGAGAAACACTGCCCTAGGGGAAAGAGTATTCCAGGCACAGGGAACCCTCGAGAGAAGTGTCCCTAGTGCTTGAAGAACAGTGAGGAGGAAAGTGTGGTTGGAGTTGAGTGAATGAGGGGAAGGGTAGTAGGTAAGAGAGTGAGATATAAGGCCTCATGACAATATTATTTGGCTTTTGCTCTGAGTAAATTGGGGAGACACAGCAGATTTTGAGCAGATCCAATTTCCATTTTGAAAGGATCACTTTGCTGTGTTGCAAGTAGGCTGAAGAGAAACAAGGGTGGACTTGAGGAAGCCATTAGTAAGGATTATAGTAATCCGGGCAAGAGGCAATGGTGGCCTTTTCACAAGGGTGGTATTGTAGTTGATGAGCAGTGGTTGGATTCTAGATATGCTTTGAAAGTAGAACAACAGGATTTCCTGATGGATTGGTTGTGGGTGTGTGTAACAGATGAGTTTCAAGGGATGCTTTGGCCTGAAAAACCTGAAGAACAGTTTCTATCAGTTGAGATGGGGGAAGGTTTTGAGTGGAGCAGGTTTGGAAAGAAATTAAAAATTGCGTTTTGGACATGTTGAGTTTGAAACAGTCAGGTGGAGATGGCCAATAAACAGTTGGAGGTATGGGTTAGAGAATTGGGGTTGAAGATAGAAATTTGAGGGTCATTGACATATAGATGAGATTTAAAGCTGGAAGACTAGAAGAGACCTTCAAGGGCAGAAAATATAGACTGGAGAAGGGGACGGGACTGAGTCCTGGCCCTCCAACATTAAGAGGCCGGAGAAAAGAGCAGGGATCAGCAAAGAAGACTGAGAAGGAACAATCAGAGAAGGAGGAAAACCAGAGGAGGCCAGTGTCTTGGGAGCCAAATGAAAAAAATATGTCAAGGAGGAGAATATGGTCAGATATGTCAAATGCTGCTGATGGATGAGCACAGAAAATGGACTGTTCTCTGTGATTTGTGGGAATTGGGGTCCAACAGAATTCTGTGGTCTGGATTACCGACATCATTATCAAACCCACAAAATAAATCTGCCTTAGTAACTAATAGAGATTCAATGATGGAGATATGTGTACGGGACAATTACTTAGCAGGATTCAGGAAATCTAGAATCTAGTCTCAGATCCACCACTACAAATAGCTTTATAACTTTGGGCAAATTCCTTATCTTCTTTTTCAATAATGTGGCTAAAAGTATAGACACTACCTACTTTGCAGGCTTGTTGGGTGGATCGAGTGACACTATATATAAAAGTGGCTTTGAAAATTATAGTTTGATATAAATATTGAAACATGATATGTTCTTGTTCATAAGAATGAATTAACCTTTAGTGCAGGATGATATTTTTCTTATCATAGACTTAAATTTTATGATTTTTATTTTTAATAGTTAAAATGCTGAGATACTTTCAAAAAAGTGTTTTATTGTATTTTTTGAGATAGGATCTCACTCTGTTGCCCAGGCTAGAGTGCAGTGGTGTGATCATAGCTCACTGCAGCCTCAGCTTCAAACTCCTGGGCTCAATGGATCCTTCTGCCTCAGCCTCCTGAATAGCTGGGACTACAGGTATGTGCCACCATGCCCGGCTAATTTATTTTTATTTTATTTTTGTAGAGATGGGGTCTCACTGTGTTGCCCAGGCTGGTCTCAGACTCCTGGGCTCAAGTGATCTTTCTGCCTCGGCCTCCCAAAGTGCAGAGATTACAGGTGTAAACTACTGCACCTGGCAAAAGTGCTTTAACAAGATATTAAGAATATCATTATCAAGCTTGCACAGAAAACAGCACACCATAAGTTTGGGTAAACATGCTGCCACTTGGGCATCTAAAGTTAGTATGAGTCACAGTTTTACAGATGGGATTCTGCTTAATTATTGATAATACATTAGTGAGACATGAAGTTAGCCCACATTTGTACTCCTCATGACTCAGTCATGTAACTACTGTCTGCCCTGTAGAATAGGATTTTTATTGTCATGAGGCCAGGTGCCATGGTTCATGCCTGTAATCCCAGAACTTTGGGAACACTGAGGCAGGTGGAATGCTTGAGCCCAAGCATTCAAGACCAGCCTGGGCAACCTGACAAAACCCTGTCTCTACAAAAAATTATGAAAATTTGCCGGGATGGTGGTGTGCACCTGTTTGGAAGGGTGAGATGGGAGGATCGCTTAAGCTCAGCAGGTCAAGGCTGCAGTCAGCTGTAATGGCATCACTGCACTCCAGCCTGGGCAGCGGAGCGAGATCCTGTCTCAAAAACAAAACAAAAAATATTGTCATATGTGGCTTGAGGTCAGAAATATCTGAATACACTGAGGCATTTACTCTGTGAAGAAGTCCATTTTAGTCAAGACCATGTGATACACATGATAAAGTTAGTTACCTCTTCTAGTGATTCTGGCTCCAAGGGAGATACATGCTTCATTTCAATGAGTTTAGACAGAAGATCCCTTTCTCTGTCAGAGATGGGCTGCTCTTCCAGCAGGATAGCACTTATGCTTTGGTCAAGTTTACTGTCCCTGGAAACTGCTGCCATTCTCAGTGTGATAGGGAATGCTTCCCTGAAATAGGCCTCCAGGCCCTTGGTCAAGGGAAGAGAAGGCAAGGGGGACAGATCAGTAGGGCTTCTATACAATTGCTGTTAAAGCTTTAAAATAATAGTTGAAAGAAAAATGGGGCTTGAGAGTTCTCATCTTTACTTGCCCTCACCATGGGTTATCATTGTCTTTAGCAGTTCTGGTGCAGTTTATGTGTGAACTGTTAAACAGCCACAGAAAGCTGAGATGCTGTGCTCATAGGAAAACCACTTCTGTGAAGCAGTGGTACGTGCATTTTGTCATATGCTGCCACGGGAAATCTGATTAGGAAAATCCTCTTCCTGGCCAGGCAGGAGGAACCAAAGGCCACAAGGGGACTCAAGTAGATTTGAAATGTTGCAAAGCCTAAAGCATTTATTCTCCTGGGGAACGGGGTCTGAGTCACAGAGAAAGAGAAGCAAAATGCCCTGTACATGTTATAAATACCTTGTAAAATGACCCCAGAAAGGCAGGGCTGGAGTCCTGGTGGGGTTCCCCAGCAGTGATGTGGGCCAGGCAGCGGATCAGCAGCAGAACAAAGCTTCCCACAGAGGCCAAACATTCTCTCCCAATGAACAGTGTGTTTTCAGCACTGTGAGAGGAGAAAACACCCAAACACAGAGATGTCCGCCCCTGGGAACATTCCCACCGCCCGTTTCTTTCTCAGGGTTTATGGCACATGGTCTAAAACAATACTCTCTGGCCCTAATGGAAATTTGCTGAAGGGAAGATTCAGATGACCGGGGAAAAATTGTTTGAGTTCAACTCTCTGAATAAGTCATTTGCTCCACTGTCTCCCAAGTTTTCCTACTGCCTCCATCTTACAGAAAACAAACTTAGAAATTCAGAGTTACTTGTGTATCTCTTTTGTCAATATCCTCCAATCACTGTTTCCTTAAGCAGTGGTTTTCAAACTTTTGTGTAATAAGAATCACAAGGGGGTGATTCTGTTCTCGAGACCCATCCCCAAATTCCTGGATCTGTGGGGTCTATGTGCTTCCATTTTTCCCAGGTTCCCCAAGTGGTTGGTTCAGGAGGTCTAAGGATCACAGTTTGAGAATCACTGCCTTAGAGGGCTCTCAAGGCTTTCTTCATCTTCCATGCCTTTATTGTAATCAAGTTTTCAAATCGCCTCTCTTGCCTGTTGATTTGAAGTAACTCTCTTGTTCATTCTCTTAAGAGACAGTAGGTTGGCATGAAAAAACTTCAGGTAGTTTGGAATCAGACAATCTGAGATCTATCCTTTGACTCAGCTGTGAGTGGCAGCTGCATAGACTCATGGTTATGAGTTTTTGGTGTCAAACACACCTGGGCTCGAGTTTTAACTCTTGCTAACTCTGTGATCTTGGGGAAGTTACTTAGCCTCTCTGGGCTTCAATTTCCTAATTTCTAAAACAAAGATAACAAAAGTACCCCATAGTGTTGTGAGTCGTAAATGAGACCATGCCTGTAAGGCACCTGGCTGAGTTCCTGGCACACGGCACTTGCACCACAACCTGAGTTCGTTTACCCATCCATAAAATGGGATTAAATTCTCGTCTATTTCATCGAGTTGCTTTGAGGATCAAGTGAAATGTGTGGAGAGTACCATATGTGAGTAGTTTCTGGTTTTATTAAACCCCCCAACAACCTACTAGTCAAGTATAAACCTTTTTCTAACCCTCCAGTATCGATGAGCAGTTTCTCCTCTCAGAATTGTTTAGCAATAGACTGTCATCAGTGTTTAAGGCAGTTACCAGCAAGGCACTTCCAATCTACATATCTGAAGAACTGCCAGGACAGGAACAATTTAGATCCTTTTCTGTAGAAAGATGCTGATTGTCCAGGATTTTCTGAAGCTGGAACCATGACTCTTATAGGAAATACCAGCCTGGAACCTCTGGCTTTGATAATGACAGAGATCTATTAAAGGGCACCAAGCTATTATGCTTCTCTGGGCACAAGCCAGAACATATTCATTTTACTGATTAGAGAAAGCTCTTACACTGTGACATTTATTATGCCTTAGCTAAATGACTTATTTCCAGGAGGGAATAAAATATGTCAGGATTTTAGGAAAAAATTATAAAATTTGTTCTTTTTGCTTTCATTTATCTATACTGGACCCCAGAATTTTATAACCCACATCTGGGAATGAATTTGCAGCACCTGGTAGAAGAAGGCACCTTGGAAGGCACTGCCTTGGGCTTCCATGGCAGGAAGATGAGAAGAAATCTTCAGGGTGATTTCTGGAGCCTGAAAAGAATAAAAAACAAAACCAAACCTATCCTTTTGCTAAAAAATTCTCATGCATCTCAGCTACGTGGCATCAGCCAAATTGATGAGAAGTAAATGCATTGGGGCATTAATTTAAATTGCAACAGGGTAAGTAGGCTTAGTATACAGGAAAATGGAAAGAGTAACTGCATATTTAATATTTATGCTAAATATGACAATCAATTTACTACTTTTCTAAATAGAACTTGACTAGACTAGAGAGATTTGAGCCATGATGCCTAGATTTTAACCTTGGCTCTGCCTTTTTGGCTGTGTGATCTTGGGTAAGTTTATGTAACCACTGTGTCTGTTCTGCTCAATTTTAAAATAGGAAAAATAATAGTATCTGTCTCATAGGGTTTTTTGAGGATTACATGAGTTAATTAATGGAAGTTATTAGAATATTTTCTGGCATGTAGAAAGTGACTAATTCATTCTACCTGTGATTAATATCATTCGAGAGATTAGACTTTGGATTGGTAAAATAACTCCCATAAATCCCCTTAAAGGAGAGACTAGAAAGTTTGCTGTTCCAGGTGCTTAATCCTAGGGAATATCTGCCATCTCAAAGGCTTCTTCCTGGCTACCCTGACCTTCTAGGCTCCATGAGTAACTGCTCCATAGAGAGGCCAGAAACAAGACTTACATGAAGCTGGGGGATAAGGAGGTGCAGGATGGAGAGGCCATACTGGTAAACCACAAACTCCCTGGCAGAAAGGTCAGTGGGTTGCACAGTTATCAACTCTTCCTTCTGCAGTGTCTGAGGTTTTAGAAGATCCTGCAGAGAGCTCTTTGGGTCTACAGAGATCAGGAGAAACCAGTAATAATTTCACTAACTTTTCTGTACAATAATGATATGTTAACAACACAACTCAATTTAGGAAAAGGTTTATTGCAACCATCTATCATCCATCCATCCATCCATCCACCCACCCATCCATCCTCCTGTGCTATATATGCATCATGCTACATGGTCTTCTGTCCACCTTTATGGAAAAAATGATTTTCAGTCAATAGGAACAGAGGGGCTAGGACAGAATGAGGGTCCACAGAAGATGGCAACAGATTTTCTTCTTCTATTTCCTTGAGTTGCTTGGAGCATTAAATGTAATATACTCAGAACAGTGTCTAGTACATAGAAAGCATTCAGCAAATGTTAAATATATTTAAGAATCTTACTTCCCTACAATATCTGTACGGAATGTCTGTAATGGCCTTGAGTATTTAAAATTTCTATTTTTTTAATTGTTTTTGAGAGAACAATAAAGAATGGATTGGTAGCAAAGTTTAGGGAAGACTGCTGAAGTAGCAGTCAGAAGACCTGTGTTCTGGCCCAGGTTCTATAAGACCCCAAGAAAGTCACTGAACTTCTTTGAGCATCAGTTCTCATCTATTAAAAAGTAATTAATAACCTTCTACTATCTTCTAGAACTAGAAGATATAAACAAGATAATGTATATAAAATTACTCTCAAAATTACAAGGCCAGTATAATGGCAAGACGAAGGTTGAAGTGGGGCTGGGAACCCTTAAAGGAGAGCTCATTTCTCTGCCATTCCCTTCCTAGTTTCACCCAAAGAAAGGAGGAATTAATAATGAGATTGGTCAAGTTCTCTGGAGTCAGTAAACTTTTTTTTTCTGGAAAGGGCCAGATAGTAAGTATTTTAGGCTTTGTTAGCCAAAAGCCAAAATTAGGGTTCAAAGTTAGTGTTCCCTTTCCTCACGGTAGAAGCATGGCCTCATTCTCCTACAAAGCCTTCTCTTGCTTCTCTGGTCCAGAAAAGCAAGTGATCTGCCCTCCTGGGAACTCACCAAAATGTGTTACCTGCATCTTCTTTTGGCACTGCCTTCATAGTGTTGAACAACTTTTCATTTGAGGAAGCACGTGAGGAGCACAGGGTCTGGGGAAAGACTCTTGGGGATTGAATTCCAGCTGAACTACTCACTAGCAATATGATCTTTGAATACTTTCTTGACCTATCCAGGAGCTTCAGTTCCCTCATCTATAAGATGAGTAATAGTACATAGTTTACTGGGTTGTTGTAAAAAGTAAATGAGTTAATACATCTAAAGAGTTAGAATAGTATGTGGCATATTATAAAGCACTCCATAAAATTTTTATTCTTCTTTTGTCATTTTTTCTCTAATCATTTTAAAATGTAAAATCTTTCTTAGCTTGTGGGCCATGCAAAAACAGGTAGCAGGTTGGAGTTGGAGGTATGGAGTGGGCCATAGTTTGCACTTCCCTGCTCAAGTTCAGGGGTGTTCATGGTGCTGTGCTTACCTGGAGCCCTGCACTGTGGTCTACTGAAAGGCACACATGCATTTTCTGTTACTTCTCTTCCACTTGGGATGTGTGTGAGTTGAAACGGACCTGGCTCTTCAGGTTAGGAAAGCCACGTGCTCTCTTGACTTCCAATTCCAAGGAGTGGTATTGGTAAAGTGATCTGGGGTCCCTTTGGGGAGCAAGGTCTTCTCTTCGTTCATTTCTTCTGTTTTTTTCCCTTTTCATTTTTTCCCTTTCCTGCCTCACACCTTTACATTAGCTCCTTCTAACATGTGGCTGGCTGGTATGGGGTGAAGTCCCAAGATTTAGATTCATGTTTGATGGGGAAGGCAGGGGGCCTTTGGAAATTCCCTTTTGGAAATTTGCTCAGTTATAGTTATAAGGGTACTTTGATTCCTATTTGTTATTCCTTATATGGGAAAATCACTTGGGGAACTTTAGTGTGGGGGTAGAGAGAAAGAGATGTTTGGCAAGGCAGGATTCTAACATTCCTAGATCCCAGGGGTTACCCCATCACATACCTTCAGTGCCCCCCATGAGAATCCCAAACAGGAGCTACAAGGGAAAAGGTTACCTGGTTTGTGATACACTTATTTTTGCAATTCAGCTTCTTCCTTGTGGGCTTGGGACCAGATGTCTGTTTTCTTCAGGATGGAGAAGAATGGTGAAGTCCAGATGATGTCAGCTTTATCTGTATCCGAACAGAGGGGAATAAAATAGTTATTGAGGTGAGGGCCTAGGGTTGTGGCCAAAGCCAAAAGGAGCCAGCTGTAGCATTGGATGTGACAGGCAGCCTCTAAGATGGCCCCAGTGACCCCCTAATGTGTATCCATGCCCTTGTGTGATTCCCTCCCCTTGCATGTGGGTTGGATCTAGTCGTTCATCCAAATGAATAGAACATGGCAAAAGTGATGGGTTGTCATTTCTGAGATTGAGTCAAAAAGACTGTGGGGCTGGGAACAGTGGCTCATGCCTGTAATGCCAGCATTTTGGGAGGCTGAGGCGGGCTGATCACTTGAGGTCAGGAGTTCAAGACCAGCTTGGCCAACATGGGGAAACCCTGTCTCTACTAAAAATACAAAAAAATTAGCTGGGCATGGTGGCGCACACCTGTAATCCCAGCTACTCGGGAGGCTGAGGCAGGAGAATCACTTGAACCTGGGAGGCAGAGGTTGCAGTGAGTGGAGATTGCACCACTGCACTACAGCCTGGGCAACAGAGAGAGACTCCATCTCAAAAAAAGACGTTGGCTTCCACTTTGCTCGCCCTCTCTCACTCTCTGGCCTCCTTCCTCTGAGAGAAGCCAGCTGCCATGTTGTGAGCTGCCCATGAAGTCCATGGCAGGAATTGTTGTCTCTGGCCAACAGCAGGCAAGGACTTGAGGTCTGCCAATAGCCATAAGAGTGAGCTTGGAAGTGAATCCTCCAGCAGTCAAGCCTTGAGATGACTGCAGTCCTGGCCCACACCTTGAGTGTAGCTTGTGGAGACCCTGGGCCAGAGGTACCCAGCTAAGCTGCACCCAGATCCTTGGCCCAAAGAAACTGTGAGAAAATAAATGTCATTTTAAGCCATCAGATTTTAGGGTCATTTCTTACATGGCAATCAATAACTAATGCATTTGGTTCCTCTAATGTTCTTCCTAAAGAACCTACTGGGGACACACGCCTATGGTGCTGGGAATTCTAAGTGTAGCATTAGGACCTATTGAAATGGCCAGGATTGGCTGCAGAAGACAACGCTGGAATAGGGACCAGCCTGACCTGTTTCTGGCCTCTGATCCTCCAGCCCTGGAGCTCCTACTAGCGCTGCAGTGAGCTGCTTCAGGAATGGGATCAACAGGGGGCAGGTAGCAGCCCGGTCCCTGAGAGAAGTGGTGACTGTTCCATAGAATATGTCTCCAGGGTAATTCTCCAAACACACAGGGGTTCTTGAGGCAATCATCTAGGATGAAATAGCACAGAGTTCCATGCTTGGTCCCCACCTGTCCCACGTGGTTGCCTTGGGAGTCTCTTTCTGAGGCCCCCTATCAAAGATGGAAATACAGATCTCCTCAGCCAAGTCCAGTCCAGGGATCAGCACCTGGGTGTGCAACAGCTGGAGGCAGCTCCACTCCCGTCGGTACTGCAGCTGACCCAGGGCCTTAGCCAGGAAGTTCTGTCTCTCCCTCACCACCCACTGAAACTCATCAGAGGGACGCTGAACCACCTACAACACAGGGAACGTAATGGCCAAGTTAAGATGAGCCTTCTTTCTTCTCACTCCCCTTCTGGCACATCCAAGGTTCCTTGAGCCCACCTACCCCTGAATATTACATTGCCCTGAAGAGCCACATCTGATGATGTGGGAGGATGTGCTCATCACATGTGGGGACCCTTGTCAGCCTCAGAGCGTCACCTTCCTGGGGCGGTTCCAGACCTGTGGGCTCTGATTCCTGCTTTGCTGCAGCCGCATCTCCTCCTCCTGGCCCTGCAGCCGGCCAGCTGCTTGCCTAAGCTTTTCTGCTGCCTGCCCTAAACTGCAGGACCTTCTGCATACCTAGCACCACCTGTGCCTCCTGTTCCCACTCCTCTCTGCTGCAAATGGCAGAGAAAAGGCCACATGGCAGCGACCACCACCAGGGGTAGGGAGGAGAAGAAAAGACAATAGATTATCGGAGTCAGGGGAACCTGCAGGTAAGAGCCAGGGCCTGGCTGAGCCTGGGAGAGCTGAGCACATTCAGAGGGCAGGAGGGGCTCCCCACGGGGCAGCTATCTGTGGTGATGCACTCCCTGGAGATTTCTGCTGTGGGGATCTGAGCCTAGGAGATGCTTTCCCACCTTGAGAGAGCAGGCCCCGCTCTGGGCTGCTGTGTGTGCTCAGAGCCCTGGCTCTTCTCTCCATCTCCTGCAGGCAGCGGGACTCAAGGGCCTGGCAGGCCTCCTCTTCAGCCTTCAGCTATGTAGGACAGAAGGGACAAAGGAATGGGCCTCGGAGGGGAAGGCAGGAGCTCTGGGTGGGGCTCCTGTTTGCTTTTCCTCCCCTACCTCTGTCCTGCTTAGATACTTAGGGGTGACTGAAATCTTGGGCCTGGGGCTGGGGAATCTTGGGACTGTGTCTTTTCTGAGATGGATTTCATTCCCATGGTTGAGGGAGAAAAGGACTCCAAACTTTCAAAGAGAAAACTGTGCAATCTTGGCAGATGGGTGGGGACTGTGAGGTGGTGCCTCTGGGCCTCACCTGCTGCTCAGCGCCACTTTCTGCCGTGGAGTGGAGCTCCTGGCTCAGGTGCCCCAGCTGTTCCAGTAGCTGCTCCTCCTCCTGTTCCTGGTGGCACCAGTACTGCTCCTGGGCTCTCAACTCCTGCTCCAGGATGTCCAGCTACAATATCCAGCCTGTTTAGGGCTTACTGGCTTTTTCTGCTCATGGCCCCACGTGGTCCAGCCGTAGATCCCCAAAGTTTCACAGGGTAATGGCCCTCCCTGACCTTGGGTATCTATGACTAAACTTGGTGAGGCCATCAACTTGGTTTTATTTAATTAATTAATTTATTTATTTTTGAGACGGAGTCTCATGTTGTTGCTGAGGCTGGAGGGCAATGGCGCAATCTCGGCTCACTGCAACCTCTGCCTCCCAGGTTCAAGCAATTCTCCTGACTCAGCCCCCCAAGTAGCTGGGATTAAAGGTGACTGCCACCACACCCGGCTAATATTTTTGTAGAGACGGGGTTTCACCGTGTTGGCCAGGCTGGTCTTGACCTCCTGACCTCAGGTGATCCTCCCACCTCTGCCTTCCAACAACGTGGTTTTAGCTAGAAAAATAACCATACATTTTCTTCAAGCTCCCTGGTTCCTCCCTCCCTCCTGGTGACACCTGCTCCAGAGTCCCCCATGCCTCCTGCCCCCACTCCTCTCTTGGGAAGTCCAGAGGAGACAGGCACGTGGCGGCAGGAAATTGTTCTCACCCTCCTCATATCGTGAAGACATACTGACCTGTGAAACAGTGGTGTCAGGGCTAGAATTGAAATTTCTTGGCTTCTAACAAGAACCTTTTATTTATCACATACCTTTTATCACAGTTTCTGAAACGTAACCAGACTGAGAATGTATGGGGGCCCTAAATCATTTTCATTGTGGTGGAGATCTGCCAATGGCTGAATTACCGCAATAACCTCCTGACGGGGCTTCCTCTGCTAGTCTGGCCCCACTCCCATCCATCCTCCGCACAGCTGCCAGGGAGAGCTTTCTAGAACGCTGACTGTACCTACACATACATAAACATAAAAATAAATGGGAGGAGGTGTGCCAACTTGTGAAGTGGCTGGGTTTGGTGGGAGAGACAGGGGGAGAGGTAAAGAGTGCCTGGATGGGGATGCCATGGGGGTGTTGACTGTGGGTGGAGGGAGAGGAATGGGCAGGAAAGCTTTTGCTTCTTCATTGACATACTTTAAAATTGTATGAGTAACTTATGTTTTGTATTGTTTCATATTTTCAAAAATTTAAAGTCTTGCATTTATATTTGATTATATCCCATGTCTGAGAACCCTTCAGCAGCTCCCCGTGGCTTTCATGATAGAAGATACATTTCTCATACTTGCTGCCTTTGCATTTGCTTTCCCCGAGGCTGGAGTGACTTTCTCTGCTGTCTCTCTGCTGCGTGCATTACCTCATTTGGGAAGCCTTGAGCTCTCCTGTGTGTGTTGAGATGCCCTCCCCTGAGCTTTCTTAACACCCTTGTGAACCACCCACTGTTTGGGACCCATGGCCAGCCAGTTCCTTGGGAGCCCTATCTAGTTGTCCTTGTATCTCAATGCCTAACATGTTGCCTGGAACACAGCTCTCAATATGTAGTTGCTGAGTGAATGAATGAATGAATAAATGAATACAATAAACCCCCCTACATACCAGACCAGGGTCTCTCACTCCCCGAGGTAAAGCCTCCAGCACCTGGACAACGGGCACCACCACTCTGGCAGAGAGATCCGTTTGAGCTCCAATGACAGGACCAGGCTTTCTAGTCCAGGGGTCTATGGCTTGAGCCCCAATCGAGATTGGGATTAGACCTGTGGGATGCCAAGCCCACCACTGGCTTTAGAAACCAGAGATGGGGAAGGAAGGCAGGTCCTTTTTCTGGCAAAAAGGAAGCCAGAAGAGCCCCTGACCTCCTTTTGCCCTTCAAAGGGCTCTAAGCTGGATTATAGGGCTCCTGGTGGCCACAGCCCTGGCGTGGGGGTGGGTGGTGAGTTTCTGAAGTGCTGGTCTTTGAAAGGACCCAATAATCTAGGGGAGACATACATGATTTATGGTCCTGGGGTTTTGGAATCTTTGGGCACCTTTAATTTTGGGTCTCAGCAGCCCTAGCAGAAGACCAGAATGACCCCTTCCCTTGGCACATGGGTACCCCTCCTGAGCTTTAGGGGGTTTTCTCTCCCAGAGCTAAGTCACATTCCTGAGCTCTCAGAGGTCCAAAGTTCTCTCCTACCTTTGCCATCAGCGTCTTCCATTGAGCCTGCCAGCGGTGTGGCATCGCCAGAATTCTCATCATGCTCCATGCCCAGGATAGGCACCATGAGCCCCGAGCCCTCAGGATCTGGGATCTCCATTCCATACAGGGCTGGGGCCCACAGCTCTGTCCCAGGATAGCGCATCATTCCCAACACCAGGGGGAGAGGGAGTGAAGAGGAGGAGTTGCGGGTTAAGCATCACCCTGAAGTCTTTCCAGGTTCAAAGTACTACGTCCCTGACCAGAGAGGCTTCCCTGCAAACACTACATTTGTTTTCTTTAGGCTCAACTTAGCATTCTGAATTCAGAAAGGAAGAAAGGACAATGCCCTAATGGCCTGTTTTGGAAGAAGCAAGTGGGAATTGAGTGGCATCAGACCTTTTGAGAAGCTGAGAACAACTTCTAAAAGAAGGGGGCTTGTGTTCTTGAGCACCTGCCATTCCTCAGAATCTGAACTCAGGACTCTGTAGAAGTTATATTTCACTCAGTCCTACAACCCAAGCTATAAAGTATGCACAATTTTTTTTTTTTTGAGACGGAATCTCACCGTCACCCAGACTGGAGTACAATGATGTGATCTCAGCTCATTGCAACCTCCACCTCCTGGATTCAAGCGATTCTCCCGCCTCAGCCTCCCAAGTAGCTGAGATTACAGGCTCCCACCACTATGTCTGGCTATTTTTTGTATTTTTAGTAGAGACGGGGTTTCACCATATTGATCAAGCTGGTCTCGAACTCCTGACCTCAAGCAATCCACCTGCCTCGACCTCCCAAAGTGCTGGGATTACAGGCGTGAGCCACCGTGCCCGGCCAGTATGCACGATTTTACTCTTCCTTTTAAAAGATGGTAAAACAGTGGCAGGGAGGGGTTAGTTTTAATAACTTGCCCAAGGTCAAAGAGTTAATAAATTGTGGGGCAGGTCTTCAAACTCAAGTCAATTCTGACCTGGTTCTTTTTGTTTTGTTGTTATTTGTGGGAAGAGGGTAATTTCTAGAATGAGTGAGATTAACTCCAGGAAGATGCCACTCCTACTTCTCCTTGCCTTTCCTTGTATCAGGGCTGTCGGTGGGAGGTGGAGTTTTGGGATGAACTCCTTTCTTGCGTTTATTCGTGGGAAGTGGAAGACTGCTGCAGAATGAAGGTGAGAAGGGATTGAGGACTCAGGAGATTCAGGCTTTGCAGCTAGAGGACCCCAGCTGGGCAACTCATTTAACTCTCTGAATGTCAGGTTTCCCACTCTAAAATGGGTATCATAGCACCTGTTGGTGGTGTTTCATGAGCCATGAAGTAACAAGAGAATGTATGCTCCATAACATAACTCAATGGCATTGGCAAGAAATTAAGACAGGGAGGCAGTCAAGCACTCATGGGGTCGGGGTATGAAGTCATGGAGTTCCTTCTCTCTTCCCTTGGTCACGCATGTGCATGGCCAGTAGGGCTGCAGCCCTGTCCCTGAGCTTATGGGCCTAGGAGCATCAAAGCACCAGGTCATTCTGGGCCCGAGATATCGGGGCCTGAGAGCCTCTGGCCCAGATTCATCCATACCTATCCTGCCACCACTGGCTTCAATGTCATCTGCTGTCACCAGCTGCCTCTCCAGCCTCTGAGCCTGCTGCAGGACATGGTGCAGAGTCAAGGCCAGTGGCTGTCTCATGTCCTTAATGGCAGCCTCCAGAGTTTCCTGTACACCCGACTCTGGACTCTCCTGGCACGGCTGAAGCACTGCAATCACTTGCCTCTGGGCCACTAGCACATTGGTGTCCAGCAGGGCCTGTGGCCCTCCCATATGGGGCAATGTCTGGCCCTCTCGTCAGGAAGCCCCCTGGAGCCGGACTGTCTTCCTGCTCAGTGGCTCCACAAAGCTGTCACCAGGCAGCAAGAGGTTCCCCGAAGCATCTCGCAGCCCTCCCAGTACAAGTAGCTGAGCTGGAAGAAAGAAACCAAGGGGGCAAGGTGGGAGAGGGAACCAGCAGGGATGTAGGCAGGTGTGGCATAAGGGGAACTAGGGCACAAGGGTGGAAGTGAGCTGTGGGAGGGAAGGAGGAGGGGGAGAGGGAGGGGGCAGGGGGTAGAGCATGGTGGTGACAGGTGGAGAAATGGTCCTTTTTGGTTGAAAAGTGTCCATTAACTTTATAGAAGTACCTTGCTTCTCTTCCCCTCCCCAGGGGCACTGGAGTAGAGATGGGGAAGGGGAGAGGGAAGGTTGGGGGTAAGAGGCTGAGAGGATGAAGGGTGGAAAGAGGGTCGTGGGTGGAGTTTGTGGCTCAGATCAGAACATGGAGGGTGTAGGGGGCTGAGAGGAAGGGGACTGGGAGGCCAGGCCAGGCATGGAGGAGGGCGAGGGAGGACAATGCTGAGGGCTGCCGGGAGACCTGTGTTTTCATCCAACCCGACTCCCAGGATGGGCGAGATGCCTCCTGTGACTGGATCCTCCATGGGCCCCCCATCTCCAGAGGGGCCAAGGTCTTGGTGAGAGGATTGCAGTATGTCCTCCCAAGAGTGAGCCACTGCCTTGTTTGGGGGTGCAGATTCACAGCCAGCACGGGCACCTTGATGCCTGTGACGGGGTCTGTCATGAGAGCCCCCAGCGGGGACGTCCTTCTTGGCTGCAGGATGGGCAGGTGCGTGGCTGGAGGGGAACCTGTGGTGGGACTGGTTGGGTAGGGCACATAGGGCAGGATGGCAGCTTCTGATGTTCGGACACCACCTGGACAGGGATACAGGGAGCTGTTGGTACCCTTTAATGCACCAGCCTCCTTCAGCCCTGCAGAGCAGGACAGAGGGGCCTTGGGACCTGCCTCCTTTTACCATGCAGCTCATGGCACCTTCTGGATCCAGCAAGAATGTCAAGATGAGGAGGGGAAGGAAGTATTTACTACTCTGCTGGTCACCAAGCCCCACTGTCCAAGGAGAGAGCCCTGCGTCCTGTGCTGTGCTCCCTGGGAGCTCATTCCTGAGAGTCCCAGCAAGCCCTGCCTCATCTCTGAAGCCCAGAGCTGAGTTGGGGATAGTCAGTGGGCCAGGGGCTCACCGGCATTGGTGTCCATAGTGGGCACCAGGGTAGCTCTCAGCAGATCATATCCCAGGTGTCCAGCCTCGGGCAGCACCCTCCCAGTGTCAGGGTGGATGAAGTAGCCAGGGGGTATGGAGCCTGCGTGGCCGCTGGCTGGAAGCATCAAGGAGTTGGGGCCAGGGACCATCAACTTGGTGACGGGGTTCACACTGATGTCATCAGCACCAGGAGGGCCTGCTGGGGCTGCAGGAAAGCAATCATTGCCTGCTCAGCCCTGGGCTGGGGGCCGGTGGGAGAGGGAACATGCGGGGACTCCCTTGGCTGGTGACTGGAAGGAGCTGGTGAGAACTCCTCCCCAGCCTCCACAGACATTGTGCTCCTGAGGGGGCAGGGGTCTCATCTTTGCTAACTCCAGAGCAGTATTCCACGTGCCATTGTGATATCATTGCGCAGGCCGGCAGAGACTGGAAAAGCCTCGGGAAATGGTGGCAACAGCCTACAGGGGGGCTACGGGATTCCCAGGACTCAGCAGGCCTGCGAGACCCCAAGACAGGTTCATCATTTACCAAACTTGGCCGTTTGCCTTCATCTGCCAGGCTTTTATTTTCAGGAAGTGCCTCCGGATCTATAAAGCTATGACTTGCCATGGCTTTGTTTCTTCCTTGGTTCTTCCCACTTTCGAGGCTCCTTCTTCTTTTGGGCAGGCATTGCATGGGAAGCCCCTCCCGACCTTGGGGTGTCCGCTCTGTTTTGCCCTCTTCTACCTCTCCTCCCCTGCTGGGTGTCTGGGGGTGGAACTGGAGTTTCTACAGGGCTAGTTGCCCTGATTCAGGGCCAGGTTTCCTGGGGGGCCCTGGCTGAGGCCCAAGCAAAGCTCACCTGGCCTCAGTAGCTCCGCCCCAGTGCCGGTGCCCAGAATGCCCCAGGCCTTCAGGCGGTGGCCCTCCTGCAGCACGACCTGGGACAGGTGGCCCAGCACCGTGTCCAGCTGGGGAACTGCCCTGCAGGGGCACAGGAGCAATCAGGGGTGGGAAAAGGACGTTTTGTTTTGGCCAGTTCCGGGACCCCCTGCAGCCACATTCTCTCCTCCCCATTTCATGTCTCCCTAAGTCTGATCCAGGTTGGCCAGATCCACACTTTTCTGGGTTCTGCCCAGCCGGAGAGGATTTCTCTGACCTGGAGCCCATCTGTGCTTTCAACTGCTGCTGAACCTCCCTCAGCGTCGAGCAGAAAGAGGCCCACTGCTCCTGCCTCCCGAGGAGGTTTTGGCGAAGGAGCTTGAGTTGGTGACGAAGGCTGGCTGCGTACTCGCCTGCCAGGTGCCTCCTCCGGCTGGCCTTCTCTTCTGCAGCCCAGGCAGCTGCCTCAGCAGCCTGGGTCAGAGACAACCCTGCCTGCTCACCTGCAGGCGCTACAGCCACCAGGGACAGCAAGCTCGGGGACACCCCACTCACCTTGGGAACTCCAGAGTTATTCTGGACAGGCATGGCAGCAGCGGCAAAGGGGATGAGAAATTCCCAGAGATGGTGGGAACTGTAGGTAAGAGCTTTAGGGCCAGGGAGATGGAACAGGTTGGGGAGGTGCTAAGGGAGGGAGCCTGGACCTCAGTGAGGGGAGGGAGTTGTGTTTGGGCACAGAGACCAGAGAGGAAGGCGTGAACCAAGCCCACCTGCTGCTGCTCCCTCTGCACGCTCCTCAGAAGCCGGTTAGCGGAGGCTGGGAGGCAGCGCCTTGTTCCCCACAGCTGCTGGAGAGAACGGGCTTCACCCAGAAGTTTAAGGTAGAGGAGTTTGAGCTGTGAGAGAGGGTGGATTGAGTGTGTGTGAACTCTGTTCCCGGAGCCACCCAGCCTCTCACTGTTGTGATTGCAGCGCCCCCTGCTGCCAACAGCTGGAGAGACTCCAGAACCCCACCCCCCAACCCCCAACCCCCAACCCAGACACTTGGAAAGAGTGAATGAGGACAGACACTGGCTCGTCCCAGCCAGTCTCAGCATGCACATTCTGCTGGGGAAGCCCTGGCCCAGTTTTGGTACTTGGACTTCTAATGTATTCTTTTTGCTTCTAATGCCTGCCATCTACTGGCATAAATTTGCTCACCTAGTTGGGCTACCGAGGACTAGGGATGGAGATCTGAGAAGGAACTCCAATGGTGGCCTTGGTAGAATCCCTATTACTGGTCCGAAGCCCTAGGTTTCATGAAATCAGTTCTAATTTTAATCTGAAATCCTCTATCTCCCCTTCCCATATACTCTCCTTTATTCTGATTCCTTTAGGACTCTATGTTCCATATTCTTTGGACTCTATGTCCTATAACCAACTCTCCTGAAGAGGAGACTCTTTCTAGCCCCACATGTTCCTCCAGTCTTGGGTAGAAGTGTTGCCTGGAGCTGCCAGTTACCTCTTCCTTCGTGTGGCTGAGTTTGGCTGTCACTGACAGAGACTGCCTGAGGCAGTCTCCAAAGAAGGCCTCTGTGTCAAACCACTCCAGATCTACCTGCTCCTCAGCCTCCCAGCTCCCACCTGTGGGGGTCGGAGGGAAGAAGGATTATCCTCCTGAAATGCAAATATGAGCTTCCCTACAGATCTTCCATGCATCTTCTTCCTATAGAGCCTCAACAGTCCAGGCACAGTCTTGCTACTGAAAGTGTAGTTCTTGGGTAAGGAGCATCAGTGCTACTGAGGAATTTGTTAGAAATGCAGAATCTCAGGCCTCATCCAAGACCTACTGAAGCAGAAGATCCCCAGGAAATTCATATCTACATTAAAGTTCTAGGAGCACAAACAAATCCCAGTGTGGCTGTCTGAGGACCATGCTGTGAGTAGCAAGGATAGAAGGGGAACCCTTCAGTGTGACATACAATAAATACCTTCTGCAACTTGCTCCTCTAGATAGTACTGGTCACTGTGTAACTTGGCTGCTTTGTACACGGTTATACTATGTTTCTTTTGGAAAGTGTGTTTAGATGTCTCTTTCCTGCTCTATATTGCCTATGCCTAGTGCCCGGCAGTGTTATGACATACAGTACCACTCAGAAAAGATTTTTTGAGCAAATCAGTGGATGAATGAAGAGGAATTGAGAATTGAGCAATCTTGGAAGATGGAAAAAAGAAGCAGGAGCTGGCTAGTTGGATTTGGGGGTGCCTCTGGGATTCTAGCCCACCTGTCACTCACCAGGACCCCCCTCAACCCTGGGGGCGTCAGAGTCTTGGTGAGATCGGCCTCTCCTTATTGACATTATCCCAGTTCTTGGGGAAGTGTAGGCATCGAGGTTGCATTCTTGCTGATGTCTCCTGAAGGTGGGGTGGGGAGCAGCCTTCCGAGCCCAGCTCAGGCTGTGACACTGCATCTACAGAGTACATAATGGGGAGTGGGAAGGGAAGGGCGAGCTGAGGGAGCAGCATCCTTCCTGAAGACTCTGAAAGGAAACAGGTCGCACTTCACCGTGGTTAGGGAGCACCTCATCCTCTCTTGCTTGGACTAATTGTTTAGGTCTCTGTCGTTTTTCCCCCTCTGATCCATCTCTGTCCTCCACCCTACTGCTAGAGTACAAATAAAAGTTGGACCAGGTTTTCTCACTTGCTGAAAGTTCTTATCCCTTGCCTAGGGGTTAGAGTCCAAACTTCTTAGCAGGGCCTGGAGGCCATCCCATTTTAGTCTCCCTCCCAGTTCCAGCCTTATCCTTGTCCTCACACCTCAGCTCCAGTCATGGGAAACCCCGTTTGGTCACCAGAGGAGATGTGTGTTGTTTCATGCCTATGTGCTTGCTGTGCTCACAATACTCCCCTTCTCATCTCTGTTCCTCCTCCCCACTGCGTACCCCCTCCTCAACTTACCAACCCTCTGGTAGTACAGGGACCACATTATATTAATAATTCTCCTGTTTCAAACCTCATTCAGGCATCAACTCTTCCGGAAAGTCTGTCCTGACCTCCACCCTCTCCAGGGAGAACAGTCAACTCCTGCCTTGGTGTGCACCCTGGACATGCTTTAGCTAGCTCCATTATATTTGCTGACATGTATTTGTTTCAAGCCCTGGAGGCTTGAAACTGCACCTTTGTCACCTTTGCATCTTAGCAACTATTAGAATGCTTATCATAAACAGGAATGGAAGACCCACTTATAGGGGATTGGAGAGGTGGTCTTGTGGAGTGGTTAAGATGTCGCTTGTCTGGCTTTACTCAAAGCCCCAGGAGCAGCACAATCTCCCCCAGGAGTCCTGGCCAGCCAGACCTCTTCAGGGCCTGGGGGATCCTGGCGATGCCAGTCTGGATGAGATACCTGGGAGTTGTGGAGGCAAAGGGCCCTTCCCCACAGCACTGGCCCCCTGGCGGGAGGGCCCGGACATAATGGATGGAAAGAAGTCTGTTCAGTCTTTGTCCCACTGTCTGCCAGAGACTGGCCACAAGACAGAGTGGGACCCACGCCGGCCAACACCGACCAAATAGTTGGATGACTGTGTAAACCTGGGGACTGGGAGGCAGAATCAGAGTTTTCCTGGGAAACTTGTTCACATCAGATGACTCAAATCAGATGACTATCTGTATGAGGGAGCTGTGTGCATGTTCTGGGACTAAGCCAGTAAAACCTCTTGGATGTTGTGCTGACAGGGAGATACTAAATGCTGTGTGTGGCACTAACAGCACACCTGGATCAGTGTGGTGGTGCAATGTGCAGGTCACACAGATAAAACCATGCATAGGTGGGCTTGGCAGATGGGGGTCGGGGGGAGACAAAGTGGAGGATTGGGAGAGATAGCCAGAGGTCCTAAGCCGCTCAATGCCATTGATGTCCCTGAATACATACTTGTGTTCCCATCCTCTCAACCTTCCCCTCCTTGCACAGCACATGCTGGGTTGCTGTGAAATGAACTTTGGCATCCCAGGACCATCTGTTAGCATTGTGGGACCCTGAAACTGATAGGGACATCAGGGCATCTCCTTCCCTGCAGATCTGTCTGAGCTGGTTATGAGGCAGTATTTATTTTTTTTTTGAGACAGAGTTTCACTCTTGTTGCCCAGGCTGGAGTGCAGTGGCACGATCTCGGCTCACTGCAATCTCCACCTCCCGGGTTCAAGCGATTCTCCTGCCTCAGCCTCCCAAGTAGCTGGAATTACAGGCATGCACCACCATGCCCAGCTAATTTTGTATTTTTAGTAGAGACAGGGTTTCTCCATGTTGGTCAGGCTGGTCTCGAACTTCCGACCCAGGTGATCTGCCCTCCTTGGCCTCCCAAAGTGCTGGGATTACAGGTGTGAGCCACCACACCTGGCCTGCAGCAGTATTTTTTAAAGAGAGGGGAAATAATGGGATAATGTCTTAAATGAGGCAAATTATCGTAGACAAACCATCTTCCGATGTCGGTTGCTGCTCAGACGAAAGACATAAATGCCCGGCTTTTGGAACTGCTGCAGAAAGAGGCTGAGGCTTTGCTCATAGAGCTGGGACTCCTCAGCCAGGGCCCGGAAGCGCCGCCAGTCATATTGCTCCAGTGTGTTATAGAAGTGGCCCCTGAGGAGAGAGAAAGGAGGGAATACGTTGCCTTTGGGAGTGGTGGCTGATGCAGGGGCATTTCCTCTCTAGGGCCTCCATGATGATGGGGCTGTGGTCTCTGGACACTCACAGGTCATACTCTGGGTAATGCTCATGAGTCACCAGGAAGGCCAGGGTATCATTGACTTGGAGGCAGACTGTGGGGTTTCGGATGCCTGGCTCTGGGGGCAGCAGATCCCCAAGATGTGTGGAGTTGAGGCTCAGTGACCAAGAAGAGTCCAGATGTCCTTCCCTAGACTTTCCTAGGTAAGATTCAGAGAATGAGGGAGAGCTGCCACTCTTCAGATGGGTTTGTGCTGGGACCTGGGAAGGGTAGGGGAGGGATAGGAGGGGCAACAGGTGAGCTGCGATGCCCACCTGGATCCTGGTCTGGACACCTGGGATCCCCGAGGGGAAGGCCTAGGGAGTGTAGTAGCTCACCATCTGGTCAGGTCAGGCCCAGGAAGCCAAGCGCTAGAACAAGCAGGGATTCCCTCTGACCCTGCAGGGACCGGGGTAAGAGTTTTCCCAAGAGCATGTATATAATCAGCAGCTGTTCAGCCTGGTTTGCACGTGGTAGCTTCAACTTTCTGAAACATTGAGGGGGGTCAGAATTTGCATGCAGTTCTCAGGGAGCCCTCCCTAGGGGAGTGGTTGCCCTGTCAAACCTCAGCTTCTGGTCATGGGACAGAGCACACGCCCTGGTAAGGACAAGGCTTGCATGTGTGTGGTCCCGAGCCACAGGCCTCCCTGTGGCCTCCATCTGTCCAGCTCTCTTACCATCCATCTTGACCACATAGAGGGGGACAGACTTCTGCCCTAAGTCCAAGTTGCAGGGATGGCCCACAGCACGTGGTGGGGAAGGCTGGTCCAGAAGGTAAAAATCCTGGAAACGAAAAGAGGCAGTGTCAGATCTTCCCTCAAGACACGGAGTCACACACTTGCCCAGTAGGAAGGGAGGGCGAACACAGCCCCTTCCCTGAGCTGTGTCTGAGTGTCCTGAAAGGACACAAGGGAGGTGGGGGTGGGAATAGTTCCAAGAACTCCATGGGGCAGGGGCAGCCTGGAGTCATGACCTCTTGGACAGTGTCCCTCTTCTTTCATGAACACAATGACCTCTTATTCAAGGAGTTTTGTAGGATGAAATAAAATCAACAAAGGGGCCTTGCTCTGGTTCTGAGCCTCTGATGTTGGTGAGGTGCCAGTGATGTGGGCCAGGCAGCAGCAGCCTCTGGACCCTGCACATAGGCATGTCCTGCATGCTCCCTCTTTGGAGGCAGAAGTCACAGGCCCTGGCTCTGCATGAGGTAGGACCTCAGAGTACTGTACCTGACTCCCCATGCCTTCAGTGACAGAAATCTGTGGGATGCCATCAGGGCAGCTGAGCTGCAAGATGTGTCTCTGTCTCTCTGGGCACAGAGGGCTGCACATTCTGCTTGACTGTTGTCCCCAGCACAGGCAGAGCCCCAGGGCTTGGGTCATGTCCATGGGCATCTCCTGGTGTGGCACACACCTGCACAAAGACTCAAACTTCTTGGGGACACCTCCCTGGGGAAGCTCTTCCTCATTCTCTCCAGCTGCTTCTAGGAACTGCCTGAGAGTGCAAAGTACTGACCTCTATATTTCCAGAGAGGGGCAATGGAATGAGCCCAGTGGCTGGAATGGTGGACATTTGAATGGGAGGGTGGAGGGGCAGGAAGGCCAAGGACATAATAGATGGGCATTCTCCTACCTCGTGGGCACAGTGGTCATTCCACTGAGCCTTGGTCAAACATAGCCCCTCCTGATTCCAGTGGCTCCGTCCTTGCAGCTCCTGTGTTCCCACTGGACACAGCCCATTGGCTCTCCAAAGTCTCGGTGGCCCGGGAGGCAGGGGTACCGACTGTCACTGGGCTGGGGGCGGGGAGGGGGAGGGAGGAGTGCTGGTTCATGTTGGTTGGTTAATACTTCGTTGTGGTGAACCATGCCCAGGTTTTTGGCTGTGACCCTTTTGGAAATGGGCCAGAAGACAAGGGCAGGGGCGGGGAAATGAGCAATAAACAGGGCAGGGGAGGAGTCAGGGGGAGACCAGCCTGTTCTGGTAAGGGTCTGGCTGGTGCTATCATTTCAATAAAAAAAGAGACTTGAGACATTCAGCAAAGGAAGAATTCACATGCACATTTGTTGGCTTGCAGAGAACGTTCAAGTTGGAAGGGCTTGGGCTAGGATGTGTTTTGGAAGTGATCGTGGCAAAAAGCAACATAAAGTCTGTCATTTTCTTGGAGAAGGCGAGCCAGATTTAGCAAATGAAAACACAGGTCACCCAGTTAAATTTGAATTTTAGACAATTTTTTTTTTGGGTATAACTATGTCCCATGCAAGACTAAAAAAAAGTTTGTTATTTATCTGAAATTCAAGTTTAACTGGGTACCCTGTATTTTATCTGGCAACCCTATCCCCAAGTCACTTGGAAACCTGAGCCAACCCTGGTCAAGTTACACCTGAGCCGAGTTTGACTTGAGACCAAAACAGTCCTGGAAACGCAGCCTGTCCTTGGGCCCCCCTGCCAGAGGACATACTTGGAACACTCGCCCAGGCCCCCGGCAGACACACGTGTCCTTGCCCTTCTCTGGCTGGGTGGCCTCTGAGCCACAGGGGAAACAGGCATCCTGGCCGGGCCAGGGGTTGAAGAACCTGGGAGGGCAGAGGTGGCAGAAGGAGGCATTGTGGGGTCCTGCTCCGGACAGGAAAGTTCCCGGGGGACAGGGAGCAGGTGGTGAGTTAGGACAGAGACTACCTGTAGGGGGACAGCCATGCAGTAATTAGGACTAAGACTTAGCTTCCAGGAGCGGTGGGTCACCCACGATCCCACAGGGGCACAAGTGGACCCCTGACAGTGCTCTTCTCCCATTAGGGGGCTTCTGAGCCCTAGCCCAGCCCAGGTGTCTCATAAAGCCAGCATCTTCCCCCAGAGCTGTTTTTCTGTTCCCCACTCCTCAACTATACCCCCAGCTCCTACCCTCTCTGCATCCTGGTGGGTCTCGCTCTTCTTTTGCACGAGGCGTCTCATTCCCGCAGTCCTGAGGGTTCTCTGTGCTCAGGCATGTGGCACTCTGGAGGGCATGGCAGAAGACAGCTATGGAAGCCCATGTCACTGGGGTGCCCTCAAAGGGGAGCATCCTCACCCTTGGGTGGGGTGACAGTGGCAGAGAGAGAGGTAGGCATAGAAGTAAGAGGGTGGACAGATGCTGAGAAAGACCGCTGGGGAGGCAGATGGAGAGTTAGAAGGCAGCAAAGCACAGAGGCCCAGTGCCAGCAACACTATGAGAAAACAAGATGAGGGTGGCGGTACAGGAGAGGCACAGGGACAAGTGGACCCAGGATCCCAACTCAGAGAGAAATGCCCAGGAAGGGCAGCCTCTGCCACCCATGGGAGCTCCGGGATGCACTCACTGAATATTTCATGAGGATGAAATCTAAGATATGGATCCTCTGAGCAGCTTTGGCCCAGACAACTTAAGTGTCTCCACTCTCTTTTTCCTACCTCCCTGTCTTCCGGGAACCTTCCTCTCCGGAGGAATGCCTCCATCTGCCGCCTCTGCTCTCCACGGTTCTTCTCTATCTCCTATCTCCTTTTCCTTCCTAGAGAAGCTGGTGGGGTGTGTGTGCATGCGTGTGCATAACTGGGCTTAGTGAGGGCAAGGGACATCTCAGTTCCCTTCTTCTGCAAGGCAAAGCCAGCCAGATTCCTTTAAGTACTCTCCGTGTGTGAAATGCTGCAGGAGAGATGCAAAGGAAATAAAACCCGAGGCTTCTGCCTTTGGTGCGTGTACAGCCAGGTTTCAGAGACCCATATGGTTTTAGCTTTAGAAAGGATGTTGGAGATTATTTAGTTCTCTTCTCCCAGTTTATAAAGAAGACTGCGGTCCAGAAAGACTGAAAATTCAGGCAACCAGTCAAGTGCTCTTAAAGAATATGCATACCCAGAAAAACTGGAAACTGTAAAACTGCCAGTGAATCCTTGGATAACCACATGATGTATCGGATAAAGCATTCAGCAGGTGGTGGAGAGAAAGGCTCAGGTCCTGGCCTTGTCATTAATTACTTTTCAAAAGGGCAGAGGTGGCAGAAGGAGGCGTTGTAGGGTCCTGCTCCAGAGAGGAAAGTTCCCGGGGCACAGGGAGCAGGTGGTGAGTTGTGACAGAGACTACCTGTGGGGGGACAGCCACGCAGTAATTAGGACTAAGACTTAGCTTCCAGGAGCTACATTCTTTTTTTGTAGTAAGTCTTTCAAATCCAGAGTGCATTTGGATATGCAGCATATCTCAGCTTGTAGTAGCCCCATTTCAAGTGCTCAGTAGCCATAGGTGGCTGGTGGTTACCATAATGTTCAGCACAGGCTGACTTCCTCCCACAAAGCCACTTCTCTTCTGGGTGTTCCAGGCCCTTGAGTGTCCTTCCCTGCACATCTCAGTCATCTGCTTTGCCTTTGTTTGTCCAGATGGTGGCACTGTGAGCTTGCAGGAAGTGGTGAGCAGGGCGTGGAGGAGTCCAGTGGAAGGAGAAGAGGAAATGCTGTTGCAGGGGAGGATGTGTGTGTGTGTGTGTGTGTGTGTGTGTGTTTATTGGTGTCATGATCTTAATTATTTTTTATAGGAAGTAAGATTAGCATCTGTGTAATGTTTTGCAACAATTCCAAAACGTTCCTGTCCCTGCCAATCACCTGAGGATCTTTTAAAGACAGAGATTCTGATTCAACAGTATGGGTGATCTGGGGTGGGGCCCAAGATTCTGCCTTTCTAAGAAGCTCTCAGTGAAGGCTGACCTCATTGGACCATGCTTTCAGTATCAAAGTTTTGCGAGGAACTTTGATATGCACCACGCTTTTTGGTACTCACAACTACCTTGTGAGATTGACATTGTAATGAACCCCACTTATTGTGTTAAGAAATGGAGAAACAAAAAGATGAAATCACTTGCCTAAGATCATACCAGTAATAGGAGGTGAGGCCAGGGTAGAGCCCAGGTATTCTTGCTCTGAAGCCTGTTCGCTCCATACCAATCACATACATTTCCCAGGTAGTAGAAAGTAGGTTCACGTTGTCAACCTTCCTTCTGCTCTGGGTAGGTAGGTGGGAAAGCTTCCTACTGCTCTGAGGTCTTAAGGGATGTTCTGTAACCTTGTGGTCTCTCTATCCTGTTTCTATTATAATCATGGCCATTAGCTCTCTGCACTTCTCCTCCCTTCTGTGAAATCCATCTCAAAGGTAACTTCTTACCTGGTGAGTGGGACAAGGAGGTTGTACTTGGCTGGTGAAAGGTCCTGGGGGCCTAAGTAGGTTCAGATTACTCCAACTGGCGAGAGTAGTAGAGCTGGAAGGGATCCTAGGGGCTGTGTCCTTCAGCTCTTTTATTTTGTGGATGAAGAAACTCAGACCCAGAGGGAGGAAGTGTCTTGTCCTGAGTCAACACAAGACAAGATGGAAAATTCCCACAAGGTCAGGTCACTGGACAGGATTTCTAGGAATGGCAAACCGGAAAAGACTAAAATAGAGTTCAGGTTGCTTTTCAGGTTGAAGTTTAAATTAAAAATCAGATCCTAATTAGAGAACAATTGTTCTCTGCTTTGAAATGTCCTGCCTCAGAGCCTTTAGCAATTGGGGATATGTTGGGCCTAGAATGTGGCAAAATACTTAATGAACCTCTTTCCTAGGCTCAGTCCTGTGGGAATACAGAGGACTGCCCTTATAGGGCCACGTATATAACAAAGGAGGGCACGATGAAAGATGTGGAACTGAGCTGTGTGACAGCCCACACAGGCTGAAAAGGCTCAGAGGATCCCCGGACCCTGTTGGCACGATACACAATAGGAGTGGAGGTATAGATGCTGGAGGCTTTGCTGTGAATCCAGCCTCAAGGAGGTAATGCCACTAGTCTTCCTTCCTGCATGAACTCCCAGACTGCATTAACTGCTGGATTAGGGAAGGGAGCGTGTTCATTCCAACATCTCATTTTAAAGATGAGGAAACTGAGGCTCAGAGAGGTTTGGGATTTTCACAAGGTCACATAACTGGTTGATGGCAGAATGAGGGCAAGTCCCCAATACCCATCAGTAATTTCCTCACAGTACTGTACCACGAGGGCAACCTTAACCTTAGCACGGTACCATGAGGGTAGCCGTTGGGCTCCCCATCTCTCTTCTTCGCCACTGCTTCTTCTATCCCCTCACCAATATCTATTGTCTTTGTCCTCTAAGGCTTATGTCCTATTTGTCCCGTTTGACAGAGAAGGTTATGGTTTTCAAAAACAAACTTTCTTGGTTGACCGTTGCCTTGGAGAGAGCCTGACCACTCCCCTGCCTCTCACAGAGGAATCCCCCACGCCAGCTTTTACTGCTGCGCTCTCCTGCCTTTCTTTCCTAACGTCTTCAGCCACCCTCTTTCCACCATTCCTTTTTCTGTTGCCTTTCATCCAGTTCTGAAAAAAATCTCATTTGATTCCCTTACCTCTTCTTCTACTTTTTAATTTTTATTTTTTAAATTTTTGTAGGTACATAGTAGGTGTATATATTTATGGGGTATTATGTATTAAAACATCTCATGTGTCAAAAAACATATCCTTTGAGTTACCAACAATTCAATAACAATCTTTAAGTTAGTTTAAAATGTGCAATGAAGTTATTATCGACTATAGTCACCCTGTTGTGCTATCAAATAGTAGGTCTTATTCATTCTTTCTATTTGTTTTGGTACCCATTAACCATCCCCACCTTCCCTCCCAGCCCCCCACTACTCTTCCCAGCATCGGGTAACCATCCTTCTACTCTCTATGTCCATGAATTCAATTGTTTTGATCTTTAGATTCCACAAATAAGTGAGACATTGCCTCTTAGGACTCTCCTGTTTCTTTTCCTTTCTCTCCTATGTCTTCTCTCCCCTCCCCTCCCCTGCCTTCCCCTCCCCTTCTCTCCTCTTCCCTCCCTCTCCTCTCCTCTCTCTCTGTCTCTCAGTCACACATACATACACACACTGTCTCTACACACACACACACACACACACACACACCCCTCAGGGTAGTGGTTTGAATTAATTACACTCAGTTCATGGAACATTGTCATTGCTGGTGTGGTTTGGGCAGGAAACTTCTCCTATTTTGTTCATTTATTTTTCTCCATTTATTCTTATTTCCATCTCCCCATAAAAAATAATTCTGTTAAACCAAATGTGTGTCTGTGAGTTCCTGCAAAGCAGGCATCGTTTAGGCACATGTCCGTTTTAAATGCTTGCAGAGGTGGTTGTGCTGTCTCACCCTGGTTTCTTACTCCCCACTCTGCACTGTTTTAAATACTCACCTGTGTTGCTAAGCGTCCTCGAGCTGGAGGCTTCTAAGTGAGGCTTCCTGCTTCATCTATGCCCATACCTAAAGACCACGCTTTCTGATTGCTGCCCTACACTTGTTGCACCCAGGTCCTCGTCCTGTTGCCCCCAGCTGTCTGACTTTCACTGTATCCCCAAACTGCCTTCTCTCAGGACCCTGGCAGTGCCCCCGGGATGTCACTTTCAGTTCTGATTTTACCTGACTTTCCACTGGTCTGACAGGTGGGGGACGACTTAATTTCCATGATCCCAAAGTCCCTTTTGTCTCTCTTTTTTTTCCCTCTGTTTTTAAGTTATGTAAGTTTTTCCTAGAATGTGCTGATATTTTTTTGAAAAACTTTATTTTTTAAGAACAGTTTTAGATTTACAGAAAAATTTCAAAAGATAGTACAGTGTTCTCATATACCTCACACCCAGCTTCTTCTCTTATTAACTGCTTACATTAATATGGTACATTTGTTATAATTAATGAACCAATACATTATTATTAACTGAAACCCATACTTTGTTCTGATTTCCTTAGTTTTACCTATTGTCTTTTTCTGTTCCAGGACCACATATGACATCCAGTCATCATGTCTGCTTTGCCTACTCTCAGTTGAGAGAATTTCTCAAATTTTCCTTGTTTTTGATGACCTTGACAGTTTTGAGGAATGTTGGTCAGATATTTTGTAGAATGTTCCTCAGTTAGGATTTATCTGATGTTTTTCTAACGCTTGGACTGGAGGTGTGGGTTTTTGAGAGGAAGACCACAGAGGCAAGGTGCCATTTTCATCACGTTGTATGAAGGGTACATGCAATCAACATGATGTATCACTGTTGGTGTTGACCTTGATCACCTGGCTGAGGTAGCGTTGGCCAGGTTTCCTCCACTGTAGAGGTTACTCTTTTTCCCTTTCCACACTATGCTCATTGGAAGAAAATCACTATGTACAGCCCACACTTAAGGAGTGGGCAGTTGCCTTATCCCTCCCCGAGGGTGGAATTAAGTTATTTGAAATTAACGTAAGTTAATCGAATGCAAGTTATTTGAGATTCTTCTGCATGTGAGATTTGTTGCTTCTTCATTTTTATTTATTCACGTGAACATTTATTTATATCAATATGGACTTATAGGTATTCATTTCATACTTTAGATTTAGATAGAGAGTTTTTTTTTTTCCCTGTCTTTCAAAATGATCCAGTGCTGGTTGTTGTGAGCTCTGCCAGTGGGCTACGGGGTCCTTTGGACATACCTCATGATTGTGGGTTGTTGTTGTTGTTGTTGTTGTTTTTCGAGTACTTCCTTATATTTTTGGCACTATAAGATGCCCCAGGCTCATCTGGTGTGTGTGTGTGTGTGTGTGTGTGTGTGTGTGTATACATTTTTTTTGAAACAATCTTACTCTGTCATGCAGGCTGGAGTGCAGTGACTCGATCTTGGCTCACTGCAACCTCCACCTCCCTGGCTCAAGTGATTCTCTTGCCTCGACCTCCTGAGTAGCTGGGACTACAGCTGTGCACCACCATGCCTGGCTAATTTTTTGTATTTTTATAGAAATGGGGTTTCACCATGTTGGCCAGGCTGGTCTCAAACTCCTGACCTCAAGTGATCCACCTGCCTCGACCTCCCAAATTGCTGGGATTACAGACGTGAGCCACCGCACCTGATCTCATCTCGTATATTTCCTGTCCCCGTCCTAGAATTGGCCATATCCCCAAGGAGTTCTGGTTCCTTTTTATTGGAGAATGTTATTAGAAACCAAAGTCTGGGTGTTAGCTATGCTCTGGTCTCTTATGTTCAACTCACTTTTCTTTCTTTTTTTGTTTTTTGAGATGGAGTCTTGCTCTGTCACCCAGGCTGGAGTACACTGGTGCGATCTCGGCTCACTGCAACCTCCTCCTCCCGGGTTCAAGTGATTCTCATGCTTCAGCCTCCTGAGTAGCTGGGATTATAGGCATGCACCACCATGCCTGGCTAATTTTTGTATTTTTAGTAGAGATGGGGTTTCACCATGTTGGCCAGACTAGTCTTGAACTCCTTACCTCAAGTGATCTGCCTGCCTCAGCCTCTCAAGGTGCTGGGATTACAGGCGTGAGCCACCATGCCCGGCCCAACTCGCTTTGCTTTTCCCTTTCTGTTAATGCTTCTGTCCCCTGCCCGTCAACCATGGGGGTTTCCCAGGATTAGTCACACATTCAAGTCAATAACAAGGAGTTCTTACCCTGTACAAGAACTTCATGAGATCAAAAGCGAGGCACAGTCACGGAGTTTATAGTCAGGCGTGGGAGAGGCATGGATATATTATAAACAGCCCAAGAGCAGACAAGGACAGAGAAGTCAATCCGTAAGGCATCTCTAAGGAACTCATGACTAATTCAGACTGTGGGATCTGGGAAGTCTCTGAGCTGAGAGTTGAAAGAAGAAGGGTGGTGTATTCTCTGTGGTCTGTTCCCAAGCCCATAAAATCTCCCTTGACTCTGGTGCTCAAGGAGCCATCTCTCTCTCGGAGGAGCCGCTGCTGATGCTCTAGTTTGCTTCTCTCTTCCTTCTCAATACTCCTTCCTTCCTGTGGGAACATGAGCAGACCCTGTTCTCTCCCCTACTCCCCAGAGCCCTGAGATATTACATTATGAGATTTTCTTTGCTAATATTTTATTTCTTAAGTTAGGTTGTGGGTACATGGGTGTTTATTATTGTATTCTTCATTCCTTTTTGTATGGCTTGCATATTTCATAATAACATTTGAAATGTATTTGTGAAAAAAAAAAAAAAGAAAAGAGAGCGGTCTCTGGCCCTGGCCTGTGTGACCTTGTGCCCTCACTCCAGGAACCAAGACTCTGCCAGATGACTGCCACTCCCAGCCTAAGCCTGGGAAAGTGCAGCTGGTCTGGGCCAGATGGGTCTGCGGGTGCCTGTCTGACCAGGTATTGCATACATGTTGATGTGACTCAGTACCTAAGTGGTGTGGCAGATAGTCACCTATCCCCTCCTCACTCTCCTTGTCCCCTCATCTCCATGACCCACCTCTGACTTCTGTAGAGTCTCAGAGCTGCAACATAGTGACAACCCTTCTCTACAGCAGGTGCTTGTTGCTGGTGCCATTCTGCAAGGGCTGGATGGGACAAGTCTGGGGCATTCCCCCTGTCTTGGGGCAGCATCTTCGCCTCAGCACTGACCTGACTCAAGCTTCCTTATCTCCCATCTAAAGCTATCTGTGAACAAAAATCTGAAAAGGGCAGATCTAGGTCTGGCAGCAACTGAGAAAAACCAAAGTTCCTGCCAACAGCCAAGGTAGGTAAGAGGCAGGCCAAACGGGGTCAAATGGGGACACCGCCCAGGGGTAGGATGTTGGTTTGAGTCTCTGGGGAAAGAATGGAAAGGATGTCAGCTCCTAGTACATGCAGGCTGGTAACTGTGATGTTCTATTTGCAAGGATAGGTTATTTAGACATTGGGACCAGGAAACTCTGTCTCTGAACTAGTTACAGGGGCTGGTGGCTTCTGAAAAGACCTCTTTAGCTGGTGTGACAGATTAAAGATGTTGCAATTTCTTTTCTTTTGAATCTGCTTGACTAATAGAATGTAGCAGAAGTGAGATTCTGGGATTTTAGAGCCTAGGTCATGTGAAGGCTTGAAGCTTCTGCAGAGTTCTTTTGGGACACTCTCTCTGGGAGCCTTGATCTGCTAGGCTGGAGAGGCCATGTGCAGGCCCTTTGCTCAACAGTCCCAGCTGAGCCAAGCCTTTTAGCCATACTCACTAAGTCACCAGCCATGAAAATGAAACCATCTTAGATCCCAGATCACAGAGTAACCCCAGCCAATGCCAACAGAGCAGACTTACCCAGCTGAGCCCTGAACAGGTTTCTGAACTACAGCACTGTGAGATAAAATAAAACAACCGTTGTCTTAGGCTGCTAAGTTTTGAGATTGTTTGCTACACAAAAACAGATAACCAAGATGGCTGGGGCACCCCTATTCAGGCCACCAGTTCAATGACCAACTTCCAATTCCCGCATCAATATGAGAGATGGAGGATCATGGCTCATTCTCAAAATGACCGGGCGGAGGAGCTGGAGCCAAAACGTAAAGTGCTGAGCATGTCTTTGAAAGGGTCTTCTAGAGGCTCTTTGCTTGGGATGGCTCTATGACTCCTATAGGTGAAGTGCTGAAGTAAATAGGAAAACTGACCTAGGAATGGCCTCCAGATGATGAGGCAAAGTGTGCAGAAACTGAGAGGGGGTGTGAGTCTGGGAGGGGAAGTACGAGGGGGCTGGACGGCATCTGGAAGAGGAAGGTCCTGAGAGACACATAGGAGGGAGCTGGGTTCTGGGAGGAGGACTTGGGGATGAATGTTTCTGTAAGGGAAGTAGAGGGCGGTGGGGGGCACCGAGAGTACAGGCAGCCTTGAGCTGGTGTCTGGCCAAGGGTTGTAGCAGTCCTTGGGCTGGTGTCTTCTCCTGCTCCATCTGCGGCTGTGCTGGGCTCTCTTTAAAGAGCCCTTCTGGGCATCCAGATGAGCTCACACAAACAGTGCAGGTGCAGGTCTGGCCCGTAAACCACAACAACTGGGGCCTGTGCTGCCACAATGCGCTGGGCAAAGCCTCCAGAGGGGGAGAAAGGGTGACTATTTGTTTAGCATCATCAGCAAGAGTTCCAGAACCCATCAAAAGCAAAGCAGAAACTTTTGTATTAAGGAGATTAAACTTTAAACTCAGCTGAGAAGGCTCTGCTGTTTGAGTGGCTTTGTTGTGCCTGGCATTGTGTGATTATATGCAAATCACCAGGAAGCCTCCCTGGGGTCCCAACCGCAGAGGCTTAGCTGCCCAGCGGGTGGGTGTGCGGGACAGGGGGCAGCCCACGTGCTAGTCAGGTAACACCCAGTACCCAGGCCGGGGCAGCCTGCTTTCCCTTAAGTTCAGGGAATTGGGGATTTGAAAATATGTTTAATGTGTTGGCCAGAGATTTCTGGTGGATGGATAGGACAGCAGGGACAGAGGTGCCACCGGGAAGGTATAAATGGAAACCTAAGACAGTGTCCAGTTAGGACGGGGGAGGTTCACATATCCAGGGACCCCCTGACCACATCACGCCTTCTTTAGCATCCTCTCTTTTGAAGCTTAGGGTAATGTATGGGGTCACCAAGGAGATGAGGAAATGTTTTGGTTTTCCTGTGGCCATTCAGAATAAGGACTTGGGAGGATTATCCTGAGTTTATTGATCCAGAAAATGTTTAATGTTTACTCTTGGCAAGGTGCAGAGCTAGGTGCTGGCGGTGGTGGGTGAGAATGGAGATGAATAAAATGTCTCTGTTGTTGAGGAGTTTACAGAGAAGATGTTTACCCAGATAACTAAAATACCTGGCAACATTTGGTAAGCGCTGGGGGAAATGGCCCATGAGAGTGCCTGGCTTTGGACAGAGGCTAACTGAAGGGGTCGAGGAAGGTTTCACAGAGAAAGAACAGAGTCAGGCCAGAGGTGGAGGCTGCATGAGCCAAGGAATTCCTGTTGAGAAGGGCAGGGTGCAGGCTGGCTGTGTGCCCTGGCTCACATGGTGTCTCAGGGGCTGTGGGGAAGACAGATTGTGCATATTGGGGCCCAAGTTCCAGGCTAGAATTTGGCCCACACAAATTGGAGTCAGATGTCTAACCCACAAAGTTAGGTCTAGGGACTCTGGGACCCCGTGTCAGCACTTGCAGAACTGCCATCAGGGTGACACCAGAGACCTCTGTGTCCCGTCTGTTGATGCCTCTGTGGCTGCCCTGGCAGCCCCCTTCCCCTCTTCCTTTAAGCAGCATCTACAACTGCTTCTCAGCCCTTAATAACAGGGTCAGCTTGGACATCTCCAAGGCTCTACTTCCTGGTGGGTGTAGAATGTTGTCTAGTATAGTCAGAGTCATAGCTGTCAGTTCCCCTCTGCTTGGGGGGCTATGGGCCTGGCTGGGGTCCTGCAGATCTGGGTTGAGGATGAGAGTGGAATGAGCTTGGTCCTTGGGCTATTAGACATGTTGAGGATAGAGATCATTAAAGATATGACCAGGGCTGAAAAGAAAACCCAGGAAGGCTGAGTAGCTAAGCTATCAACACGAGAAACTGGGCAGAGTAGCAGAAGCAAGTAAGAGACCCCAGGATGGAAACTGCAGAGTGTCGCCTAGGAGTGGAGGGAAGAGCCTGCTCCTGAGCTGCTGGGTAGTGGTGGGGATGCAATGGGGATACAGGTGGGGGTCTAGGCACTCGCTGTTGTAGCTCTAGCCTCAGGCAAGGCGGTGAGGATGCTCAGAGGCTCTCCGGCCCCTCCAGCCTTCAGTGGCTGGTTCACTGGCATTGGCCTAACCTTCTTGCAGAGGGAGCCACACCAGTCCTCAAGTTGAGCACAGCTCTTGGGCCCAGATTGGAGCATGGTGATTTGGGAATGAGAAACAATAGCTTTAGAAATTGAGAAACTCCATCCCTTTCCAGCATCCCCCTCATCCCCCAACCCAGTTCCTGGCAGGAGTCCCTGGACTCATCTGGGGTTTTTCAGGGGTGGTAAAAACTGAGGGTCATTTTTGCTGAGGAGTTCTGAGCACTGGAGGAGGAGAATGATCTCCTCCATTCCACAGATCAATACACTCCTCCCGTTTTGCAGGAAGCTTCTGGGAGCAGGGGGTCTCTGGGCTCTGAGGGGGTGTAGTGGATGGAAGCCAAAGAAAAAATTGCTCTTTGGAACACCGTGTCCTGTGCCCTGTCAGAGGAGCAGATGTTCTTCTGAGGGTGGGGGCTGCTGGGGGCTGCAGCAGGTTGGGAGCCAGGCAGGAAGAGTTCCAGATGATGAGGGAGTTGAAAGGAATTTTATAAAGATATTGTCTGCGACTTGGGTTGGATAAAAGTCTCCGCAGACAGGGCTGTTCACCTGCTAGGCTTTTGTTCTGCCCTGCAGCGTCTGCTTGCCACACAGCCCCAGGGCAGGGTGATGGTGGGGCGGGGTGATGGTGGGGAGGGCATGCTGTCTGCCATCTGCCGGAGAAATACAACAAACACCCACACGCGAGCCAACGGAAACTCTCAGCAAAACAAACGGCGCTCGCTCGAGGGCGCCTTGCCTGGGTGTGTGGACTGGAGGGGCAGGCGCGGGAAGGTGAAGGGGCACCTGCCGGGGGAGGGGCTGGGCTAGCCGCCTGCCCCTGGGCCAGCAAGGTCAGGTACGGTCTGCACCCATGTCTGCCTGGACCCCTCAGGCCTGTTAGGTGAAAGCCCTTCTTTTGTTTTTTTTTTTTCTTTTTTTGAGACGGAGTTTTGCTCTCGTTGCCCAGGCTGGAGTGCAATGGTGAGATCTCGGCTCACTGCCATCTCCGTCTCCCAGATTCAAGCGATTCTCTCTGCCTCAGCCCCCTGAGTAGCTGGAATTACAGGCGCCCACTACCACGCCCAGCTAATTTTTGTATTTTTAGTAGAGATGGGGTTTTGCCATGTTTGCCAGGCTAGTCTTGAACTCCTGACCTCAGGTGATCCACCCATCTCAGCTTCCCAAAGTGCTGGGAGTGCTGGGATTACAGGCGTGAGCCACTGTGCCTGTCCAAAAGTCCCCCATTTATCCAGTTGCCAGGTCTAAAAAGCCAGGAGTTACAAAGCTGGAGGTGGTCGTCACCAGTTCTATTGATCACCAAATTCAGATAATCAGGGTGCTGGATTTGCAGCTACTGATCGAGGGTGAAATGAAGAGTAAGACGGATTGGGCTCAAGACCTGACTTAGCCATTTCTGTAGACACTTCTGTGAGCCCCTTGCTTCCTTATGTTTAAAATGGGGTGATAATAATGGCTAACCTGGGAAGTTGTTATGAGAATGGAAATAATATCTTTCAAAAGTACTTTGCAAAAATATATCTGGTGGTTATTAACATTTTCTTTGTGGCTCTGGGTATTTGCTTCTGGCTTTGTGACATGCAGAACTCTTCTGCGGGGGAGGTCCTCAGCCTGGGTGAAGAGCATTTGGGAAATCGTGCAGCTTGTGGGGCTTGTGAGCATAAACCTTGGACTTACAGCTGGGCTCTGAGGCCCAGGTCAGTGAGGAAAGTGGGAGCTGAGATGGCTTAGGGCGGGTGGGGTGGAGTTGTGTTTGATTGCATGGTAACACTAAATATCTGGCTGTGGCCTCACCCTGGGGGGTTGAGGGCTGGGCTATAGATCTTCCCCAACATCTCTGCTCCCCTTGGGGATCTACGTTTCCCCCTTTCCCCAGAATCCACAGTGAGTGGCAGTGGGCACGAGTGTCCACAAACCTGTTGGGACAGGGTAGGCAGCTTGTTTGCTCTTCCCAGGGCCAAGCCTGGTGGGCTGGACCCAGAAGTATTATGTTACTCAGCCAAAGAATTCCTTTCCTCGCCTGCCTCCATTTATAAAGGGGAAACAAAACCCTGAGCGGTATGCTTTCGTGGTGCCAAGCCAAGTCCTCAAGTGTCATCTCTGGGGAGCTGCCTCCTCCCCAGGGCAGGGTGCAGCCTCCTGGGGAAACAGCAGCCCTTCTTTCTCCTTCCCACCCGTGGCGGTGGTGGCGGTGGTGTCCCCACTTACCCTCAAGAGACCTTGGATTCTCTCTCACTACCCCCGAGTGCTTTCCATATCCAGGTCTGAGCCCTTGAGAGTGGGGCAGGGCTTGTGGCTTCCCTTGGCCCAGTGGAGAACGGGACAGGGTTGCTGGGTGTCTGTCTCAGTTCCAGCTGGTGCTAGTGTACTCTGGCCAACAGAACCACCAAACACATCTTCTGTTTGCTTTGAGAACTTGAGATGGATTTTAGATCCTCCAGGGCACGTACTGCTACACTTCAGAGTTCTGGCCAGAACCGGGCAGCCCTGGGGAAGCCTGCACCAGTGCTGGGCCGGCCCTTCCGAGTTGTGTCTTGCTGGAGAGTCCCAGGGCCAGGTGAGGTCTGAACTTTAGAGGCTTGTCAGGTGAGATCTTATTCTGCAGCCAGCGCTGGGATGGCTGATGGAATAAGGGTCAGGCAGGATGAGTGAAAGGTGAGAGGTGTCAATGAAGGCATTGTTCAGGGCTTGGGCTGGGAAGGACCTCTGAGATTCCCTGCCCTCCTTATTTCTTCCTGGATGGGTGGTCCTCTTTCTATCTATAGGAAGAGGGATTGCCAGGAAACTTGGATTTGAGTCTGCCAATGCTACTAATTCACTACGGACAAACTTTTTTTTTTTTTTAAACAATTATTATACTATTTATTGTTTACCATAGATGGGTATATTTACATGGAGTACTTGATATGTATTATCTCACTTATTTATCACACCAACTCTTTTTTTTTAAAGTATAGTGGCTTTTATTTTTTTTAAAATTTATTATTATTTTTAAAATTATTATTATACTTTAAGTTCTAGGGTACATGTGCACAACGTGCAGGTTTGTTACATAGGTATACATGTGCCATGTTGGTTTGCTGCACCCATCAACTCATCATTTACATTAAGTATTTCTCCCAACGCTATCCCTCCCCGAGCCCTCCCACAACAGGCCCCAGTGTGGGATGTTCCCCTCCCTGTGTCCATGTGTTCTTATTGTTCAACTCCCACTTATGAGTGAGAACATGTGATGTTTGGTTTTCTGTCCTTGTGACAGTTTGCTGAGAATGATGATTTCCAGCTTCATCCATGTCCCTGCAAAGGGCATGAGTTCATCCTTTTTTTATGGCTGCATAGTATTCAATGGTGTATATGTGCCACATTTTCTTTATCCAGTCTATCATTGATGGACATTTGGGTTGGTTCCAAGTCTTTGCTATTGTGAATAGTGACACAATAAACATACGTGTGCATGTGTCTTTATAGTAGCATGATTTATAATCCTTTGGGTATATACCCAGTAATGGGATGGCTGGGTCAAATGGTATTTCTAGTTCTAGATCCCTGAGGAATCGCTACATTGTCTTCCACAATGGTTGAACTAATTTACACTCCCACCAACAGTGTGAAAGCATTCCTATTTTTCCACATCCTCTCCAGCATCTGTTGTTTCCTGACTTTTTAATGATCACCATTCTAACTGGCATGGGATGGTATCTCCCTGTGGTTTTGATTTGCATTTCTCTGATGACCAGTGATGAGCATTTTTTTCATATGCCTGTTGGCTACATAAATGTCTTCTTTTGAGACATGTCTGTTCATATCCTTTGCCCACTTTTTGATGGGGTTGTTTTTTTCTTGTAAATTTGTTTAAGTTCTTTGTAAATTCTGGATATTAGTCCTTTTGTCAGATGGATAGATTGCAAAAATTTTCTCCCATTCTGTAGGTTGCCTGTTCACTCTAATGATAGTTTCTTTTGCTGTGAAGAAGCTCTTTAGTTTAATTAGATCCCATTTGTCTATTTTGGCTTTTGTTGTCATTGCTTTTGGTGTTTTAGTCATGAAGTCTTTGCCTATGCCTATGTCCTGAATGGTGTTGCCTAGGTTTTCTTCTAGGGTTTTTATGGTTTTAAGTCTTACATTTAAGTCTTTAATCCATCTTGAGTTAATTTTTTTGTAAGGTGTAAGGAAGGGATCCAGTTTCAGCTTTCTACATATGGCTAGCCAGTTTTCCCAGCACCATTTATTAAATAGGGAATCCTTTCCCTGTTGCTTGTTTTTGTCAGGTTTGGACAAACTATTTCATGCCCCCACACCACAGTTGCTTCATTTGTAAGATCAGAAAATCAGATTGGATGATCTTTAAGGTCTCTTCCATCTTTGTTGTACATTTTATGACTGTTTAGTGTATTTTATATTGCGCCCATTGCAAACAATAGATGCTGGTTTACTAATGAATTCTGGCCACTATCTCCTTCTTGTCTTACCTCCAAGTCAGAGTCTGCCTGGCTTGGCCCAGTTAAGATGACAAGGGCTTCTACAACTACTTCCAGGGGAGACAGATATATTACTTGAGGCCAGGCATGGTGGCTTATGCCTGTAATACCAGCACTTTGGGAGGTGGAGGTGGAAGGATTGCTTGAGCTCAGGAGTTTGAGACCAGCCTGGGCAACATACTGAGACCTTGTCTCTACAAAAAAGAAAAAAAAAAGATATATTACTTAAGAAGTAGAAATAGTAAGATCTGGTTTCTGAGGAAGATGAAGGTTTAATTTTTTCACACAGTGTAAAGCAATTCAAAATATTTCATTAGCTCTGTTCTGTGCCACCAAACATATTTGTTTCCCTTCTATCTGGCAGAACAAAACTTTATTTGACCTGCTAGTTTCTCTCATGTCTGTTATTTTCTTTCTTTATTTTTTTGAGATGGAGCTTTGCTCTGTTGCCCAGGCTGGAGTGCAACAGCGTGGTCTCAGCTCACTGCAACCTCTGCCTCCTGGGTTCTACAGATTCTCCTGCCTCAGCCTCCCAAGTAGCTGGGATTACAGGCACCCACCACCATGCCCAGCTAACTTTTGTATTTTTAGTAGAGATGGGGTTTCACCATGCTGGCCAGGCTGGTCTCGAACTCCTGACCTCAGGTGATCTACCCACCTCGACTTCCCAAAGTGTTGGGATTACAGGCATGAGACACTGTGCTTGGCCTGTTATTTTCTTTAAATATTACTTAATTGTTGGATTGTAATTCTGCTTGCTGTGTGTTTGTTTGGTACCCATAGCCCATGTTTAAGTGATCCGGGAGGCAGGGACCAGGATCCAACTCCTTCACGTGGCTCCACAGCGAAATACCCTGCCTATCAGCATTCTCTGAGAGTGTCAGCTACCTGAGGGCAGGGCTCTAGCTGTGCTTTCTCCTTTCTCTCTAGCTCCAGGAACACACATTAAGACTCAGTAAATGTTTGTTGAATGAATCAAATGTCAAAGGAATCAATAGTAGGTACTCATAAGTGCTTACTGATTTGCACTGATGTGCTGGTGTGCTCTAACTATTTTTTTGTAATTCTGACCTTCCTGACAGTCTCTTTGGCTCTAGCTTTGTTTCCTGATATTTAGTTCTCTGGCTTCTACCCTGATTCCATGTCTGTATCCTCCACTGGGAATCCCAACCAAGCATCGTGACAGCATCTACTACTTTCATTCTGGAGGCTGTCAAGTATGTGTCCCCAGCTCTGCAAGTTGCTAGAGTTCAGTTCTTACATCTCTGATTGGGTGCTGGAAGAAAACGTAGAGGTCATCTAATTAGATCCCTTAGCTAAACTTCCCATGCTTGTCCTCCACTCTGGTCATTTCCTACACAGGACAGCCCATTTCACTGTGGTCCAGCCCCGGGGGTTGTCCTCCATCCCTCCTCTTGTCTAGATGCTAAGCCTCTGCACAGGATGGGCCGTATATTATGTGAATCAGTTAACTTCTGTTGATTAAACAGTGAATATTTGAGAATATGAAAAGCTTGAATATTGAACTTAGGTGGGAGGTATTATTCCCTAAGTAGGTTTTGGAGGGGCCTCTTGGTTGGAATCAAAATGCTCTGTGTTCAAATTCCAATTCTATCATTTACTGGCTATGCCCCTTTAGGAAAGTTACTTCTCTGAGTCTCAATTCCCTGATCTATGAAGCGGTAATAATGGCAGTGCCTACATCATAGGCTTGCTATGAAGATTCATGAGATACTGTAAATTCAGTGCTTAGAACAGTGCCTGACACATCAAGGGCTCCAAAAAAGGGAGTTATCATTATGTTTATTAGGCTAATATTAATACTGAGCCTGGGGTTCTAGACCAGCCACAAAGCAATGTGTTGACCTGAACCCCCATCCTTCAATTCACCTCTCAATACAATACTGAACAATATAGCCCTCCTTTACTGCCTGGGTTAAGGTACACAAATATGTTCTGCCTTCAGATAAGTCCTTTAATTTCTGCTTTTGAATATCAAACCCTTTCGTCACTGACTGAGGCACTATGGGGGCATAGAAGAGAACAAAATTAGTCACTGTATGTGAGACCATGCTGAGCTGCTTTTGTATACGTGGTGACTGCCTTCTTTTAATCTGGTAAAAAGAAAAGGCTGGTATGTATAAATGAATTAGAGGCAATATTAGCTCCGTATGTGAAGGGTTGCATTGTGATGTGAAAACTCAATTGAGAGGCACTTTAATCTGGGGTTAAGAGGTTTTGGCATCAAAACAACCAAGATTCTAATGTTGATTCTGCCATTTAGTGGCTGTGTGACTTTGAGGAAGTTATTCAACCTTTCTGGGTCTCAGTTTCCTCATCTGGGTTCTTTTGGTGAGGACAAAATGAAGTCATATGCTAACAATTGTTTGACACAGGAAAATAAATCTTGGGACCCCCCAAATCCCTAAGCCAAGGGAAAAGTCAAGATGGTAATGGTGTCCGTGTGGTCAGGCTAACCTACCTCCCATTTTATTCCTAAATAAGGTAGCTAAAAGGTAAGAAGATACTTACCCTCCTTACAATTTGCCTACAAGGAAATTGCTTGTGGACAAAGGACAGACAGAATTCAGTCATCCCTCTGAGGCTTGCCTGAGACAAATGCATATCTGATTACTTCCTCTGCCCTAGTGTTTACATAAAAATGCAGATTCACTAAGCCAAACTAAATTGTGTATTCAGTGGAAGGCTAGTCAAGGATTCAAAAGAATGCAACCTTTTGTCTTTTATCTACTTCTAACCTGGTAGGCTCCACTTTTGAGTTGTCCCACCTTACTGGACCAAACCAATGTACAGCTTACATATATCAATTGATGTCTCATGTCTCTCTAAAATGTATAAAAGCAAGCTGTACCCTGGCAACCTTGGGCACGTGTCGTCAGGACTTCCTGAGGCTGTATCATGGTTGTTTCTTAACCTTGGCAAAATAAACTTTCTGAATTGACTGTGACCTATCTCCGATATTTTGGGTTAACAACACATGACAATGCACCATAAGCGTTTACTATTATGATGTGCTTGCTGTGTTCAGCAGAAAGAGCTCACTGAGGCCTGTACTAATCAGAAGAGATAGGATTTAAGTACACTAAGACAAGGGAAAAACAAAACAAAAAACACCAACAACAATAACACAGACTCAGGAAAGCCTCTGGAGTGTTAAGGATGGTGGGATGTACAGCAGGACTTGAAGAAAGTGTATAACCTTGGAAGATATGAGAAAGCAGGTGGGATCAGCAGCAGAAGAATTGAAGTGGGGGAGTTGCCCCTTTACGTTCTCCATTTTGTCTAGGAGTGTGCTTTGCTCAACAAATGCTTAGCAGTTGCTACAGAACTTCTTGGCCTAATTGTGTGGCCCCGTTTCTCTTATAGCTAATGAGTTTTGGGAGTTTACTACCTTTTTGTATTCTTCACTGAATTTCCTAAAACTATCTGATTCAAAGCTCCAGAAATGTCCCTTTTCCTATTAGTTTTAGATCTGCTCAACAAGTCCAGGGATACCTTATCTGTTTACCAATTATAAACCCCTGTTTATGCCTGAGAAGATACAAAGCATCTTTCTTCTTGGCTTTTACCTTTACCTTCTAGGTACAAATGTCTGTCTCATTTTGGAATCAGCCTGATTTCATCAGTTGCTACGTGACCTTGAGCAGGCTGCTTAACCTCCCTTGTTCCATTTCCTCATGTGTAAAATTTGAGTAACGTGCCAGTTACCCATTTATTGCCTCTCAGTTCCGAGTTCATCTTTTGGGACCTGCCCTGCAATACTGACTGGTCTCTCAAGATGTCTCCTTTCTACCGAGAGAGCGTGATGTTAAGCTTTGTCAGTAGGGGGCGCCTCCCTCAAAAGTAGGTTTTTGTGAGTAACTGTTTCTTGGGTACTGGGTATTTTGAAATGTCCCGGAATTAGATAGTGGTGATGGTTGCACAACATTGGAACTATCCTGGAAGTCACTCACTTGTACACTTTAAAATGGCTAAAATGGCAAATTTTAAGTCATATAGATTTTTACCTCAATTTAAGAAAAGTAAGTTGTGAGGATGGGACAAATTCGTGAATGGGGAGAGCTCAGAACGATGTTTGGAACATACATAGTGAGTGGTCTGTAAATATTACGGGTGATTGCACATTCGCTTAATTATTTAGCTAGCGGTCTATCACTGGCCTTCCTTTTCCTGGAGCTAATGAGACCCTCACACTGTATTCCTGGTTACCACGAACCTGAGGCAGCCATGAAGCTGAAGAGCCTTGCAGAAATTCCTGCCTCTCACACTGGTAGACCCTGGTAGCCTGTTCCAGGAGTGGGAGTGGAATGAATGCCTGCACCCCCACTTCCCCTGAATGGCTCCAAACAGCAGATAGTCAGGGGCTGAGTAACTCTGCGTAGAGAAGTTCAGAGATAGGACCTAACATTGAGCTTTGTGTCCTAGGGCTCAGGTCCCCTGGGCTAGAATTTAATTTGGATCAGGAAGAACCTGTTGATACCTGATTGTTTTTCTCCCCAGGTCCGCTGTCAGTCTGCTCCCCTGGGGAGATGACTGTGTGGCCCAATGCCATAGTCCCCAGGCATTGGCAAAAGGAAGAGGTCCCTGACTGGAGGCTCTGCACAACTCTGTAGGTCAGCAGGGCTTGCTGAGGATTGCAGGACAGAGATGCAAGGAAAAGCAGCAGAAACAATACAGTGGGGTTTGAAGAAATCTGGAGGGACTGAATTGGGGGACTTTTCTTTGTGACGTCATCATAGAGAAGGGTGTAGGGTCTTAAAAGGGAACTCAGTTCCTTCATCTTCTTCCTCTTCCCCTTCCATCTTTGTGATAATCCTTGTCATCTCACAGTCTAGAAGACCAGTATTTCCATTCTATACTCTACCAAATCCCAGATATTTCAGGACAGGCCTAACTCAGAAATTTTCTGTCCTGACGTCTCCATACTTACCTATGCACTTTTTGGACCATTTATCCTAGCTCTTGGCGAGGAAAATACGGCCATTAGTCAAATCCTCCTCCCTATAACTTCATCCTTGCTTTGTCACAGCTGCTTGCCGGGGGCTTGTCGGCAAGCAGGAAGGGAGAATGCCACCGCCTTGGGCTGCCTCCCCACAGAGCTGTATGTGTCCTCAGTCTAATGTTCGGGGTGGGGGGAACCAAAAGCCTGTGCCTTGTGATGTGACGCCTCTGTCACTCTATTGTCATATTCTATGAAGTCAACCCAGGAAGGCTCAGGTAGCAAATGCCTGTGCAGAAAGTCAGGGAAGTCAGCTGCTTGCTTTCAGGGACCACATTTGACTGACCCCTCCCCTTGGGGTAGCTGCAGCTTCTGGGTGGCATTGGTTTTGGGGTCCCCGAGCTGCCAGAGTATCCCTCTAAAGACTCCCCTGAGACCTCCCCTCAGACACAGTTACCAAACATGTTTTTCATCTTTATTAATCTGCTCCTCTTCTCACGTTTCTCAGGTCACAGCTGCCTTGTTATCTGATGGGCTTTCTGCCAGCCCCATGAAGCCTGACAGTTATAAAGGGTGGATTAGCGGCAGAAGAATATTTATTAGGAAAAAAAATCTCTTTTTATTCTTCTGTTGTTTTATATGGAGTTGGCCACATATTGCCTGGGTGAGATCAGAGCGGTCCTTTGAGAGCTGTGAGCAGAGGTCCCATGTCTGGGTGTTCGGCAGTGCTGGGTGAGCGGCCATGATTATTCTTGACCGCCATGGGCCCCTCTCTCTAGGCCTCTACCAAAGGGTCCTGCTCAATTTCACAGCTCAGAGAGGTCTGTGATGTGGCTGCCTTTTTCCAGAAAGAAGAGCATCTTATTGTGAATGGATCTCACCTTTCCTCTAGTCTCTAGAGCTGAGATGGGTAGAGAACTGATCCTTTCTTAATGATTTCAATTTAGTAGCTCCACTTTGCTGGGGTATATTTAACAGCATTATGAGAGAAAAGAGATGTTCCAATAGAAAATGGAGGCAGGCAGGGACTTTTTCTTACCCACTTATGAAGAAACTCTGTCACTGAGATCATTCTAGGTCTCTTCAAGGAAATAATATCCTTGTGGGGAGTTGATTTTCATTCTGTCTTTGTGACTTCAGTGGTGGGATTGTAAATCAATTGTGTTTGCAAAGACTGAGAAATGTTCTGATGGCGCTGGTGAGCTCCCAGGGAAGCTCCAGAAAACATGCTCTGCTAAGGCACATACACTTTGAGTAAACTCCGGGGTGATATTAACTTTCCCACACCGGCCTGGGAGCTGGCTGTGCCAAACCTGCCCGGGCCTGCCTGCCTCTGATGCAGTGTGATACAGGGGCGTGGTAAGGGGAGTGTAGGTGAAGAAGCCTTGGGTGCTGGTGAAGAGGGTGACTTCTGATCTGGTCTTTCTCATCTAGTGGTGGTCATCATCTGGAATTCAGGCCGGCCTGGGCTCTGGTAGCAATGGGAAAACTGAGGAGTCAGGATCTCTGGAGCATGGAGGGAGAGTCACTGTGAGAGGAGAGCCCAAGGTGTGCTAGAACTATAAGGGAACACTACAGATTGAAACACCTTGTCCACCCACCACCGCTACAATGCAAACCCCTTTCCCTATCCCTGCCATATTTGCCATGCATATTTCTGCAGTACATTCTCTCTATTGTGTGTTCTCCTTTTCTTTTGCCAAAGAAAGTGTCTTTCCAAAGAGCTTTGGAGACACGGAGAGAGAACCATGGGTGCTAGAGTCTTCTGCCAGGAGGATCTATACAATGTGTAGATACAACCACTCTCAATCCAGTCCTCCTTTCCATTTTTTTTTCATTTCCCTTCCCTTCCTCTGTCACTGCTTTCATGGTTTCTTGGCAATTCTCACCTCTCTCTGGCTGGACCACCCACTTTCTCATTGTGGGAAGACACTGAGCATACCCCACATGAACTCATCACCCTCCTCCTTGTCCCGCTGTGCTCCTCTTGACACCCTGGTTTTTGGATAATGATGCCAACATTCTGTAAATCACCTAGGCACTAGAGCCCAGGTCAGTTTCTCCTTTTTTTTCTTTCTTTGAGACGAGGTCTGGCTCTGTCATCCAGGCTGCAGTGCAGTGGCGCAATCTCGGCTCACTGAATCCTCAACTTCCAGGGCTCACGTGATCCTCCCACCTCAGCCTCCCGAGTAGCTGGGACTGCAGGTGTGTGCCACCATGCCCAGCTATTTTTAAATTTTTTGTAGAGATGGGGTGTCACTATGTTACCCAGGCTAGTCTCAAACTGTTGAGCTCAAGCGATCTTCCCACCTTGGCCTCCCAAAGAGCTGCGATTATAGGCGTCAGCCACTGTGCCCGCCCTCAGATCCATTTCGATGCTTTTCTTGCCCTTGCTAGTTCCCAGATTGAGTGTAGTCTGCTTGGTTAGTATCTCTTGCATTCATACCCTATTTTTCTTCCTACCTACTGCTCTGATTTTGGTAATTATCTCTCATCTGGGTTACTACAGTAGTTTCTTAACTGAAATTTCAATATTTCCCGTCTTTCTTCTTAAGTTTTTCTTCTACTATCGGGCCAGATAAATCTTCTAAAAGGCGCTGATCATAACCTTGCAGCATTAAAAACTGTCATTAACTCTCCATTGCTAACCCCCAAGTCCCCAGGCTCCTTAAATGGTCAGCACTGGGGGCTCTCCAGTCTTCTTTTTCGACTGTATCCTTGGAGGGACTATGAGCTCCATGAGGCCAGGGCTCCTGTGTCTTTTGTGTATGTGTTTATCTCCATGATCAGCATGGAGCCTGCCTATGGTACAGAGTGCCTGGCATGCAGCAGGGCCTCAACAACACCTGTGAACCCCCTACCCAGAAATGCTGCCACTGTCTTCCAGGAATCCTTACTGCTTCTAAAAAATACCCTTCATTTTTCCTACCTCCTCCTTTGCACACGTTCTGCCTGGAATGCATGCCCCATGATAAAAGTTTGTTCCACACCTACCCATTTTCCCAGGTCCAGCCCAAATGGCGCCTTCCTTCATGTAGCCCTCTATGATTGTACAGAAGGACCTGCTCATCCGCTTTCTAAACTGCCATGGCAGTTTGTCCCCTCTCATGGCCCTTGACATCACATCTCTTCTCTAGTAAGGTTTGAGCTACTTGGGGACCGGGCTTGTTTTTATTAATCTTTTAAAGTACCTAATACAGCCTGGCTCACTGCAATCTCTATCTCCCAGGTTGCAGTGATTCTCCTGCATCAGCCTCTTGAGTAAGCTGGGATTACAGGCACCTGCCACCACGCCTGGCTAATTTTTGTATTTTCAGTAGAGACGGGGTTTCACCATATTGGTCAGGCTGGTCTCGAACTCTTGACCTCAGGTGATCTACCCACCTCGGGCTCTCAAAGTGTTGGGATTACAGGCGTCAGCCACTACATCTGGCCTAATTTTATTGAATTAATAAACAAATGCTTAAGTGACCGTAAATCTTTTATCTGCAGGCTTGGTTTATTAATAACCACATAACCTTACCACTTAATGATGATGAATGACTTTGAGGCCAGTTAGCATTCAGTTTATTGGCCTCAAATAAATGAATTATTTGGGTGGATTAACCAACTGTAATAAATGTGAACAAATTAGCACTGTCATCTTACAGCAAAAATTATATTGAGGTGAATTCCATGCCAAGTTGTGGGGCAGGACGCCCAGCATTTTCGCGTTAACTCATCATCTCCTTTCTCACCCCATGGTGTTCCTCTTGACTCCTTTGTTTTTAGATAGTGACACCAACATTTTGTAAGTCATCCAGCTCTAGAGCCCAGGCTAGTTTCCTTGCTTTCCTTGCCCTTGCTGCTTCCCAAATTGAGCATCATCTATCCGTGTCACTCTCAGTATCCTGGGGCACTGGATTGTATCGACTTGGGCTGTGGATGGGAGATGCCCTAAAGATGAACCTGTGAGGGCCTTTAGTGTTTCTCTAGCTAAGAGCTCTCTGAAGAACATGTTTCTTGCGATGGGCAGGATGGGAGAGGCTGGTCAAGCCTCTGAGCCTGTGCTCATTTCCCTTCACCTATTTTGCTCCTCCATGAGGCTTCTGTCACCACTGGTGGTGGTGGTTCTAAGGCTGTGGTGACCTGGGGAGGGTCTCTGTGGTGACTTAGCACCTGGGGAGGGAGAGGTCTGGCTTTCTCGGCCTCCTCTTCTGGCAGGGCCCTGAAAGGAGCTCAGGCCTCGGAGATTTCCTGGTTCCAATGTCCTTTCGTCTTAACAGTCCTCAGCTCACAGCTCCTCCAGAAAGTGGTCTTTATGTGTAAGGAGCTGAGTTTTCATCCTGGCATGTCTCTCATCTTTCTATGCCTTAATTTCCTCATCTGATGGTGATATCTATTTTTTGAGGGTGGTGGCATTGTTTTTGTGTATTAAATGAATGTCATATACTTTGAGAACCAAGCATGTTATATTATTATTTATTGTCATTGATATCGACAGGTCCTTTGGAAGTTGTCAGCTTGGGCTCAGCTGCCTGTGGTGTAAGGGTGGGCAAGGTGTCTAAGAATTCCTTTGGGGAGGGGTAGGCCAGCTCTCTGGGAGGTAGTTAGTAGGAATGCTTAACTGAATGGTTTGGTGCACATGATGCTTTGAGATCGGTGCAGTGGGGACCTTGGAACACATGCCATTAGTCTGGCCCAGGCTGGGCTAAGGGCCTGTCCTGGGAGTTATTTCAAGTTTTGACAATGGAGATATGGCACTGATGTAAAAGGATTTGATTCTTAGGATCTTCCAGATAATGCTGCCCTTATTTGGGAGCAGTGGATTGGGGGAGAGTTGGAAGATGTTCCCAGAATCTAATTTCTAGGGGAGAGAGTGCCTCATTCGGTCTCCCGGGCCCGCCACCACAGCGAGCTCTCAGTAGGGGGAGCTCTGTCACTGCGGTGGCCCTTCTTGCTGACTCGGGGTGGAGGGGCTATCTAGGCACCTGAGGAAGGCTTAGGAGTGGCCAACAGGGGTCTCTTCTGCAGGAGGAACCTGAGGTGTCTGCTGAGGAGCAGCCAGGTCAGGAGTCACTGGCTACAGGGTCCCCACCTGGAAAAGAAATGGAAATGCACTGTGTCCAGTGCATGGGGGAGAAAATGCACCAATGTCCTGACACAGGGAGTCTCACTAAGGTGGGGGAAAACAGAGAGGTGTGCAGCCTTACTAAGACCAAAGCTGCCACAGCACCTGCTTTATAGTCTATAGAATCCAAAACTGCCCTCCCTCTCCACCCACAGCTGCTTTTGGGGATTGGCTGCCAGCTGGGGATGGGGGAGGCCAAGACAGAACTTGGAGTTCCTGAGTGTGTCCTATGGGTGTCTCGTGTCCATTCTTATTGAGCAGGGGAGGGACCTTGTCCTGTTTCTGGCCTCGGGAGTCACCCTGTCCTGTCCCTGGCTGATCCTCTGCACCTGAGGCACAAAGGTTCTATATAGGAGTGTTTCCACGTGGTGATTCAGGTTAACTGTCTTCCTGTGCACTTGATGCCCAGGCTCGGTCTGGGAAGAGAGGACAAAAAGGTCAAAGGACACATCCTTCTATTCCAGCCTGCGCTTGGTGGCCATGTGAGCATTAGGGCGATGAAGGCCTGTGTGCACATGCATTTCCAGGACTCTTGGGGTGGCAGGGTGGGGTGAGCACTGTGAATGTCCATCTTGAGTGTCCAGCAGGAGGGCACCTGGGTGGTCTCAGAGGCCACGTACAGCAGCCATTTCTCATGAGCATGAGAGGAAGTCCAGCAGAAGTGTGTCAGTGTGGTCTTTTTCAGAACCACTCTGCCCTTACTGGGGACCTCTATGATCAATTTTTGTGCCTTGAATATTTAGGTTGAGATTGAGCTTGGTGCACGGTTGGCTCAGAGCTGGAGGAACGATTTGCTGGGGCTCCCTTGTGAAGGTCGCTGAGACCAGAAGACCCTCCCCTGCATCCTTTTGTTTTGGGATAAAAAAACAGACTGGCTTGAAGCAGTTTAGGAGAATCCTATTGGAATGATAGATTAGAGATTCTCTCTTGGTGCATAGAGAAGGGACTGTTTTCCTGAGTTTCAGAGATAGGGAGAGGTTGACTTGCTCTCCAGCAACTTCTGGGCCCTTTTGATTCCCGTGAGCTTGGTCTCAATGGTATCACGAAAAATTGCTGTGACCTGCCATGCCTTCTGCCTTTTTTTTTGTCTGATGGAGTCTCACTCTGTTGCCCAGGCTGGAGTGCAGTGGCATGATCTTGGCTCACTGCAACCTCTGCTGCCCTGGTTCAAGCGATTCTCTTGCCTCAGCCTCCTGAGTAGCTGGGATTGCAGGCCCCTGTCACCATGCCTGGCTAATTTTTGTATTTTTAGTAGAGATGGGGTTTCACCCTCTTGACCAGGCTGGTCTTGAACTCCTGACCTTGTGATCTACCTGCCTCAGCCTCCCAAAGTGCTGGGATTACAGGTGTGAGCCACCACGCCCAGCCGCCTTCTACTTTTTGTAAGCCTTAGTTTATAGTGTTGCTGGGGAAGTTAGCCCCATTTTCTCTTTCCTGCAAGCTGGGCAGGTCTATGCCTCTAAGGTGCAGACATCAGTTAATTGGTAGCCAGATGGGAGCCCACAGGGACATCCTGCCCTTCGGGAAACACACGTGCAAACCTAAATTTTGTCTTTGCAAATCGGTTGACTAGCTGTGCTTGCTAGAAGCAAAGTAGCTCTCATGAATTATCCAGTTTGGAGTTTTTCAGATCATGATGAACTCAGACACAAAGCCAGGTCTCCTCCTTTGTATGGAGGCAACATTAGGTAAAGGGGAGGGCTGAATGCTCAGGTCAGCATAGCTAATTATGCCATCTCATCCTCCCCCAAGCCCTTCTATGGCTCTGGCTGCTCTTAGAGATAAAAACCCTTTAGATAGTCTACGAGGCCCTATATGAGGTGCCCTCTCTGAGAGCTAGGCTCTTGAGATCCATTGCACACCAATCTCTGGACTCCAGCCACTTGGGACCTTGGTTCCTTGATTCTGTCACGCTCTCTCCAGCCTTAAGGCCTTTGCATAAGTTACTCCTTTTTCCTGGCATGTTCTTTCCCATCCCTATCCCATCCTTTTTTCTAGGTAATTTACTCTCACCTTTTAGGGACTAGCCTAGGTGTCCCTTTCCCAAAGGAGCCTTCTGGGACCTCCAAGATTGTGTTCCATCATGTACTCTCAAAGTCCTTGGTAGCACTTATTACAATTATTAGTGTTTTGAATTGTATAATTGATTCATTTTTCTCTGCTAGAATGTAAGCTTCATGAGGGTAAGGCCTGTTAGTTTATTTTTTTATCCTGTCAACCACTCAGCATAATGCTTGGCACAAATTAGGTGCTCAATAAAAATGTGTTGAATGAATGCATGAATGAACGGGGTCACCAGGTTGCTACTGCAATCCCTCTGGCATTCTACTAGACAAACTGTGTCTCAAACTGTTGAATGCTGTTTCTTGTTCTTACCCATTACAGGGGAGAACCACAGGTGGGCAAAGTAGCTCTACATACAGCTCCTGTGACTTTTGAGGCTTAACTCTTGTGAGATGATCATGGTCTCATCTCCCCCTGTTTTATCTCCCCCAGAGTCTCTGCTAAGGCAGAGTCCACACCCTACCATGCCCACTGCCTTCTTCCTCCTGATCCTTGGTCTTTTGGTCTTTGTGTAAAAAATGTGGCTTTCTCCAGGCAAAGCCCAGAATGCCACCTGGTCCAAGGAGGATTGTTGGCTATGATCTCCTCAGTTTCACTTCCAGAGCTGGCTGCTCAGATTGGTCTACCCTGCTGTGGATGCAATTTCAGGATGAGGTTGAAGAGCAGGTCATCTGGACTGCTGGGATGATTTTAAAGGAAACTTTAATATCTCCTGGACAAGCCAGCAGCTGGTGTCTGCAAGTCCTCCAGGACTTTGCACCTTGAGACTTGGATTCAGGGGCAGCTGAGAAGATAGACTGTGAACTTTCCTTTGCCGAGAGAACTGGACTACAGCTTAATGGCTGGACCCTAGGCATCTCTAGGACACTACAGTTGTCCATTGTAGATTCCTTTACCTCAAGCCACTTCTGGACCTGCCTGTCCTTGGGTGCCTGGTGCTGAGTCAGCAACACCTCCCTCCTGTCTTGGCAATGTGTGGCCAAACTAAGCCAAGTCTGATTATAATGGGTTGGTTCATCTAGAAGCTCACATCCCGTACTCTTTTTCCAATATGGCACTTAGCCAACTGGCACCCAATAGTGAAGAGTGACTCTGGGAACTGAGGCTGCTGAGGACTCATGACCCTGCAGAAGCCAACAGCAAAAGCTGTGTGGAGGGTGAAGCCATCCCGCTGCCAGGCCTCTCTCTCTGCTCCATGTCAGTTCCTGTCTGGCAGCGCCATGGCCTTGGCTGGCAGTCAGAGACCCGCTGCTGGTACTTGCTGGTGGCTTGGCTCTCTTCCATCTAGCCAGGGCATTTGGACCTTTTTTCTATGTTCTGCTTATGAGCTTGGGAAGCGAGCCAGTGGTTCTCCTTGGAAGTTGCCTCCATCCTTGTCATTTCCCACCCTAGTCCCAAGGGAGACATGTTTCTTTCTCTCTTCCGTATTGACACCTTCTCTTGCCTTTGGCTCAAATACAGACACCTCAGGTAGCACCAGTGCTGTGGGGAGGCCAAGGGGCGAGGGGCACGTACAGGAAGTGGTGGTGGCAAAATAGAGTTAAGTTCGGTTACCAGTGCTGGATGAAGCTTTGTATCTCTAGGGTTGTCAGTCAGCCAAGAAGGAAGGCAGTTACAGGCCTAATTCTTGGTTCCTGAACTGATTGGCTGTAGCTTTTATCAGGGACTCACTGGCACTTCTCTGAGCATCAGTGTTAACTTCTGTCATGGGCTGAATTGTGCAGCCTCCTTCTTCTCCTCCAAGTTTATAGGTTGACTTCCTAATCCCCAGTACCTCAGGATATGACTCTATTTGGAGATAAGGTCTTTAAGGAGGTTATTTAGGTAAAATGAGGTCATATGAGTAGGCCCTAATCCAATATGACTGGTGTCCTTATGAGAAGAGATTAGGACACAGATAGGTATAGAGGGAAGACCATATGAAGACAAAGAGAGAAGGCGGCCATCTGGAAGCCAAGGAGAGGAGCTCCCAGAAGAAACAACCCCGCTGACACCTTGACCTTGGACTTGCAGTCTCCACAATGGTGAGGAAGTAAATTTCTGTTCTTTAAGCCATCCAGTCAGTACTTTGTTTTGGCAGCCCTAGTGAACTAAAACAAACTCCTGCAGACGTGGCAGAGAGGGTTTGCAGAAGGGCCAAGAGAACGGTGGCTTAGATGCTTCCGGTTTTCCCAGCTTCTTCATGGACTCTCAAGGTTGGTGGTATCCCTTTGGCTTCTCTAGTTCTTTCTGCTTCAGGGAGCTACCAACCTCCTCTGGTTTTGGTGGTTAGCCTAAGTAGCTAGTAAATAGAGTGTTTCTACTCTTAATCTTATTTCCCCTTTATGAAAACCTTATGATAGGCGCTGCAGAATCTCCATGTCACCCAGCATCGTTGGTCCCGCCCTCTGGAAGCTCACATTCTATGCGGAAGACAGACATGAGGATCACTTCACTGCAGCATAGGAGGTGCTGTGATAGTGCTCAGCAGGGGGCATGAACTAAGGAGGACACCTTGAGCCCACCTGAAGAAGAAGGTCACAGAATGCTTTGTGATGATGATGGCCAAGCCTAAAGTCTGTCAGTTCTTTGAGGACAGAGGCTGGGTCTTTCTCACCTTCCTTCACCCATGGCATCTAGCACAGCACTTTGCACATAATAAGTGCTCATCTAATGTGTTGGGCGAATGGCTCTCTTAAAGTCCCTTCCAGCTTCATGATGCCATAATTCTGTGGCCTCAGAGGTCCCACAGCAGTCAGATGGCTTAAGGTGCTGCTGGCAGACGGCGTGAAGGTGAACAGACATGGGGTTTTATGATATGCAAAATCACTCATGAACAACTAAACTGGAAACCAGGGAGGAGAGCATAATGAGCTTCCCTTCTTAGCTTAGATTTCTAGGAGAATCCTCAGGCATAACAACAGGAACACAGCCAGTGCAGCTGCCCCACGTGGATGATCAGAGGCGACGTCTTACTCTCCACAAAGCCAAGTTTGGTCAAGCTCCTCACAGCTGTTTCCCACAGAGAGGAAATCCCCTAAGTTCCCAGGCAGTGTAAACTGACCGTGTGTTTATAAAATAGACGCCATGCCCCAAGAACATGAAAACAGTCCAGATGCATGAACCTGCAATGCAGCAGTGATTCAAGACACTTGGGAGTAGGGAGGAGAGCGTGAGTGAGAGAACGCTTCAATGCCGAAGCAGAGTGGCTGTTCTCTGGAGAACACCCAAACTGATCTAAAGCCAAAGTTCAAAAAATAACAAACATGCAAGCCTTTTGAAAACAAATTGTGCCTAGATATCTTTGCAAGCTGAGTGGTCAGCCCTCAGACAGTGCTATGAGGGAGTGATTGCAGACCACCCAGCACCCAAGGAATTAGGGGCAGTTCATGCTGTCCCTGTGTCCAAGGGCTCCGAGAGCTCAGATTAAAATTCTTTCTGCCCAGCTTTTGCAAGATGGAACCAAAAGAGCCCACTTGTGAGAAGGCAGGGGATTGAGGAGGGTCCCCTCCTCCCAGTACGGACTGTGTGGTGCCTTCAGATGAGCTGTTTTGTTTCACGCTGAGCTGAGCTCACCTAGGCGATGACCTTGTGACAAGAATACCAGGCTGAGTCCAGATCAGCAAAGAGGGGACAGGAAGAGGAAGAGGAAGAGAGAAGCAAGTGCAGCCATGCGAAGCTGTGACTGACAGAAGCCAAGTCAGAACTGCTGGTTAACATAATTTTTAATCCTTCATCAGGGCTGGTAAAATGTTGACAAAGGAGAGTCCTTGTAGTGAATCTCTCAGTCTATTAAGAAAGCTGTTTCAGACCCAGGGACATAAGGCAGGTGTATTGGAGTCATCAGACTCTCTACAAAATATTAGTCATCAGCTCTGCAAAAACCCCGTGGGCTGCACTGGGGCGTGAGTCCCTCAAAGTTTAACTAAACATGGCAAACTGGATGTACACAGACAACCTTAATAGCTTCTGGGGATTCTGGAAAGAGCTGGGGACCGGCTCCCTTAAAAATCTACTCTAAGAAAATTCACCGCAGGCCCAGCGTGGCTCCTGACCTGGAGGATAACAATGATAATGGAAGTGCTGTTAAAAGTAAGAATGACTATGAGTTATTGAGTTTTTCATCTGCTCAGGCACCGTGCTGGGCCTACACAGTATCTCATTCAGTCCTACTAAGGACCATTACTGTCCCTTTCCTACCTAGGGGAAAAGGAGATTGAGAGAAGTCAAACCGCTTTCTCACGGTGACAGGGTAGGCGGTGGAGCCAGAATACAAATGCAGGGGCTCCAGCCTCAAAGCCCGTGCTCTCTGCTCACATTGGCCCACCCAGGACAGACGCTGTCGGGATGTCCTGGGGGTTTCACACTGTTAAGAAATAATAACGAGTGAGAGCCAAGGTGTACTCTGGATCTACCTGAAGCACCCAACTCACTCCCTTCCATGATGTGACTAACGGCGTTTCAGATCTGTTTGTGCTCCGACCTGACCTCAGGAAGCCAAAGTCCCCTGAGGTCTGGGGTGTGTATGCTTGGGGACCCGAAATTAGAGGCACACCTACCTAGGATTGAATGTAACGATCTAATCAAGAAAAGGTGTGTGTGTGTGAGCCAGAGTGAGAAAACGAGAGAGGGAGAGAGAGAGAAAGAGAGGGAGAGAGAGGAAGAGAGGCCCAGTTTGTTTTCCAGGGGACAGAAAAGGAACTGATGAAGGCCCTGAAAATTCAGTCCAGGCAACTCCATCCCCCTATCAGGCTCAACCCTCAGTAGTACCCCAGCTTTCCCTTCCCCACATCCTCCAAGCTCTTTCTCCTTAACAGCTAAAGACACCTTAGGCTGCCCAGAATGAAAAATATCCTGGAACTTAACAACAAAGGAGCTGCCATGTTCCACTGTATTTCTTTTCTTTTCTTTTTTCAGACAAGGTCTCACTCTGTTGCCCAGGCTGGAGTGCAGTGGTGTGATCTTGGCTCCCTGCAGCCTCGACCTCCTAGGCTCGAGTGATCCTCCTGCCTCAGCCTCCCGAGTACCTGGGACTATAGGTGTGTGCCACTGCACCCAGCTATTTTTTTTTCTTGATTTTTAGTAGAGACAGTCTTGCTATATTGTCCAGTCTGATGGCAGACTCCTGAGCTCAAAGGATCCTCCTGTCTCAGGCTTGCAAAGTGTTGAGATTACAGGCATGAGCCACTGCACCTGACCTCCACTGTATTTCTAAACTGTGGGTCTCTGGCTCCTCTAATTTTCCCCCACCCCGTAGGCCCAGCCTCCAGGGCTGCCATGTCTTCCCCTCCCAGCTCTGCTCTGGAGGCCTGATTCTCTGGGAGGCTGTTGGGCTCACCATTGGGAAAGGCCATCCTTAGGTCACGTGGGGCCATAAGCAATACCAGCCTCCTCCTCCTGCCATTTTGCACATCAGGAGATACACCAGGAACCTCAGTGTCTCTCTTTCTCTCTCTAGCCTGGTCTCTGGGACCTAGGTCAGGAGGGCATGATGCTTTCAAATAGAAGAAGAAATCTCCAATTCTTTTGCCCTCTGTCTTTGCAAGCCCTATCTTTTATATTCACTTCCTCTGACTTCTCAGTAAACATTGGTTTGAAAGTGAATGGTATTATCAGCTGCCAGTTTACAATATAAGGGGGTCTGTAGAGGAATGAAGGAGAAGCAGCTTTGGAGGAGGGAAAAGTGATCAAAATTAGGTTTCCGTCCTTTTGGGTTGCAGGGGAGGCGGGGGTCACTGGTAACAGTAAGCCAATAACAGGGCTTTGCAGAGCAGGACTAATTCTGTGTTCTGCACTGGGTGAGGCAGGTGCAGTTGCCACCTGGGCTTCGATCTGGGTCCCAGAGGAGTTAGTTCATATCTTGGGGCCATCTTGCAACTGCAATCCCATTTTGAAGCCAGGTAGCAGAGTTTGTGCTCATAGTCATTTATTCTTTTTAACTGTTTCTGTCTTTTATTCTCCTTCTGTGTTTTCCAGAGCAGTCTTCTTCCCTCTCCCCAGCCTCCCCAAAGACCTGCAAATTTTGTTTTCTGTTAAGTGCTCATCTCCCCCGACCCCCCTACAGCTGGGGAAGGTGTTGGTATCTCCAGCGACTTCAGGCTTCAAGTTT